>NC_000002.12:240871736-241199684 GCF_000001405.40 Homo sapiens | reverse complement strand
GGGTCTGGGCCTGGAGGGGCCAGCTCAGTGCACACGCACTGTTCACCCGACCCCACCTCCCGGGAGCCCACTGTGGGGGATGCCACCACCTGCCCTGTTTGCCCAGTGAGGTTTCTTGGGGCCTGGTGTCGGGGTGGGTAGGAGGAGCCCCTGAGGCCTCTGAGCAGGGAGCCCTCCTGAGGCTGTCGGCACTGGCAGCTGAACGCAGTGTGTGGGGACCGGGACCTCCAGGCCCACCCTGTCCCCATGCCTCCCACGTACCTGCAAGGGCAGCTTCAGGCGCAGGTCTTCGGCGTAGTAGCAGAGCACAGCCCAGGAGGCGCTGAGGAGGGCGTAGTGCACTGTGGTGTTCCCGTCCTGGACGTCCTGCTGTAGGCACCCAGGGCTCCGTGAGAGCCTGAGGGTGCATGTGTGCACGTATGCACATGTGTGTGTCCATTCGCACTCTTAGGAAAAGACTGGCATTTCTGTAGCCGTGGTAACAGCTGACTTTGAATCTCCTATTTGATACATGACACCTACTCCCATGGATACGCCTCTGAAAGCCAACCGGGCCTCGACAGCCCCGTTTGGGAGTCGGCCCCAGCAACAGATTTGCTGCAGACAGCATGCTGTTGGGACCGGCGTCACCTGCAGCCTCCCCTAAGGCTAGGGAGAGCCTTGCCCTGCTGGCCAGACTATGCTGACACACGCCTGCCTCCTGGCTTGAGGGGCAGTGCCTCCAGCTTTTGGTTTTCAACATCGAACGTCGCCTCACCTTTGATCGGTCACCAGGTGTACATGCATGCTGTGCACGGACATGTTTCCGTGTGTATGTGTGTGTACATATAGGTGAGCACTACTGTCTATGTTCACATGTGCACATGTGTGCCAACATGTGACAGGTGCTCCTGGAGCCCGGGGTGGGTTGAGACAGGGATCTGATTCAGTCCAGTGCAGAAGTGCCTCCTCTGAGTGCATAACTGCTTTTCAGCACCATCCCATTTAGTCCAGTGGTCCTCAGCCCTCACAGCCATCTGGGGTTCCCTAAGTGCCAAAGTCCCGGCCCCACCTTGGGCGAAGTGGAACAGAGTCAAGGGCAGACCCTGGCCCCCAGCTGGCCGTGATGTTCTGTGAGAGCTGAGAACTGTCCTGCAGACCGCAGACCAGGCACACTTTGGGCAACGTGCTGGGGCCACCGGCGTCCCCTGCAGTAGTCCCCCCTGCCCTCAACTAAAGGGCAAACCTGCTCGAGTCTGGATGATGACCTTGAAAACTCATGGGACCACGCCACCCAATCAGCTCTGTCCATAATAAAAGCAGGTGTCTTTCACCTCCACCTCCCAGACACTGAAGCAGATCCAAACTCAGGAGTGGGGTGGCTGTTAGCTCTGTGGGCTCCATGTGCCAACACCTGAGAAGGACTGGAAGGAAGCCAGGGAGAGCGGGGCAGGGAGGGGCACCCTGGGGTGGGGTGATGTGGCAAGTAGGGGCTGCTCCCTGTGTGTTCTGGACAAGGAGTAGGCAACGTGGGAATGAGAAGGTGGGTGAGGGAAGAAAGGCACGGAAGGTGGAGGGGAGTCGGACGCAGGACTAACTCAGTCCACAGCAGGTTAAAACCAACCAGGACACCATCATGACCAGGACAGCCAGCCAGGACTGGGGAAAGATGTCTGTCACACACGCCACCAGCAATGGCTAAGTGTCCAGAACAGACAACAAGCTCCTAAGCCTTAATAAGGAAGAGGGAGGTGAGGCCGGGCGTGGTGGCTCATGCCTGTGATCCCGGCACTTTGGGAGGCTGAGACAGGCAGATCCCTTGAGGTCAGGAGTTCATGACCAGCCTGGCCAACATAGGGTAACCCCGCCTCTACTAAAAATACAAAAATTAGCTGGGTGTGGTGGTACACACCTGTAATCCCAGCTACTCGGGAGGCTGAGGCAGGAGAATCACTTGAACCCAGGAGACAGAAGTTGTAGTGAGCCAAGATCACACCACTGTACTCCAGCCTGGGTGACAGATTCAGACCCTGTCTAAAAAAAAAAAAAAAAAAGGGCAGGTGACTTGGGAGGCTAAGGCAGGCAGATTGCTTGAGCCCAGGAGTTCCAAACCAGCCAGGGCAACAAAGTGAGACCTCATCTCTACAAAAAATTAGCCGGGCATGGTGGTGTGGGCCTGTAGTCCCAGCTACTCAGGAGGCTGAGCTGGGAAGATGGCTTGAGCCTCGGGAGATTGAGGCTGCAGAGAGCCGTGACTGCACCACTGCACTCCGGCCAGGGCAACAGAACAAGACCCTGTCTCGTTAGGCCTGGCGCGGTGGCTCACGCCTGTAATCCCAGCGCTTTGGGAGGCCGAGGCGGGTGGATCACCTGAGGTCAGGAGTTCAAGACCAGCCTGGGCAATACGGTGAAACCCCGTCTCTACTAAAAATACAAAAATTGGCTGGGCGTGGTGGTGGGTGCCTGTAATCTCAGGTACTCGAGAAACTGAGGCAAAAGAATCTCTTGAACCCGGGAGGTGGAGGTTGCAGTGAGCCAAGATCTCGCCATTGCACTCCAGCCTGGGCAACAGAGCGAGACTCTCTCTCAAAAACAAACAAACAAACAAGCACACAAACCACGGTGAGCCACCACTATATCCCAACTGGTTGGTAAAACGTTAAAAGTCTGCAGTATCAAGTGTTGAGAAGATACAGAGCAAGGGGCCTCAGGCCACTGCCGATGGTGGAAATGGGGCCACCACGTGGGGAGTGGTTGGCCATATGCACATGCCTCGGCCCGGCACCCCTACTCCCAGAAGTCCCTGCACACAGGCACAAGGACACACACACACACACACACACACACACACACACACACACACACACGAATGAATTGACAGTAGCTGATTTTCATAATCATCCCAGACTGGGAACAAGTCAAATGCCCATTCTCACGGCATCCATAAGCAAAGACCGGCATTCACATGTGAGCTGCCTGCGGCAAGGCAAGGGTGGGCCCCGGGGCAGCAGTCACTGGCCATATGGGCGGGCCTCACCGCAGGAATGACCCCGCATGAGATTCAGCTCTGCCGATCTCAAACAGACAAAGCCAGGCTGTATTGCTTGATTATGTAAAATTGGCGCTAAAATGGTAAAGAAACCCCGAGTGGGATGAACATAAAACTCAGGATCGATTACTCTGTGGAGAGGGAGAGGACAGGTGACAGCACAGCCTGCTCCTGGGGACAGAGGAAGGTGGTCAGAGGAGGGCAGAGAAGGAAGGAGCCGCTTGGACAGACCTGGCAATGAGTGGGGGACACAGCAGGGTGAGAGCTGGGCTCTGCACCCCAATCCCCAGCTGCCCCAAGCCCCACCTGCGCCTGCCTGTGCCCGCACACCCAGCATCCTCACGCCTAGTTCCTGTTTCTCACGCTCCCCGGACCTGTTGCTTAAATGATTCTAAGTGGTACCTACCATTATCACCGAAAGCAAACATGTGAAAGGACTTTTTAAGCTGTTAATTCTATAAGCACACTGAGAGTCATAAACACAAATGACACGCCTACCCAAAAGCTTTAATGTTGGAGACGGGACAGGTGAATGGCAAAGGTAGTGTCAGAGTTTTCAGGTGACCCTGAGGGCTCCGACTTCCATGAGAGAGCTGAGTGTGCAGGAGGGATCAATGTTTACCTCCGCCTCTGGACAGCAGCTCCCTAGCCACACGGAGGAGCTCACGGTGGCTGGGGGGTCCAGCAGGACTTTGGGGCCTGATCTGCTCTGGGACTCTGGACACCATGCCCTCAGGCCTCATGCGGCAAGGTCATGGGTCACTGAGTGGATGCAGGGCCTAGGGCCCTGCCCATGACAGCCTCCACGTACCTGGTCTACACACAGCCCAGCCGCACGAAGATTATCCAGAAAAGTCTCCCGCCAGGTCCTGTGCATGTCTGTTCTGTCCCGGGCGGCACTGTCCTGCTGCCTGTCTAGCTTCAGGTCCTCCTCCCAAACGAGGACGAAGTCTGCTGGGAGCCAACAGGGACAGAGGCAGGAGCCTGGCTAAGTGGCAGTGGCCGGCCCAGGGAAGGGATGCCAGCATCCCAGCCGGGACGCAGTGGGGAGCCATGCACTTGGACACTCAGGGCCGGTTCCTTCCCGATCCCCTCTCTGGTCCCAGCCAGGGCTAGGAGGACTCCAGGAGCACTTCCAGGTTCCAGGACAGCCCTGCATTGGCCTGGGTGGGGAACGGAGGCCTGGAGAGGGGCTGGGTATGGCCCTCTGAGATTCCTGCTATGGTGCTCATCCCTGCAGGGTAAGTCCCAGACTCCTACAGGGGTCTTCAAGGACCTCAGGTGCAAGTCACTGTCAGACTTCCCGTCCTGCCATAGAGAATCATCAAAGCTGAAGAAAGTTTCCGAAGCCCCTGATTTTCTGGCATGAGACAGCAATGGATGCTGGGCTCAGGCGCTCCAGATAAGAGGAGCGTGCGAGGTGAGCCTTCCCTTCCCTTCACTTCCTCCTGGGGCATTTCCCAAACGACAGGGAGGGCAATAGAGCCCAAGCAGAGGCATTGGTGGGTGAGGCGAATGGGCATTTGAATTAGGTGCTGCTAAGGGGGCTGGAGCTTGGGAAGAAGACGGAGCCACCGGGTCTGTGAGAAAGTCCCCCAGGCCCTTGGAGCACCAAGCTATTCATACACAGAGGCAGCTGCTGGAGGCCCATGGCTGACAAAGATTCCAGAGGATACACAGTGCTGGGGAATCTGAGCTCCAGCTGGAACACGCTGGTCATCCAGCAGAGACTCGCAGGCCACACCCGAGGAGTAAGGACAACGGAGTCCCCTTAACTGCAGGGGATCTATCCAAGAACCCGGTGGATGCCTGAAACTGTGCAGAGTAACAAACCTATATATACTGTCTTTCCCTATACATACCTATAATACGTACATACCTATGATATACATTCCTATGGTGAAGGTTAATTTATGAATTAGGTAAAGTAAGAGATGAACAATAACTAATAATAAAACAGAATAATTATAACAAAATGCTGCAGTAAAAGTTATGTGAATGTGGGCATTCTGTCTCGCTCTTTTACAATATCTTATTGTGGCTGGGTTTGGTGGCTCACGCCTGTCATCCCAGCAATTTGGGAGGCTGAGGCAGGTGGATCACGAGGTCAGGAGATCAAGACCATCCTGGCTAACACGGTGAAACCCCATATCTACTAAAAATACAAAAACAAAATTAGCTGGGCGTGGTGGCCGGCACCTGTAGTCCCAGCTACTCAGGAGGCTGAGGCGGGAGAATGGTGTGAACCCAGGAGACGGAGCTTGCAGTGAGCTGAGATCACGCCACTGCACTCCAGCCTGGGCAACAGGGCAACAGAGCGAGACTCCATCTCAAAAAAAAAAAAAAAAGGAAATAAATAATTTCTATATACCTATGACACATAGGCAGTGAAATTTTCCAAGTAATGCTATTTGGAATACATCTACTAAAAGATGTGCAAGATCTCACGAAAGCAGCAAAAAAAAAAAAAAAAAAAATTAAAGGCCAGGTACGGTGGCTCACGCCTGTAATCCCAGCACTTTGGGAGGCCGAGGCAGGCAGATCACTTGAAGTCAGGAGTTCGAGACCAGCCTGGCCAACATGGCGAAACCCTGTCTCTACTAAAAATACAAAATTAGCCAGGCGTGGTGGCACATGCCTGTAATCCCAGCTACTTGGGAGGCTGAGGCCAGAGATCACTTGAACCTGGGAGGTGGAGGTTGCAGTGAGCCAAGATCGTGCCCTTGCATTCCAGATGGGCAACAAGAGCGAAACTCTGTCTCAAAAAGAAAAAAAGAAAGAAAGAAAAGAGAAATTAAAGTAGACCTAAATAAATGGAGAAAATACCATATTTGAGGATTGAAAGACTCACTTTCTAAATATGGGAAATAATACATCAGGCATACGTTAATCCCTTTGACACAAAACAGAACACACAAAACTGACAAAACTTTAACAATACCAGGCCAAATGGATTTTAAGACACAAAGCATGATTATGGATAGACAATTTTCTAGGCACAATTAATATTGATAAAAGGCATGATTTTCTCAGAGGATAGAATATATTCTACCTTTATATGAAAGTTTAAAACGATTGTATCTTGGGAGGTGCTGTCTTGGAATGAAGGGTGGGGAGCTTCTGGTAGCAGGAGATGTGGTCTGAGGGCCTGGTGGGGCTGGGAGGGAGGGGTAGGCCTGTGGCTGCACAGGCAGCTGCGAGGATGCCTTAAGCCTCACACACACAGAGGGGGCGTGTGGAGGATTTTGAGAAAATAAGGGCTGTCTACGTTTTAAAAAACCATCTTAGGCTGGGCGTGGCGGCTCACACTTATAATCCCAGCACTTTTGGAGGCCAAGGCGGGCGGATCACCTGAGGTCAGGAGTTCAAGACCTGCCCAACCAACATGGCGAAACCCCGTCTCTACTACAAACACAAAAATTAACCGGGCGTGGTGGGGCGCACCTGTAGTCCCAGCTACTCGGGAGGCTGAGGCAGGAGAATGGTGCGAAGGGAGGCAGAGGTTGCAGTGAGCCGAGATTGTGCCACTGCATTCCAGCCTGGGTGAGAGTGAGACTCCATCTCAAAAAAAACACAAAAAACAAAAAACAAAAAACCAACCAACCAAACAAAAAACCATCTTAACCACATTTAAGTGTACAGGTCATTGGTACTAAGGACATTGACATTCTTGTGCAGCCATGACCACCATCCATCTCCACTGAATCCCTACGCCCATTAAGCACTAACTCCCCCTCCCCGTCCCCAGCCCCTGGCACCCACCATTCTACCTTCTCTCTCTATGAATTTGACTCTCTGGGGACCTCATATAAGTGGAATCACATTTGTCCTTTTGTGACTGGCTGATTTCACGTAGCATACTGTCCACAAGGCGCATCCCCGTTGCAGCCTGTGTCAGACTTTTCTGCCTTTTTAAGGCTGAATAAATCCGTTGGATGTAAATACCACATTTTGCTTATCTAGTCATCTGTAGGTGGACACGTGGATGGCTTCCACCTTGATATGGGCTGAACTAAGTTTCTCCAAAATTTGTATGTCAAAGCCCCACCCCACAGTCCTCAGAATGAAACTGTATTTGGAGATTAGGTCATTAAAGACACGTGATGGCTATTAGGGTGTGCCCTAATCCATGACAACTCGTGTCCTTATAGGAGGAAGAGACCCCGGGGGTGTGAGGACACAGGGAGAAGGCGCGTCTGCAAAAGCCAAAAGAGAGGCCTCTAAGCCACCAGCCCTGCCTCACCCTCACCTCGGGCTTCAGCCCCAAGACTGTGAGAAAAGAAAGTTCTGCCATCTAAGCCCCGCAGGCCGTGGTACTTTTTTTTTTCTTGGAGATGGAGTTTTGCTCTTGCTGCCCAGGCTGGAGTGCAATGGCGCGACCTCGGTTCACCGCTACCTCCGCCTTTTGGGTTCAAGCGATTCTCCTGCCTCAGCCTCCCGAGTAGCTGGAATTACAGGCATGTGCCACCACGCCTGGCTAATTTTGTATTTTTAGTTTCTCCATGTTGATCAGGCTGGTCTCGAACTCCCGACCTCAGGTGATCCACCCGCCTTGGCCTCCCAAAGTGCTGGGATTACAGGCATGAGCCACTGTGCCTGGCCCAGGCTGTGGTACTTCTTATGACAGTCCCAGCAGACGAATGCACGCCTTCCAGCTACAGTGAATGACATTGCGGGTGTACAGATATCTCCCCGGGGCCCCCATCCCGTGCTCGTGGGCGCTCACCCAGGGAAGACATACTGGCTTTTACGGGAACTCTGTGCTGAATTCTCTGAGGAACTGCTGTTTTCCTTAGCAGCTGTACCATTTTACACTCCCTCCAGCAATGCACAAGTGAGCCAGTTTCCGCTCATCCTCATCAACACTTGTGATTTTTTTTAAGTAGTAGCCATCCTAGTGGGAGGAGGTTAGGGTCTCTCTGGTGCTGAGGGGACAGCAGGGTGGGCGGGGTGGGTGCTGGGAGCCCGGCTGGTGCTGGTGCAATCCCCTGGAGTCGGTGGTAGCTCCGGGCAGACAGAGGCAGTGGGTTGGGGGTGGATCAAAGAGATTTTGAAGGTACAAAAGGGGTGGAGTGCAAGAGATAAGAGTCAGAAATGACCTGAGTTGTGGCTGAACAGCTGGAGGATGGTGGAGGGGACTGGAGCAGGAGGGAGGGGGCAGCCCTGTCCACTCTCCAGAGCCCTTCCGGCCCCACCCCATCAGTAGGGAGCCCCCTTTCCTGCTGTTCTTCCCACTGTGGTTTGCTCACCCCGAGGCCCTCACCCCAGTGCCCCATCCCCAAGCAACTGGCCCCAGAGTGGCTACTGAGGAGGCTACCCCAGCCTGCTGCCCCTGGGGGCACCCCCGTGGTGTCCCCACCCTCAGGACCAACACGGGTGTGGTACAGGTGCTGGGAGGGGCTCACCGATCCGGGGCTTGGCAGGACTCCCAGCTCTGCAGGCGGCCGCTTGCTGTCCACCTGGCTGGAAGGCATGGAGGATGGAGAAGCATATCAGCATCAGCATCTGCCCTCGACAACTACACCCACCCCGCCCCACCCTGAAGCCGTCCTCGCCTCCAACCCGTCCCCGCCCTGCCCCAGAACACTCAGGACCACAGAAGAATGTTCGGCGGGTGGGTAGGGGGTGGAGGGGGAAGCCCCTCTGCTGTGTGGGGGCACAGGATGCGCAGGCGCGGGGAGCGGCAGGCAGGGCCAGAGGGCACCACCAGCCCTGGGCCTCCAGCCGGCTCCCCTCCTCCTTGGGCCAGGCCCATGGCAAGGGTCAGGTTGGCGGGAAGCATGGCCAGGACCAGGGGTGCCTGCCTTGCTGGCCTCCAGGGGCAGAGGGGAGCCGGACTGCTCCCAAAGGGGCCCTGAGGACAGAGTTGGCCATGGCGACCGAGAGTGTCTGGATGCTTGAGGTGAGAGGCCCTGTGCCCTCCCTGGAGGCTCATCTCAGCTGTGCTTGGGGCGGCAGGAAGGGGTCCCGTGTCCACCCGCAGGCTGCTGGGGCAGACGTGTGGCCCAGGAGAACCAGGAAGAGGGCCCTCCACGGCCAGGGCCTCCCGCATGGCCTTGAAGGCCCGGGACCCAGCCTCTCCCCACAGGCTCACAGCGCATCCATGGCCTCCTAGTGACAAGGTGGAGCCCTACAGATGGCCCTGGGTGCTGCTGTGGCCCTGCACTGACTGGGACTGACACCACAGGGAGGGCCCCGCCCTGGTCTTGCCTTTGCCTGGCCAGGCCCCCCTTACCCTCCTGGAGCTCCTGTCTGAACATCAGTGGGTTCTGCTCGGTTCTCCACAGCCAGGCCAGGCCAGGAGAGCGGTGATCTGACTGTGTGTGTTGAGGACTGGGTGGCGAGGGCTTGGGGGTTGCCGGGGGATGCAGGAGAAACACGGTGATGCCCATCCACCCCCAGAGGCTCTGGGCCCAGGGTGGGGGCATAGACCCAGGCAGGGGAGGACCTCTCAAGTCGCACCACAGTCTCCTGGGTGCTGTTACCTCCGAGGCGTGGGCTGTGCTCCCGTAAGAGCCCCTCTTCTCTGCCTCAGGGGGGCTCACATCGATCAGGACGGTGCTGTCCTCTTCCTGGGCCCGTCGCCGCAGCATCCTGCTCCTGCACCCAGCAAGGCCGGGTGGGGATGGGGGTCAGAGAGGGGATGGGTGAGACCCGTTCCTGGGGCCACCACACTGCCTGCAGTGAGCTCACTTTACAGACTCGACTCGGAGTAGAATGGGGCTGGGCTGGCTCGGCAGACTCTCCTGGCCATGAGCACATGGAGAACCCCCTAGCCAGCCACGAGCTCCAGGAAGAAACCAGTGCCGGGGCGGGAGCGTCTGGCAGGCCTGGCACAGCAGGCGTCTGTCTGTCCATCCAGTGAGTGCCCGTGTCCCCCAGCCCTGAATGCCGTCCACTCTGCCTGGGTACTCAGTGGAGCCTGAGAAGGCCCAGAAAGGTGGGCCTGGAGTACAGACACCTCTCCCTCTCTTATCCGTAGGGTGGAGCCATGTGAGCCAGGGACAGGAAACCCCTCAAGTCGCCTGCCTTCGCTCATGGCCTGAGGACCCAGTGCCA
The DNA here is from genome assembly GCF_000001405.40 of Homo sapiens. NCBI lineage: Eukaryota > Metazoa > Chordata > Mammalia > Primates > Hominidae > Homo > Homo sapiens. The sequence continues at coordinate 241,189,597 of NC_000002.12, read as the reverse complement.
GGACCCATAGGCCCTGAGCTCCCCAGCAAGGCGGGCCTGATGGAGCCCGGCCTCACAACTCTTGGGGGTCCCAGCTTCCTCCCGCACCTTCGCCCCGGGGGTCTCTCTCTGTGGGAGGACAGGTGCCGTGGCTCCTAGTCTTGGGCTGGCAAAACGGGGCCAGGAGCACGACATCTGTGGCCCTGGAAGGAGAGGGTTCGAGCTGGGGCTGGCATTTGGAGCTGCGACGATGACCGGAGGGTGTGACCATGGAGGCGCCGCAGGAGGTCGGAGGGGCAGCCTTCTAGTTCTACCCTTCACTTCACATTAGCGGAGGCCCAGAGGGACAGAGACTGAGCCTGGGCCGCCTGCACCTGCCTAACCCTGAAGCCCGAGCCAGGTCTCAGTGTTAGGACTCGGCCCCGGCCCCAGGCTGGGAGCCTCACTACGGACTGTGGGGTGTTCCTGGAGGAAAGTCCCCGAGGAGTTTCGGCCACCCAGCAGCCCCTCATGCCCCCATCCTTCTGTGGTGGGCAGGCGGGCCCCTCCTCAGAGCTCTCTGCAGAAAGAATGGGGATGCCCCCCACCCCAACGAAGGGACCTGCTCCATGGGGGAGCCCCTGGGCAGGCAGGAAGCCAACCCCAGCTGGGTGTACCCCGTCCAGAGCCGCACTGAGTGTGTGTCCCTCCTCGTGCCCCAAGGGGCTTTGGGGACCAGGGCGGGCCCTGGCACTGCCTCCCCACAGGCCAGGGTGTGTGAAAGTCCCGGTGGGCTGGGGTGCCGCCCTGCCTCCCTAGAGTCCAACGCTCCACCTTCTCCCTGTGGCCCACACGTCTAGGCTGGGTCCCCACCTGGCACAGTGGCTTCCGGAAGAGGTCTCGGAGGTCATGGCCCACCTCTCAGCGTGAGCCTGGTCTCGGCAGTAGAGTCCCGTCCTCACTGCGGGACAGAGGGTGGGGAGGGGTGGCCCTTGGAGCCCCGCCCAGGCAGTGGCAGCCATTCGCATGCCCTCACCTTGCCTGCAAGTGGGCCAGGAAGCAGGCAGGGGAGGTGCCCAGCACAGCTGGCCAGGGCAAGGCTTCCCGGCTCCTGGAGCAGGATCTATCTTTGTTTAAATAGGGGGTGTGGGGCTCAGAGCTGCAGACAGAGGCAGCCCACTTGGCTGGGCTTTCACACACCCGCATGCAAATGCTGCCGTCCTCCTGGGAACCTTATTTGCTTAGAGATTTCAGGGCTGGCATCAGCTGTCATAGTTGCTGCCTTGGAGGGTCTCGAGGAGGTGGGATTCCACAGGAACAGCCACAAGTGCCACCTCTGCTGGAAGCCTTGCCAGGCAGACCTCGTAAGCTCTGTTTATGTGGGGGGAAACTGAGGCTCCTTGAGGTTACGTAGCATGTGCTGAGTGGTGGGCCAGGGTTTCACCCGGGGGCTGGGGAGATTGGGAGACCCAGATCACACTGCTGGCTCTGCTAATGCCTGAGGGGTGACCTCAGGCACATCCCATGCTCAGGGCCCCATCTGCAAAAGGACAGGAGGGGTCCTAGCCTTCCTCCCATCCTTTCCGCCCTCCTCCTCGTCCTCATTCTCCTCCTAGCCCTCCTCTTTCTCCTCCTAGCCCTCCTCCCCCTCCTCCTTTCTCCCCCTCCTCCTATCCTTTCTCCCCACCTTCCCTCTCCTCCTTCTCCTCCTATTGTTTCTCCCCCCTACTCCTCCCTCTCCTTCTCCTCCTATCCGTTCTCCCCTCTCCCTCTCCTCCTATCATTTCTCCCCCCAACTCCTCCTCCTCCTCCTCTTTCTCCCCACTCCCCCTCCTCCTATCGTTTCTCCCCCTCCCCCCCACTTCTCCCTCTCCTCTTCCTTCTCCTCCTTTCTCCCCACTCCCCTCCTCCTGTTTCTCCCCCTCCCCCCACTTCTCCCTCTCCTCCTCCTTCTCCTCCTATCCTTTCTCCCCGCCCCTCCTCTTCCCCTCTCCCTCCCCCTCCCCCTTTCCTCCTTGGTGCCTGGCAGTGTCTGAGAACCTACCACCCGTGCTCCTCGCCCTCCATGCACAACTGCACTGGGGAGCCCCAAGCTCAGCTTGCTGTTCCAGGTGCCCCCTTCTGCCTGTTGAAATCCCTCCAGGCGGACCCTCATCCTGGCTGCAGCTTTCCCTTATACCTATGCCCCTCTGTGCTTGGCACCTCCCAAGGGGCCCTGTTCTTGGACCTGTGTTGTGCCTCGGAACAGCGGGAAGGCCCTGCAGGCCGGGTTCCCTGTCAGCACCAGCAGAGCCTGGGCGGCAGGACCTTGGGGCCCTGGGCCTCAGGGCATCTGCATGAGAGGTCTCTGCTTGGCCAAGCTCAGCCTGCAGGCGCCTGAGGTGGATCCCTGGACGAGGGCTGGACTGGGGAAGTGCTCCAGAAACCAGGAAAGGAGTCGGGAGGCAGGAGGGGAGGGAGGATGAGCGGGGCACCATCTCCCCAAGACCTGTGGAGGGTGGCCTCAGCCTGCCATGGGCACTCTGCAGGGGAGGCAAGACGAAGCGTTTCCTCACCTGGATGCAACTGTAGGCTCTTACTCTGCTCAGTCATTGGCCAAGGACCCTCCCAGGAAGACATGCCACCTCCCAGGAGCTCCTGGCTCTCTGCTCTTGGTGACAAAGTGGCTCTGGTGGCCTCAGGGCTGTCTACTCAAGAGCTTCAGGGCCGGCTGCTGGAGGTGACCACACCCCAGTGGGAGCCCTTTCAGCGACAGTGCACGCACAACACCTAAAGGGGGTTCGGCCCTGAGGAGTGTCTTTCCATTTTTACTTCATACAACTCTGTTTGGGTGGGTGGTTTTTTCAAGTTGTGTTACTTCTGAGGGAAAGGAAGGAAGGGAGGGAGGGAGAAAAGCCGCAACCAGCACAGGGGGCCCGCCAGGTTCCAGGCCTTGGGAAGAGCCCAGGCCCAGAATCTGCTGCACCATCTTTCTTTGGCTGTAACATTTTTTTTTTTGAGACGGAGTCTCGCTCTGTCGCCCAGGCTGGAGTGCAATGGCGCCATCTCGGCTCACTGCAAGCTCTGCCTCCCGGGTTCATGCCATTCTCCTGGCTCAGCCTCCGGAGTAGCTGGGACTACAGGCGCCCGCCACCACGCCCGGCTAATTTTTTATATTTTTAGTAGAGACGGGGTTTCACCTTGTTAGCCAGGATGGTCTTGATCTCCTGACCTCGTGATCCGCCCGCCTCGGCCTCCCAAAGTGCTGGGATTCCAGGCGTGAGCCACCGTGCCCGGCTGGCTGTAACATTTATGGACATACTTAGGGTGTAGTTAGTGGAGGTGGAAGTGGTGGTGAAGAGCCCACACTGAAGTTCAGCCTCTTTCTGAGGCTCCTTCTGAGGCTGGAGGCGCGTGCAGGGCTCCCTCCATGAGGACCCTGGCACTGCGCCCCAGCCACATGGGAGCCCTGCTGGACGGACGGTGGCTGGGTCGCAGGGGACAGACTCTTGGATGCCTGCACTGCCCGCTTTCTAACCTTCCTGTCTGCAGGTGCAGCCAGCAGCCCAGCTTCCTGTGAGCGGCGGCTCCACACAGGCCACTGGCCCCTGGTGTCTGAGTTGCCCACTCTGGCCCTTGGCCTGCGTTTCCGTCAGGATTCCTGTCTCCTTTATTTGATGTGTGGGAGTTCTAAATGGTAAGCCTTGCCAGTTTTAAAAGCTGCAAACGCCTTCTCTTAATCTACTGTTGCCATTATTCAGGTATTATTCATTATTTTTGTTCTATGTAAAATTTTATGTAAATAAACCCATCAAAATCTTGTCTTACAGTTGTGTTTGTGGAGTTTTTTTTTCGAGATAGAGTCTTGCTCTGTTGGCCAGGCTGGGGTGCAATGGCGCAATCTCAGCTCACTGCAACCTCCACCTCCTGGGTTCAAGCAATTCTCTTGCTTCAGCCTCCTCGAGTAGCTGGGATTACAGGTGCCTGCCACCATGCCCGGCTAATTTTTTGTATTTTTAGTAGAGACGGGGTTTCACTATGTTGGCCAGGCTGGTCTCGAACTCCTGACCTTGTGATCTGCCCACCTCGGCCTCCCAAAGTGCTGGGATTACAGGCATGAGCCACCGCACCCGGCCTTGGGGAGTTTTCTCTACTGCTAGCTCACATATCCGCCTTCCCACATTCTTTTTTCTTTTTTGGGGGTGTGAGACAGGGTCTCACTCTGTCGCCCAGGCTGGAGTGCTAGTGGCGAGATCTCAGTTCACTGCAACCTCTGCCTCCCGGGTTCAAGCGATTCTGCCACCTTAGCCTCCCGAGTAGCTGGGACTACAGGTGGCTGCCACCACGCCCGGCTAAGTTTTGTGTTTTTTTAAAGTAGAGATGGGTTTTCACCGTGTTACCCAGGCTGGTTTTGAACTCCTGAGGTCAAGCAATCCACTCGCCTTGACCTCCGAAAGTGCTACGATTACAGGCACGAGCCACCATGCCCAGTCTCCCACATTATTTTCTACTGATTTCCTATTTCACCACCGCCCATGAATCACCAATTGCTCTGGAGCCTATCCTGTGTGTGATGCCAGGGAGGGGCAGTGTTCATTTTTCCACATAGTGCACTCTGCCAACATCATGAGGACACTGTCCACCCCTCCCCGACCCCCGGACACTTTTCCCAGTCCCCGAGTCCCCTGGGTTCCTGCTGAGGTGTCCCTGTCTTGGTGCTGTTAGGTCAGGCCTCCCCCCACACTCTCACTGTGGGTTTGCAGCACTCAGGATCTGGTAGGAAAGCGTCTCTCCCAGCTCTTTTTCAAAATGAATTGAATCACAATGTTGACTTTTTTCTTCCATATACATTTTAGAATTTGTCGGGCACGGTAGCTCATGCCTATAATCCCAGCTTTTAGGAAGGCAGAGGTGGGAGGACAGCTTGAGCCTAGGAGTTTGAGACTTGCCTGGGCAATATAGCAAGACCCTGTTCGCCAAAAAAGGAAAAAGAAAAAGCCGGGCACGGTGGCTCACTCCTGTAATCCCAGCACTTTGGGAGGCAGAGGCAGGTGGATCATGAGGTCAAGAGATCAAGACCATCCTGGCCAACATGGTGAAACCCCGTCTCTTCTAAAAATATAAAAATTAGCTGGGTGTGGTGGCATGTGCCTGTAGTCCTACCTACTCAGGAGGCTGAGGCGGGAGAATCGCTTGAGCCCGGGACGCGGAGTTTGCAGTGAGCACAGATCGCGCCACTGCACTCCAGCCTAGCGACAGAGCGAGACTCTGTCTCAGAAAAAAAAGGAAAAAAAATTAAATTTTAGAATTTAATGTGTCTCAAAAAATCAAATGGTGGCTGGGTGCGGTGGCTCACCCCTGTAATTCCGGCATTTTGGGAGGCTGAGGTGGGCGAATCACCTGAGGTCAGGAGTTTGGGACCAGCCCGGCAACATGGCAAAACCCCATCTCTACTAAAAATACAAAAATCAGCTGGGTGTGGTGGCGGGTGCCTGTAATCCCAGCTACTAGGGAGGGTGAGGCAGGAGAATCGCTTGAACCTGGGAGGTGGTGGCTGCAGTGAGCTGAGATTGCGCCATTGCACTCCAGCCTGGGTGACAGAGAATGACTCCTTAAAAAAAAAAAAAATCAAATGGCATTTTGATTAGGATTGTGCTGGATTTAGCATACCTTTCCTCATCACTTCCACATTTTTTGTATGTTTGTAAAAATGTCTGTTAAAGAACAGATGGCTGGGTATTAATTTGGAGCCTTTTAAAACTTGAGACAGGGTCTCCCTCTGTCACCCAGGCTGGAGTGGGTACAATCATGGCTCACTGCAGCCTCGCCCACATTGGACAGTACGGTTCTAGAGTCCTGGTTCCTCAAGTAGACGGTTCTAGAGTCTAGAGTCCCGGAGGCAGAAGGGACCTTGGTGACCACATGATGTGGCCCTCATTCTGCAGGAGGAGAAATCTGAGACCCTGGGAGGTGACGATGCCCTGGTAGCATTAAATCCAGACTTCGGGTGTCTGTCAATGTACATTTTATATTAAAAAAGCCAAAATAACAATGGGGTGAGAACAGGAGGCCACTATACCAGTGGCCAAGAGTTCAGATCCTTGGAGGCCGTCTTTGGAGAGGCTCAATGGGACTCGTATTCTGGCAGCAGCACAGCACCGTGTGGGACACAGGACACCCTCCCCACACCTGAGCTTTCACCCACAGGCAAGGGATGTGGCGAGAACTGACGGGCACACGTGAAAACAGTCAGCCCTGCCCGGCGCTCTTTGAAGGAGAGCTCTAAGGAACACAAGCACACAGGGCTGAGTCAGCTTTTACCCAGCTTTTTTAACTTACCTAATTTTTAAAAAATTGAAAATGGCTGGGTTAAAAGACTAAAAAACCTCGGTTGTTGCAGGTCAAGACTGCCTGAACCCTGCACACCAGGACTAGGGCCAGCTAGGCCAGCCCCCGAATGCCACTCGGACAGCACGTGAATGCCTGTAAAGCACTCTCAGGCCCTGTGTTTCACACGACTCAGGTAGGGACTGTGACTGCCTTCTGAGAGAAGGAAACAGGGATTTCTAGCGAATGAACGCAACGTGTCTTATGTTCTCTCTGTGGCTACAATAACTGTCAACAATCACCCAGGAGGACAGTGTGGCAAGATTTAATTGCAACGGCATCTGAAAATGGTGTGTGACGTCGCGCGCGCCAGCTATCGTCAGTGCCTTTATTGCCATTGGGTTTGTGACTGTTGATATAGTGACGACCTCAGGAGCAACAGGTGGGTTAAAAACCCGTGGCTGGGCAGTTCTTCCGAGGAGAGGGACCACATGAGGAGCCAAGAAGGACTCAGAACCTGACGAACGTGGCATCGATCTGCCGCACGGAGGGGAGGGCGAGCATGACCTTCCGCCGGTACTGGGGGTCCTTCTGCAAGGGGTTCCGCTCCAGGTACACTGTCTCCAGGCTCCTGGCTCCCTTCAGCTCGTCGAGGTCGCTCCAGCTCTCAAGGAGATTGTCGTTCATCTGGGGACACACACAGCAGAAAAGCCTTTAGAACCAAACAGCCCAGCCCTCGACTCTGGTGGGGTCCACTAGCCACCCTCCTCCTTCCCACTCAGAAGATGGCGAGCAGGTGTGGGTCTTCCCTGGCACCTCATGGGACCTTCCATGGCCTCTTGGTGCATCCTGGCCACCTTCAGCTGCATCCCAAGTACAAGTTACCTGTCCATAGCCAACCCTGGGCCAGTCACTATGACGGGGCCAAGTCCACATTCAGGTCAGCAGAGGAAGGACAAAGCAGTTCTGGCCACCTGCCTGCTACACTTGTCCATAGGCAAGTGTCAAAGCAGGGTGGGCTGCACTTTCTACAAACCAGTTCTCAGCCATCATTCCCAAGGCTGCACTCTGCGCCATCACTGTGACACAGCAGACAGAGGCCGCTCTACTTAAAACTCTCAACTCTTCTGTAAATTACCTCTATGGCTCTCTCCACAAGGAAGTCCCAGCTGCTGCTTTCACCCAATACCAAGTGCAGGGACACAAATCGTGAGCAGGTGGGATTCAGAGGTCTGAGTTGCAGGCTACATTTTACCATCTTGGCCCTGCCATGCCCAGTTGGAGGGACCTGCCTTTGGCAGGAAGAGTTCTCTTGCATTTTTTTTTTTTTTGAGACAGAGTCTCGCTCTGTCGCCCAGGCTGGAGTGCAGTGGTGCCATCTCCAGAACAAGGGGAGCCAGTCCAGCTTCAAACCCTGTTGGTCTGACCCTCCCTTTCAAACACCCTGTGTGTAGAAATCACATGTTCAGAGCTGCCCGGCCTCAGGGCCTGCCAGGCAAACCGCGGTGGCAAGAGCACGGGCACTGCTCCTGAAGAGGCAGCTGGACTTGACTGTGAACCTACAATGGGCACAGGCAGGGGCACTCGTTATAGGGTGACAGACTTCGACTCCTTTTACAGGGAAGTTAGGAAGGGAACTGTCCATGTGGAACGGAAGGCAAGCAGGGGCGTTCTACTCTGGGGCCCACACTGCCCACTGCCCTGCCCACAGCTGTGGTCCGACTGGGGGGTCCCTGCATGGACTTCTGGACCTCTGCTCTGCACAGCTCCCCTTCTCTCTGGGGCCCTGTCTGGCACACTCTAGCTGCCAGAGATGTTGATCTCTGCCTCTTCCACTCAGAAGTACTGTGTTCTGCTTGGGAAACATCCCAGGTAAGGAGTGGGGTGATCACGGGGCTCGCGCTGGAACTCCCTCCTCAGAGCCTGCAGGTGCGTGCTGCCTGCTGTCCACTGCCTGAATAGAGTTGTTTCATATTTTTCTATCTGTCTGTGGCAGGAGGGCTAGTTTTGCACCAGGTCCACTGTCACAGCCAGGCTGTCTTTAGTAACTTACCGTGTGTCAGGGGCTTCCCAGAGAGGAATATAACGTGCATCTCACAGGTTTGCCTGTTTGAGGAACCCTATTTTCTTTTTTTTGAGAGGGAGTCTCGCTCTGTCGCCCAGGCTGGAGTGCAATGGGGCAATCTCTGCTCACTGCAACTTCCGCCTCCTGGGTTCAAGCGATTCTCCCACCTCAGCCTCCCAAGTAGCTGGGATTACAGGCACTCGCCATCATGCTCGGCTAATTTTTGTATTTTTGTAGAGATGGGGTTTCACCACGTTGGCCAGCCTGGTCTTGAACTCCTGACCTCAAGTGATCCACCCGCCTCAGCCTCCCAAAGTGCTGGGATTACAGGCGTGAGCCACTGCGCCTGGCCTGAGGGACCCTATTTTCACAGAACCTTTTGTGGGACTAGTGCGTACCAGCCTTGGGAAACCAAGAATTCCAAATCCTAGAGCTTAGCCCTTGAAGAGGGACTGACACCTGCTGGGAGGAGCTGCACCACCAGGGCTGGTGCCCTGCTGCTGCTGTCCCGACCAGTGCCTCCATGTGGACGGGACGTGAGCGTACCTTCTTAAATGCTACTCTGTTACTACACTCGCACCGCCCCGCTGGTTGTGTGGCCAGTGCAGAGCCTGCAACACTAGAATTACAGGGGAAGCCATCCACCTGCCAGGCCTGTGATTGGCCGGTCACTGGTCAGTTAACAGAAAGAGCCCCTTAAAGTGGAGAGTCACGAAAATGATGCACACACACGCCTTAAACCAAGCTTGTCCAACCCACGGCCTGCAGGCTGTAAATGGCCTAGGATGGCTTTGAATGAGGCCCAACGCAAATCTGTAAGCTTAAAAACATTTTGAGATTTTTTTGCGATTTTTTCACTTTTTTTTTTTTTTTTTTTTTTAGCTCACCAGCGATCGTTAGAGTATTTTATGTGTAGCCCAAGACAATTCTTCTTTTTTCCAGTGTGGCCCAGGGAAGCCCAAAGACTGAACACCACTGCCTTAACCACTTCTACCACAAAACACACAAAAAGGACATTCATTTAATGAAAGTAGCAATATCACACTGTTTGGAAGAAGTAAGATTTTCTTGTAGCATAGTCTATTTAAAAAATGATTCAAAACACCACTGGCAGTTGACTCAGGCTTTCAGCTCTGGCGTGGGAGGTCTTCAAGCTGTGTCACCTCCTTCTTTCTCGATATGTGATGTATTTGTGTTTGTCACACACCAGATGCTTCTTGTCTCACACATCACAGCATTTTCCAATGTCATTATTAGTCTAGATGGGCGGACCATCTTTATAAATTGCAGATGTTGTAATTTTCCATAGCACTGCCAATCTCAGAGCAGTTTTCTCCAGGACTTAGTAAACCTAACACGGGGAATTCTACTCACCACCAATGGTGCATTGTAAATAATGTGTAAATAATGTGTTTGATACTGGTAACTTTCAGAGATTCTTATCTTTGCATTTTTCCAAAATGGAACTAAAAACATTCACTTGTATGAGACTCTGTCTCCATAGACATTCCAGAGGCTCCTGAATCCCAGGATGGGGCAAAGATGTTACACTCATCATGGAAAAAAGATGACCTTATGTTTCTCTTATCAAGTTCTGCACACTGGGGCTGTCAGGGAGCCTGGCTGGGGAGCGCGGGCACATTCCTTTCCCCCAGAGGGACCACTTCAGTCTCTTCTAATCTTGAGCACCTCCCATGTCCTTCTCACACTGTTTTTTAAAAACTAAAATTGGCTTCTTGAAGAACTGTCTTGTAAAGTATCCCTCACTGTCATTTAGCTTGTTCTTCTAGCTCTTACACTTCCCATAAACTCAAAGTTAGGTATGAATGCTTGGTTAGATCAGACTAAACATTTTTGGTAGGTATACTGCACAGATGACTCACACTGGGGACACAGCACTTCAGGTGGTCCCACAATTAGGGATGCTAAGTTTTATCATGCAGATCAGCTGGTGACCCCAGATGACTCTGGGAACATGCTTTCCCTTTGCAATTAGCGAGTTCTCTGTGGCATGATCCTTGGGCCTGTGTGCAAACATCCCTTCTTCAACATCCTTCCCAGTAATCTCAGCAGCTGATCCCTTGCCCGAACCAACGGCTGGGATTCTGCTAGAGAACATCTTCTTGGCTGACGTTTTCCTGGCAGACTCTTTTGGTTTTTGGAACCCAAACTTGCATTTTGTATTTATGGGGTTTTCTATCTGTGTATTTTGCATATACATACATAGGATACCTGTATTTCCCTTCACAATTTTTTTGGCTGATATTATAGAAAATTCACATTAATTACCCCAAACTCAGTAATGTTTTAAGCAAAAGATGGGTAGAATTCTTAAGATACATTTCATAAACAACTGGTAGAATGTAAAAATCACTTATTTTCTGAAAATCTCCATGACAGTTTAACAAAGGAGATGCGTGACACAGGCACGGCCCATCAAGAGCCGTCCGTGGGGATGGTGAGGCTGCCAGACACAGGCACGGCCACATCGAGAGCTGTCCGTGGGGATGGTGAGCTACTCGGGAGGCTGAGGCAAGAGAATCCCTTGAACCCGGGAGGCGGAGGTTACAGTGAGCGGAGATTGCGCCACTGCACTCCAGCCTGGGGGACAGAGCCAGACTCCGTCTAAAAAAAAAAAAAAAAAATTAGCGGAGCGTGGTGGCGGGCACCTGTAGTCCTAGCTACTCGGGAGGTTGAGGCAGGAGAATGGTGTGAACCCAGGAGGTGGAGCTTGCAGTGAGCCGAGATCACGCCACTGCACTCCAGCCTGGGTGACAGAGCCAGACTCTGTCTCAAAAAAAAAAAAAAAAGCTGAAGACCAGTGACAAAGTAAAGTATCTGCAACACAGATGACATACTAAGGTTTAGTATCATTCATTGATAGAATCTCTATAAGTTAATAATAAAAGGGAAAATGCACTGGACTAAAGCTAGCAGAAAGTATCAAGAGGGAACAAAAGGACAAAGTGGTTGAAAACAGAGGCGCCAGGGTTAGACTCATCTGTAATTAAAGGAATGCAACTGAAACCTAATGAAATGGCCATCACTAGACTGAAGGGGAGCAGAAAGTGGGCCCAGGCCAGGCACACATGCTGGGAGGGAGGCACACAGCCTCTCCTCGAGCAGCCCCTACCTGTGCCCCCCGCTCCTTGCAGCTCACACCCAGACAGCCCTGGGTCAGGGGTGCCAAGCTGGCACAGGCTGCTTGTGCAGGGCGCTGCCTACAGGAAAGCATTCCATCAAGAGGGCTGAGGAAGCACAGCTGTGGCATGGAGCAGGCCTGCAATGTAATTTAAATGGCATCACTTGGCTTAAACGAGCGGGCAGCATCTGCCAACAGAGCATCTGGGAGGGTCCTGGGGAAGCCCCTGTGCCAGCAGGGCAGTGGGCAGATGGGCTCCATGCCGGCATCAGACACCATGAGGGTGGAAACTTTCCTGCCAAATGTTTCTCCTCCCCTGGCTACTGCCTTTGGTCACTGTGATGCTACCTTTCCCCTGGATTACTGGGAAGAGGGTGGGGGCCTGAGCAGGGCAGTGCTGGTCTCAGCCCACCCTCCAGGCCCTGGATGTCAGCTTGAAACAAGTCGCGTATGGCAGGGGCGGGATGCATCATATTGGTGAACTGTGTATTGCTATCCTCCACCTATTTTTCTATTGAATCGCTTTCTTTCACTTTAAAGAACTTTTTGTATGTCATAGAAAATAACCTTAACCTTAACCTCTCAGGCGACCAATGGACTCTTTCATCATGCAAAATACATACGCTTTATAAAATTAGATATACCTATTCTTTCTTTTTTCACTGATTTTTAAATCTTGGTTAGGAAGCTCTCTATGATTTTTTTTTTTTTAAGGTGGAGTCTAGCTTTGTCGCCAGGCTAGAGTGCAGTGGCACAATCTTGGCTCACTGCAACCTCTGCCTCCCAGGTTCAAGCGATTCTCCTGCCTCAGCCTCCCGAGTAGTGGTGACTACAGGCGCGTGCCACCACATCCAGCTAAATTTTTGTATTTTAGTAGAGACAGGGTTTCACCATGTTGGCTAGGATGGTCTCGATCTCCTGACCTGATCGTGCAGTGGCACGATCTTGGCTCACTGCAACCTCCGCCTCCTGGGTTCAAGCAATTCTCCTGTCTCAGCCTCTCCAGTAGCTGAGACTATAGGTGCATGCCGCCACGCCTGGCTCATTTTTGTATTTTTAGTAGAGATGGGGTTTCACCATATTGGTTAGACTAGTCTCAAACTCCTGACCTTAGGTGACCCACCCGTCTCAGCCTCCCAAAGTGCTGGGATGACAGGTGTGAGCCACCGTGCCCAGCTGCATGTGGTATTTTTAAGGCTCTAAATGCCCTACAGAAAACTTGTATGAAACACAGCTATCTCCGTAGTCACGAGAGTGCCTGCTGCCATCACAGGCTGGTTGCAGCTGCATTCTATGAGTCTTCACCAACCTGACAGATAACACTGTATCTCACTGTTTTAGTAGATTTTAAAAGTTAATGAGATATGGCCAGGCACAGTGGCTCACGCCTGTAATCCCAACACTTTGGGAAGCCGAGGCAGGCAGATCACTGGAGGCCAGGAGTTCAAGACCAGCCTGGCCAACATGGCAAAACCCCGTCTCTACTAAAAATACAAAAATTAGCCAGGCATGGTGGTGGCAGCCACCTGTAATCCCAACTACTTGGGAGGCTGAGGCAGGAGAATCACTTGAACCCGGGAGGTGGAGGTTGCAGTGAGCCGAGATCGTGCCACTACACTCTAGCCTGGACGACAGGAGCAAAGCTCCATCTCAAAAAAAAAAAAAAGAAAGAAAAAAAAATTAATGAGATAGGAAATGCTTTATGTATTTACAAGCAACTGTTACTTCTTGCTCTGTGAACACCCTAGTTTTCAAGTGGTACCTGGGTGTGAGCTGTTTTTAATGTAAGGATGTTAGCCCTGCATCTGACACATGTGGATAACATATTTTCCAATGTTATCTGTAGCTGGCCTCCACCCAGTTGGCCAGCCTTTTCTATGTTCCTTCTGCTCATTCAAATATGTTTCAGGCACTGACTGGGCATGGTGGCTCACACCTGTAATCCCAGCACTTTGGGAGGCCCAGGCAGGAGGATTGCTTGAGTTCAGGAGTTTGAGACCAGCCTGGACACCACAGTGAGACCTTGTCTCTACAAAAGATTTTAAAATGGTCCAGACATAGTGGCTCACTCCTGTAATCCCAGCACTTTGGGAAGCCGAGGTGGGCGGATTACCTGAGGTCAGGAGTTTGAGACCATCCTGGCCAACATGGTGAAACCCCGTCTCTGCTAAAAATGCAAAAATTAGCCAGGCGTGGTGGCATTCACCTGTAATCCCAGCTACTGAGAGGCTGAGGCAGGAGAATCGTTTGAACCTGGAAAGCGGAGGCTGCAGTGAGATTGTGCCATTGCACTCCAGCCTGGGTGACAAGAGCAAAACTCCATCTCAAAAAAACAAAAAACGAAACAAAACAAAAAACCCACAAATGTAGCCAGGTCATTGGTGCACACCTGCAGTCCCAGCTACTTGGGAGGCTGAGGTGGGAGGATCACTTGAACTCAGGAGGCCAAGGCTTCAGTGAGCCATGATCATGCTACTGCACTCTAGCCTGGGTGACAGAACAAGACTCTGTCTCAAAAGAAAAAAGTGTATCAGGCACTATTCCAGATGCTGGTGAGATAAGAGTGAACAAAACAATATCCATACTGCGGAATATTATTTGGCCCTAAAAAGAAAGGCAATTCTGACACATGCTTACAGAATGGGTGAATCTTCAGGTCAATATGCTGAGTGAAGTAAGCCAGTCACAAAAATAAATACTGCATGATTCCAGTGATATGAGGTCTGTAGTTAAATTCATAGAGACAGAAAGTAGAAGGGTCATTGTCAAGGTCTGGGAAGGGGAAAATAGGGAGTTATTGTTTAATGGGTACAGAGTTCCAGTTTTATAAGTTGAAAAGAGTCCTGGAGATGGACGGTGGTGATGGCTGTGCACCATTACGAATGTGCTGAATACCACTCACTGTACACTTCCACATGGTTAAGATGGTGAGTTTTATTTTATGCATGTTTTACCACAATAAAGAAATTGGGAGGGAAAACAAAGTAAACCAAACACTAATTTCCCTGCCCTTATGAGGTTTGTATTATACAGTGGGGGAGACAGACACAAAAGTAAGATAAATAAGTAGGACTTCTGTTTCAAGCCATGACAGAATAGCTGGTGCTGAGCTCCTGCCTTTGTCACAAGCTACTAGAAAATAGGATAGAATAGGCCGGGCGCGGTGGCTCACACCTGTAATCCCAGCACCTGGGGAGGCCAAGGCGGGCGGATCATGAGGTCAGGAGATGGAGACTGTCCTGGCTAACACAGTGAAACCCTGTCTCTACTAAAATACAAAAAAAATTAGCCAGGCGTGGTGGCGGGCACCGGTAGTCCCAGCTACTCAGGAGACTGAGGCAGGAGAATGGTGTGAACCCAGGAGGCGGAGCTTGCAGTGAGCTGAGATCGCGCCACTGCACTCCAGCCTGGGCGACAGAGCAAGACTCTATCTCAAAAAAAAAAAAAAGAGGATAAAATATATGAAATAATTGTTTTTATACATCAGACAACAGGCAACACAGATAGTGATTCTTGAGAGACAGGAAACAAATGAGGTGGGTGGTGTGATCATCCCGGCCTTCTGCCTGGAGGAACTTTCAGGACCACAAGGAGGCGGAACCCAAGCAGAGCCTGGTGGCCACACAGAGTTGAGATGGTGATTGTAGTTTGGGGAGGCAAAGGGAGCTGGAATGTATAGATAGGAGTGAGCTATGTAGGGAAAAAGCCTCCAGAAATCCACATGGTATCCTGTGGAATCCTGGACTGAAGATGAAGCTGTGCTAGGCAGAGTGAAAAGCTAAAGGCTGGTCGAAGAACTACTAAGCAGCCCCAAGATGCAGAATGCCCAGAGCTCACCCATAGCAGGTCCATGTTTGTGTTCCCGTCAACCACAGTGGAGAGAACTTAAATACACAGGATATTCACCAGAGATCCTAGGAGGGCCACAGCTTCAAAACAGTGCTAGATTAATCTTACGGAGTAGACTATTTAGATGTACTCTAATAAAGCTTAAAAACAAGCCTCAAAAGGATCAAGCTGTAACTTAATTGCCTGTCAGATAAAGTTCAGTATGTTTTGAAGGAAAACAACATAAATTCCAGACATTCAACAATTGAACACCATAAAGCCCAGGATCTAATAAAAAATTACAAGACGTGAAGAAGGAAGGACTTAAAGGAAAACATGAATCTAATGAAGAGAGAAAAATAATCTACCAAAAAAAAAAAAATAAAGCCAAATGTTCTTTTAGAGTTGAGAAAAATACAGTATCTGAAATAAAAAATTCATGACATGGGCTTAACAGCAGATAGGCTACTACAGATGATAAGATCATGATCTTGAAGATTTAACAACAGAAATTATACAAACAAGCACAGCAAGATGAAAGCCCAAGGGGTGGAGCAGGGTGGAGGCAATGGCCTCAGGGGCCTCGCTAGTGCCAGGGGAACATGCATAACTGGGTTTTCAGAGAGAAACCGGGGTGAGGAGCAAGGGCAGAAGCAGTTTTAGAGAAAATAGTCTCCAGAAGCTTTCCACATTTGATGAAGACCATAGATTCACAGACCCAGTTAACCCTGACACATCACAGAAAATAAACTACACCATGGCACGCTATATTCAAGTTGCAAAAAACAAAACAAAATAAGAAACAATGATTAAAAAGAACATTAAAAAGCAGCCAGAGGAAAAAAGATAAAAATGACTGCTGGCTTCTTATTAGAAATAATGCAAACCAGGGCCGTGTGTGGTGGCTCACACCTGTACTCCCAGCCCTTTGGGAGGCTGAGGCAGGAGGACTGTCTGAGCTCAGGAGTTCGAGACCAGTCTGGGCAACATGGCAAGATCCCGTCCTTTTTTTTTTTTTTTTTTTTTTTTGAGAAAGTCTTGCTCTGTTGCCCAAGTTGGACTACAGTGGCATGATCTTGGCTCACTGCAACCTCTGCCTCCTGGATTCAAGCGATTCTCCTGTCTCAGCCTCCCCAGTAGCTGGGACTACAGGCACGTGCCACCACGCCCAGCTAATTTTTGAATTTTTAGTTGAGACGGGGTTTCGCCATGTTGGTCAGGTTGGTCTCAAACTCCTGACCTGAAGTGATCCACCTTGGGATTACAGGTGTGAGCCACCGTGTCTGGCCCCATCTCTATTTATTTTTAAAAAATATTTTTAAAATAATAAAAATTTTATAAAGGAGAAATAATGCAAACCAGAGGATGAAAGAACAAAGTATTTAATGTACTTAAAAAGGAAAAAAAAATCTCTCAAGCTAGAATTGTGTATCCATAATATTAAATTCCAAAAATGCAGGCAAATTAAATAGATTTTTCAAACAAATCAAAGTGAAGGATTGGTTTACTGCAGAATGCACGACAAAACAATAGAATTCTTCAGGTGGAAGGGAAATACCAAGTGGAAACTCAGATCCACACGAAAGAATAAACAATGCCAGAAAAGGTAAAATAAGTGAGTTTTCTTGTTTTTAAATTTCTTTTTTTTTTTTTTTGAGACGGAGTTTCACTTTTTTGCCCAGGCTGGAGTGCAGTGGCACGATCTTGGCCCACTGCAATCTCCACTTGCCAGGTTCAAGTGATTGTCGTGCCTTAGCCTCCTGAGTAGCTTGGACTACAGCATGTGCCACCATGCCCAGCTAAGTTTTGCATTTTTAGTAGAGACAGGGTTTCACCACGTTGGCCAGGCTGGTCTCAAACTCCTGATCTCAGGTGATCCACCTGCCTTGGCCTCCCAAAGTGCTAGGATTACAGGCATGAGCCACTGCGCCTGGCCATTTTTAAATTTCTTTAAAAGATAAGGTATCATGGGGATCGTAAGATATTTAAATGTAAAATATATAGATGGTGAAAATTAAAAATGTATTTTTAAATTCTAATCGCTAAAACAACCCTCCCTCCAAACAATCAACAAGAAAACACTAATACAGAGGTATAGCAAATAAGCCAATAATAGAGTTAAAATAGACTGCAAAAAAAAAAAAGTCACTCCAAAAAGTAGGTAGGAAAGAGTAAACAAAGAATAGATGAGACAAATAAAAAACAAATACTAAGATGATAGACTTAAACTCAACCATTACACAAAATGTAATTAAATGTAATTATATTAAATGTAAGCAGTCTAAAGACACCACTTAAAAGGCAGAGATTCTCAGACTGGAGAAGAAAGCAAGATCTAGTTACATACTTTTTATGAAAAACACATTTTAATTATAAAGGCATGGGTTAAGAGGAAATGGATGGAGAAAGATTCCATGAGAGCGCTAATCATAAGACAGATGAAGGGGCTGTGTTAATAACAGACAAGATACCCTTCCAGGACAAGGATAAAGAGGATAAGCAAGA
This sequence comes from Homo sapiens, assembly GCF_000001405.40. NCBI lineage: Eukaryota > Metazoa > Chordata > Mammalia > Primates > Hominidae > Homo > Homo sapiens. The sequence continues at coordinate 241,171,793 of NC_000002.12, read as the reverse complement.
AAGAAGAACATTTCATATGATAAATGGATCAATTCATCAAGAATTCCTCAATTCTAAATATGTATGCACCTGATAACAGACTTTCAAAATACAAGAAACAAAAACTGATGGAACTGAAAGGAGAAATGGATCCATTGACAATTATAGTTGGAAGGTTTCAACATTCTCCTCTCAGTAATTGGAACAAATAGGCAGAAAAATCAACAAACATAGTATGTGGGTTATCAGAAACTTGTTAAGACTGGTTTTCTATTTCTGCCTTAGAGATGAATGATGTGCCTCTCAAATGTGATATGAGCATGGAACTGAGTTTGAGAATTCCTGGTTTGCAGCTTTCCTTCCTGGAATGCAATTCTTTACCTGTAAAATGGGGTAATATGACCTTATCCACATGGTTGCTGTGATAATTGGATCAGAATGGAGAGAGGTATGGACACCATAAAGCGCTGTGCAAATTCTGGCTATTTTTTACTATCTTTGGTGGCCTAAGGAACAGGATTCTTCTGTGTTACAGGGTCAGGCACTACCTGGCCCCTAGTGATTGATCACCAGCCTGCCTGCCTCCCTGCTAGCTGTGGTACCCAGGTTGGCCCCTGCCTGTGGTCTCAGCACTCTGTGCCCCATGCTCTGTTCCTAGGCAGGGCATGCAGAAGGAATCGTTACGCTTCAGGAACATTGCTTCAGTATCAGCTCGTTTCCCAAACCTGCTCCCTAATTTTTTGCCAGGTGCCCTTTCCCTATCACCTGGTCCTCTGTCTCTGGACTCCTTATTCCTGTTGTTTGGTTTCTTTGTGTTGTTCCCTGGCTTCTTTGCCAACTCCCTATGCACTAATTCAACCAGCCTACCACCAGCCACACCTTCCTTCAAGGGTGGGCTGCACATAGACCCACCTGGACTCATTGAGGCTCCCCCTGGCCTGGTACATCTTTATCACCTGCCAAATTCTGGCTCTGATCTTCCCAGACATGCTCTGGTATCCCATCATGACACTACTCAAGACCCAGTGCCACTAATAAGGGGCAAGGAACATTTGCAGCAGGCCACCTGTGTTCTAGGGAAACTTGGATGACCTTTTAAAGTGGGGAAAGGAGAAAGCACAGGACATAAGCAGGGTCAGCAGCACGGCTAGAGGAGAGACAAGGAAGAATGATGCCTTACACTCAGCATGAATCCTGGATTAGACTGAATGTATCTGAGGACACTACTACATTCCCAGCATCACAGGGTGACACCTGTGCCGCAGTCTCTGCAGGGCCACGTGCTAGCGGAAAGGCAATAAACCTTAGGAGATTTCTCTAAGGGAATCCTAGCACTGAAGACTTCCACTCGGGGATCATTTCCCAACCCCTTTAGAGGAACTGCAAAAACTTCTTATATTCTGTTTCTCTTCCTGCTGACTCCACAACACTACTCCTGAAACCATACCTGTGACAAGACAAATACAAGGCAAATTCCAAGATGACTAACTGCAGAAACCCATCCAACATTTCCTTCTGTTGTGCTGGAATATATCTGTAGGGAATGCGTCTGCCTCTCTGCTGAGGTTTGCAAACCATTTGGTCAAATGACAATTGTAGGTTCTACCCATACCTAGATCAGGGCTTCTCCAACCTTTGTGTGTACTGCAATCACCCGGAGTCTTGTAAAGCAAAGATTTTGACTCAGTTTTCATCTGGGCTATGGTGGGGCCCAAGATTTTGCATTTCTAACAAGCTATGTCAATGCTGCTGATCTGTGGCTCACGCTGAGGAGCACAGACAACACCCAATACAAGTCTACAAGAGCGCCCACCCCAAATCTCATGATGTGCGGAGTCACTCAGCATGAAGGCTTACAGGAGATTCTTGTATTCATTCATAAGACATTTTAATCAGTGAGACCAGTTTAGTCAAAGTGTCATCAACCCCAGCGTGTATTAAACTTACCCAGAACTCTTGCAGCTCTGTTAGATGGCTGATATTTTCAATCTTTTTGATTCTATTTGATGCAATGTCCAACATCGTGAGTTTGTTCTAAAAGAAGGAAATAAAATGTTTCCTGGATTACCTCTGATCAACAGTGATTTGCATGACCACGCAGGCAGTGTCAAGTGCTGACCTTAGGGCTGCAGGTGCACTGCCCTCTCTGCCCTCACAGGGTAAGGGCATGCTATGGAGGGTGACGAGACCTGCTTGCTTCCTGCAGCCCTCCCTGGGACAGTGTTTCCATCAGAGCCTGCCCAGCTATCTCCCTGAGCTCTCCTGATCGCTGGAATTTGAGACTGTGTCAGACTCCAAGCCCAGTCCTCCCAGATCCCTGTCCATTGAGACAGACCTAGTGAGACTGATGGTCCCAGGAAGAACCGAGTAACCCCCTGACGCTCTGAAGAAAGGCTGACAATTGTAGAAACATTTACTTAGTGCTCATCACGAGGAAATGTACGACCAAGTAATCTTCAAAACAAAGTTCCTCTCTTCATTTAGGGATGAGGAACTTGGGGCTCAGTGGGGCTAAGAATCTGCCCAGGCGCACAGTAGCAGTGGGAGAGGCAGGACTCTCAGACCCCAGGCCTACACTCTTGTCTGGGAAAAGGGTCCCGGGAGCATAAGTGCAGAGAAGGGACCCATGCTGAGGACTGGGTGCTGGGCCTGCTGAGCACCTGCTGCAGGGTGTGTGCCCCCACTGGGAGACAAGAGTGTGTTTTTAGGATCTTCTACTCTGAAAATGCACATCAGTTACTCACTTTCCAATACATGTTAGCTAAGCCTGAGTAATAATTTTGTTTCTCATCAAAAGGAAAACATTTACAAGCTGTCTGAGAACCTCTGACAAAGTTCATTCCCTTCTCTGCCCTCACGCTCTGCTCCCTCCTGAGTCCCTTCCTTGGTTTTCTACTGCATTTTTGGTATTCCAATTCCAAAGCCTTCTAAGTTTTAAGGGAAAGTTAAAAAATTTCTCAAAAGCAAATACTCCTCCCCCCATCTCCCCTGAAATGTACCCAGCCAGTAGCTTTCCCAATTCGAAAGCGCTATGGCTGTGGCCTGGGAGCTCCTCTGGCTGTACCACCCTTGCTGCCTTGGCGCCCAGCACCCCAGCTGGCACCAGCTGCGTGTGTCAAGTCTGACGCCACTCTCCAGCAGGCTATACGTGGCATGCTGCCTAGGAGGTGCCTTCAAACCACCCCATCTCGGTGCCCTGGTCAGGTCTGCTCACAGAGTATCAGGCTCAACAGTGTGCGAGGGAGCTCAGTGGGGCGGGTTCAGAGCAAAAAGGACTGCAGGAAAATGTTGCAGAAGACGCGACTGTGGGTAATCCAACGACACACCGCCTGGCGGTGGGGCTGGAACAGGCCTCTCTAGCACGGACGGCAGCTCTCCCCCGCACTCTGCACCATTCTGAGATGCTCATGGTCATCTGGTATGCAAGCCCAGAAACTGGCAAAATGAAAGTGGCCTGGAACACACGCAGGATTTGAGCCTCGTGAGGTCCAAGCACCAAGGCTCAGCACGAGGGGCAGAGCCGGTGGTGGGCTCTGGCTGTCAGAACCGGTCCATCACCTCTGAGCTCAGGGATCCATGTAGGCACTCAACACTATTTCACGTTTTTCTACAGGAGCTGGACAATGTTGTGAAAACTCATCCAAAAGCAAACTAGTAAGAACTGCTTAAGAAACAGAAAAAAAGAATGGAACAGGGTGAGGAGAGCAGGCACACCAAAGGGCATGACACAACGCCACAGAAACTACACCTGTCAGGGACCACTGCAAACATATTCTAGACCAACGGGAGAGCCCAGAGCTGGAGAAGACACGAAGAACAAGACAGGAGTCGTGAGACACTGGGATGGGGGGTGTCGTCTAAGTTCCCACCTGGGACAAAACTACATTTACTTTCTTATTTCCCACCATAAAAATAAATTCCAGATAAATTAAGAAACAAAACTTAGGAGAAAATATTTGTCTGATCTTTAGTTGAAAAAAATGGCAGAAGAAAGACTGTCACATTTGATCATGATGAAGATTACAATAACGTAATTACCTTTAATACAACAATTTTTTTTTTTCTGTTTTGTTTCAGAGGCCCAAGAATAATCTGGTGTTTAACCAAGATCACAGTGTAGCACTTCTACTGGTAAAATTCTGAACCACACTTCTTTCCAGTTTTCCTGGGACTGGCTGCTTATGTGAACTGTGCTGCAGATTGTCTGTCTCCCGGTGGATGCTTGGTGGTGACTGCAGGGCCTTGGCTCAGGGAGGCCAGGGTGCAGGAGGGCACCAGGGCTCCCTGCTGCGCACCCCACCCGGCCCCAACCCCAGCCCCTGCCACACAGTCCTCAGCGCCATTCCACTGCAGGCACGTCTCGACTTACCACTCTAAACTACACAGGTGAACACTTGGTTTGCATGCTAGTTTTATAAACTTTTAATTTCAATGCAAAGTCAAAGGAAGGTGACCAAACTTTCCACAGGCAAATTTGAATTTTTCCAAAATTTTATGCAGGTGTTGGTGAAATTTACTGCTGCCAACTAGGCCCTGGGGTTGAGGCACAAAGGCCTTTAATGAGATTGAAACACTATGTTTATAGACCAATCTGGTTGTATTTGCTGGCAATTTAACAAAACAGAAAAAAACAAGTAAAATTGAATGAGAAAAAGTCTTTTATTTGTCTTGAACACCGCACTGGGGCAGAGCAGGGTGAGCTGGAGGCAGCTGAGGAGGGTGGGGGCTCTGTGAGCACACTTCCCCTCAGTACGTGAGGCTGTCCTGCACCTGAGTGAGAAGGGCCGGGGAGGGAGGGAGGAGCATGAACAGGTGAGGACAGGTGTGGAAAGCAGGCAGGGAGGAATGGGGGAGGAGGAAGCTGCTCATACTGTAAGAAGAGGAAGGGGCTGGGACTGAGAGCTGGTCCTGTGCTCTCTGTGGGCTGGGAAGTAGGGGCTGAGGCCAGTGGACCCATGGACAGGTCAGTGGCCTAAAGGGATGCCAGTCACCCTCATACAGGGCCCTTTACGAGCAGGTTGGGTTTGTTTTTTTCAAATCTTGCAAAATGCCTGCAGTGCACAGTGGGTGTGCAATGGATGCTGCCCCATTGAGGAAGCCTAGGGAAGCCTGTGCTGAAATCCCACATAAAGCGTCAGCCCTTCAAGGCACACTCAGGGCAGAGGGCCAACAGGCACACACAGCTCCTGCACTTTTCAGTATGAGGAAAGGGTCCCTTAGTTTTTAGGATGGGAAGGTCTTTCTGATAAACCTCCAGAGGCAGGGCATCTTCCTGACACCGGCCCGAGAGGCCAGTGTGTGCTGGCTGGCCAGGTGCCTGCCCGCCTGGTGCCCACCGCCCACACAGCCCCAGACAGACAGTGGGTGTCTTACATTGTTCTCCAGGCCCTCGATGACCTCGATGCCATTGTGGCTAAGGTACAGCTCCCGCAGGTTCACCAGGTTCTGCAGACCCTCGATCTTGGTCAGCCGGTTGCTCTGCAAGAGGGAGAGCACACAGCTGTCAGAACAGTACAGAAGGTATGAAATGAAACGGTTTTTAGGAAACGAGGTTTTGTGTTATCTTGAAGAATTCTAAGAACAGAGAATTTCACTTAAAACATGCTAGAATGGGGCCGGGCGCGGTGGCTCATGCCTGTAATCCCAGCACTTTGGGAGGCCGAGTGGGGCAGATCACGAGGTCAGGAGATCGAGACCATCCTGGCTAACGTGGTGAAACTCCATCTCTACTAAAAATACAAAAAATTAGCCAGGTGTGATGATGGGCGCCTGTAGTCCCAGCTACTCGGGAGGCTGAGGCAGGAGAACGGCGTGAACCCGGGAGGCGGAGATTGCAGTGAGCCAAGATCATGCCACTGCACTCCAGCCTGGGCAACAGAGCGAGACTCCATCTCAAAAAAAAATATATATATATAAAGGGCTGGGCACGGTGGCTCACGCCTGTAATCCCAGCACTTTGGGAGGCCGAGGCGAGAGGATCATGAGGTTATGAGATCGAGACCATCCTGGCTAACACGGTGAAACCCCGTCTCTACGAAAAAAATACAAAAAAAATTAGCCGGGCGTGGTGGCGGGTGCCTGTAGTCCCAGCTACTTGGGAGGCTGAGGCAGGAGAATGGCGTAAACCTGGGAGGTGGAGCTTGCAGTGAGCCGAGATTGCACCATTGCACTCCAGCCTGGGTGACAGAGCGAGACTCCGTCTCAAAACGAACAAACAAACAAACAAAAAACATGCTAGAATGGGACTCATGTAGAGAGAAAAAGAGGATCAAAATTTTGAGCCTGCTGTACTGAGCTAAAATTCATGCATGGGAATTACATGTTTTTTATATAAAGAATTCATTGTTAGGCCAGGTGCAGTGGCTCTCACCTATAATCCCAGCACTTTGGGAGGCCAAGGCAGGAGGATCACCTGAGGTCAGGAGTTTGAGACCAGCCTGGCCAACATGGTGAAACCTGTCTCCACTAAAAATACAAAAAATTAGCCGGGCGTGGTGGTGCACACCTGTAATCTCAGCTCCTTGGGAGACTGAGGCAGGAGAATCGCTTGAACCCAGAAGCTGAGGTTGCAGTGAGCCGAGATTGCACCCCTGTGCTCCAGCCTGGGCAATAAGAGCGAAATTCCATCTCAAAAAAAAACCAAAAAAAAGAACTCATTGTTAAAAGATACATTTGGTGAAGGTTTACCTGATTTAATAATTTTAAAGTGTAAAAATTACTGAATATTTTAAAGTAAATTAATTATAATTTCTTTCTTTCTTTTTTTTGAGATGGACTCTCGCTCTGTCACCCAGGCTGGAGTGCAGTGGCACAACCTTGGCTCACTGCAATGTCCTCCTCCTGGATTCAAGCATTTCTCCTGCCTCATCCTCTTGAGTAGCTGGGATTACAGGCGCCCGCCACCATGCCTGGCTAATTTTTGTATTTTCAGTAGAGATGAGATTTCACCATGTTGGCCAGGCTGGTCTCAAACTCCTGACCTCAAATGAACCGCCTGCCTTGGCCTCCCAAAGGGCTGGGATTACAGGCGTGAGCCACCACGCCTGGCCTAAGAGCTTTTTTTTATATTTTTAATTTTTTTAGAGATGGGCTCTCACTATGTTGCCCAGGCTGGTCTTGAACTCCTGGGCTCAAGCGATCTGACCGCCTAGATCTCCCGAAGTGCTGAGGTTACAGGCATGAGCCACTGTACCAGGCCAAGAACTTTCTTAAAGAAGCCTGACAAACTTCTGCTTCACCAAGGGTTAAGAGCGGTTTCCACATGCCCCTCAGTATCAGTCGAAGGGATCAGGGATCAACTAACCATACCGGGCCTCGTCCCCAGAGCACTCTGTTCCATCTCGCTTCAAGGGTCCAATTCTGCTAATTTGCTTCCAACACAAAAGGTAAACAGGAGCCTAGGCACACCCAAGTGCTTACCAACTCCCAAATGCAGAAGTCTAACAGGGTTGATATTCTCTGTGCAATGGAAGGAATTGCTTTTACCATTGAGCCAAACACTTTAGAATTTAGAATAAGCTCCACCTTCTGAAGAAGTCCCCTTTGGCTAAAAACCATCTATGACTGCTACTGGGGCAGAAGGGGGAGGTGGGTGGGTGGAAAAAGCCAAAAACATGGCACTTAAGAAAGAAATTTTTTGGGAGGCCAAGGCAGGAGGTTTGCTTGAGTCCAGGAGTTCAAGACCACCCTGGGCAACATAGGGAAACCCCTTCTCTACATAAAATACAAAAATTAGCCAGGCATGGTGCTGTGTACCTGCAGTCCCAGCTACTTGGGAGGCTGAGGAGGGAAGATTGCTTGAGCCTAGGAGTGTGAGGCTATAGTGAGCTATGAATGCACTTGTCACTGCACTCCTGCCTGGATGACAGAGTGAGACCTTGTCTCTTAAAAAAAAAAGAAAGGCCACGAGTGGTGACTCATGCTTGTAAACCCAGCATTTTGGGTGGCCAAGGCAGGAAGATCACTTGAGGTCAAGAGTTCAAGACCAGCCTAGGCAACATAGTGAGACCTCATCTCTTCCATTCCTCACCCCCTTGACAAAATATTAGCTGAAGGTCGTGGTGCATGCCTGTAGTCCTACCGACTTGGTAGGCTGAGGTGGGAAGCTGGCTTGAGCCCAGGAGTTGGAGGCTGCAGTGAGCTATGACAGCACCACTGCACTGCAGCCTGAGTGACAGATAAAGACCCTGTTTCTAAAAAAGTGAAAAAAATAAATAAAAAATAAAAAAGAGAATCAAGTTTTTGCTTGGCACATGTGTGTATAAAGTCTATGGCATCTAATGTTTCAATTGCTTACTAATAGTGCAACGAAGTGCCAATTGTGAAGGCAGTGAAGGATAAAAACTAAGATTGTGTCCAGCAGCGCTGGCCCTGCCAGGGCTCGCAGGGAAGGGCGGCTCAGGAAGCTCCGTACCTGCATACTGAGGACTGTCAGGTTGGTGAGCGCATCCAGGTTCTGAAGTTTAGTAATTTTGTTTTTCCCCAAAAACAAACTCTCCAGGTTGGTTAAGGTGTCGATATTTTCGATTGCCTGTGGAAAGGACAGAACAGCAATGAGTACTGCAGTTGACAGGCTGCCCCAGGCAGCCAGCAGGTGCCTGGACCGGGGCAGAGCTATGTGGGCTTCAGCTCTGCGATGTGGGGCTAGTGACGTATCTGCTAAGACTTCCAGTGGAAATCCTACTTGAAGGTAGAATACAATAGTGGCGAGTCCAAGACTGTCTTGAGCTCATTCCCAACCCTCAGATTTCCTGGGGTGCTGAGGAACAGTCTCAGAACCCAAGGACCAGTAGATTCCCAAGTCCCTTCCAGTTCTAAATTTGTGAGCTGACACATTAAAATGTCCCCCTGTCGGGCGTGGAAATCCCAGCACTTTGAGAAGCTGAGGCAGGTGGATCACAAGGTCAGATAGAGACCATCCTGGCTAACACGGTGAAACCCTGTCTTTATTAAAAATACAAAAAAATTAGCTGGGCGTGGCGGCGGGTGCCTGTAGTTCCAGCTACTCCGGAGGCTGAGGCAGGAGAATGGCGTGAACCCAGGAGGCAGAGCTTGCAGTGAGCCGAGATTGTGCCACTGCACTCTAGCCTGGGCAACAGCACGAGACTCCGTCTCAAAAAAAAAAAAAAAAAGTCCTCCCAAGAGCCTCAGTCTCTACAGAAGAGAGGTACGGGGCACTCTGACCTCAAGTCTTTGAAATCCTGGGACCCTCACTTAGGATTCCTGGGGGGCCCTCACACCACAGCACTCTGCCCCTCTTGCCCAGTTTCCACACCCTCCTACATCACTCTTGCTGTGATCGTGTGCTCCTCTATTCAACCATAAACCTCCAGAGGCAGTGACCACGCTGCCCTGTCTGGTCTCCCCATGGTGACTTGCCTACAGCAGGATGTTTAATGACTGTTTATTGATTTGACTTCAGTTTCCCTCCTCTGTCAGTTCACTCTCTCTCAGAACAAGTCATTCTTTAAATATTTCAGCAGACACAAAATAACCAGATAAGGTGCATGCTAACCAGGTGGGGACTCTAGGAGGGGAGATGGTGTGCTAATCCACACACCACTGCAGGACTTGGCGGGGGCAGGGGCATCCTCACATGCTGTAGCCTGCATTAATTTGTGATGAGCCACTGTTGCCCTAGAAAGTTCCATAGTGAGACACTTGGTAAAATGCGGACATCTGGGCTGCTCTCTAGTTTTAAATGTGCTGCTTTGCTATTTGTGGCCATGACATCTCTAACAATAACTGTCAAGAGACTGTTGCCAAAACCACCCTCCCTTGGTTTGTATCCTGTCCAAGCTCTCAAGGGCCCAGGACAGACAGAGAATGCTGTAATACTTCCAGAAGCCAAGTAGAGGGGCATTCTGAACATGGGCAGGGGCGGATGTGCTTAGACACAGCTGCCAAAGCCACTAAGCCAGGCCGGGGGAGCAAAGGCTCCGTGCCATGACCCTGATTAGGAGCCAGGCACGGGGCTCAAGTGTTCTTCTGGCTGAGAGAAGTCCTCCTTCCTGCCCACGGGAACCCTCCCTCCTCCCTGCCTGGCAGATCCACCTCCAATGTCAGTCCTCCTGGGACGCCCTCCCAAGTTCCCCTCCAGCACATGACGGTGGTTATGAGTCAGCTGGTGAAGACTTGATCCTGCTTCTGTGGAACACCAGATCACTTTTCAAAATTCTTTTATTTCCATTCTGTCCCACGTTTTCAAGGTCAAATGGATCCTGGAGAACAGATCTAATCCTGCTGGGGACGGTGTCCAGGAGTATAAAGCTGTCCAGGGAGGAAGGCCCAACTCAGCACTGCCTTTGGGAGTGTGTCAGCATCAAGAGGTTTTCTAAAGCCCCCGGTATGTACATCAGTTCACTCCAAGTGACCACTTTGCTGGGCTTGGGAAACTTTCATCTCGAAGAAGCATGCCAGAGAAGATGACCATGATCAAGAGGCTTTCTAAAGCCCCGGTATGTACATCAGTTCACTCCAAGTGACCACTTTGCTGGGCTTGGGAAACTTTCATCTCGAAGAAGCATGCCAGAGAAGATGACCATGATCAAGAGGCTTTCTAAAGCCCCGGTATGTACATCAGTTCACTCCAAGTGACCACTTTGCTGGGCTTGGGAAACTTTCATCTCGAAGAAGTATGCCAGAGAAGATGACCATGATCAAGAGGCTTTCTAAAGCCCCGGTATGTACATCAATTCACTCCAAGTGACCACTTTGCTGGGCTTGGGAAACTTTCATCTCGAAGAAGCATGCCAGAGAAGATGACCATGATCAAGAGGCTTTCTAAAGCCCCGGTATGTACATCAATTCACTCCAAGTGACCACTTTGCTGGGCTTGGGAAACTTTCATCTCGAAGAAGTATGCCAGAGAAGATGACCATGATCAAGAGGCTTTCTAAAGCCCCGGTATGTACATCAGTTCACTCCAAGTGACCACTTTGCTGGGCTTGGGAAACTTTCATCTCGAAGAAGCATGCCAGAGAAGATGACCATGAGGAAGTTCAAGAGCAAGGCATTCAGGTTGGTTGGTTCATCTCAGGCAGAATGTAACTGGGAACAGTGTGATTCAGGGTCATGATCTGGATGAAGAGCAACTGAAATCTACGTGCGGAAGAAAGGCTAGACCACTCAGGACTTACTGATACTGACTTTCAGTTAGCATTTTTTCTTAAAAAAATAGTAATTTCCTTGTTCATGAAAAAAATCACAGCATTGTAAGAAATGCAGACTCACCATGCATTCTACATACACCCACTGAGTCCACACACAGCCCGCTAGCTGCCTCTCCCTGAATATACTAGTCAGGGCTGTCTGCACCTACCCGGATGCGGTTAGATCCCAGCTCTAGCATCTGTAGTTGATGTAAGTTGCTTAAGTTCTCAATTTTACTGATTTTATTGTTGACCAAGAAGAGTTTTTTCAGTCGTGTCAACTTGTCAACCCCTTCGATGTTTCTCAGCAGATTAAAAGAAATATCTAGAATCCTGAGAACAACCAAAACAGTTTTTTAAAAAAATTTCACGAGCATAGGTTGCATAGAACTCACAATTTAACCACTAAAGGTGGCGTCCCCATCAGGGGACGGCAGTCACTACCGGGTGGGAGAGGGTGGGGGGTTCTGACTGTGCCCCTGCTGCCGCCTGGCTCACACTGATGCTGTCATGAGGGATTTGGAGGCTGCCCAGGAGCCCGGAGCAAGCCAGAGGCAGCCTACAGGCTCCTGATGCCCTGGCTCCCAGTATGGTATTTGAGGCAGAAACTATGTTTTGTTCACACTTGTGCCCATGACAGGACCTCACACCAGGCTCTGCACACAGAAGGGGCCTGAGAAGTATTGAATTAGAAACAGAAACAAAACAAGCAAAAATGAATGAGCGACAAAGGGCAGAAATCCAGGTAAAGTTATAACTAGGACCTGGCTCCTTCTTTTTTAATTTTAATTTTAATTTTTGTAGACAGGGTCTTGTTATGTTGCCCAGGCTATCTCGAACTTCTAGGCTCAAGTGATCCTCCCAATTTGGCCTCCCAAAGCACTGAGATTACAGGTATGCACCACTGCACCTGGCCTAGGACCTGACTCCTTAAATTAGAAATGTCACTTTTTTTTGTAATTAAAAAAAAGAGTATTCAAAAGGCAAGAGGCAATTCTGGATTAACTTTCCTCTCTACCGATCTCAGTATCATCCCTGAATGGAGGCTTTCCAGAAGTCCCCACTGCAGCCTTCCCATCAAAGATTTACTTTGGAAGTCAGGATTGTTCAGGAAGCCAAAGACATGCATGAAGCCGATGAGGCCTCCTGGAGCCCTGAAAACAGGAGGCAGAGACTTGGGATTCAGATGCAGGGCAGGACCCTGTGGCAGAGGCAGCCTCTCAAGGGCTAAGAGCCAGCAGGAGGTTGGCTCTGGAGACTGGACACCCCCCACCCAGTGGCCTTCCCACCATGCTGTTCTCCTGTGGGTCTCATGACTCACTCCAGCTCTGTTAGCGCCTCCAGATTCTCAATCTTCTTGATCTGGTTGTCGTAAAGATCCAGCTCTCGAAGACTCTGTAGCTCCTCCAGATTCTCAATGCATTTAATTAAATTTTGGCGGAGGCAGAGAGTCTGGGGGATGGGAAAAGGGACAATTGACACAGGCAAGGGGGAGGCCACGAGAAGGCCTCAGCTGATACTGGAGGACACAAGAAAGGCCTTTCTGGTAGAAGGACATGTCTTCATTCTCCTGCTGTTTCCTAGAAAGGTGCTGACCTTTGAGAGGCAGGTGGGCAAGGGCACTAAGCTATAATTCCTTAACACACCTGAGGAAGGGCGGGAACCCAAAGGGAGGCAGGAGGCAGGCTCCCCACCAAGCAGGCCAGTTGGGGAGGGAGGCGTTGGCCTGGGGTGTGGGTGTCTGCCACTTCCTGGCAGAACATAAGAACCTTTGGTGGGCTCAATTTTGACAAATTCCAATGAGAGGCACGGAGGACTGTAAAAGTCAGCGAGTGCCTAATTGAACACAGGCACAGAAACCGAGGCAGGCCAGAGTCACAGGTCACTGGCTGCCTGGGCTCAGGAGAGCCAGCCCCAGGGCTGTGCCTCAAGTCCCTCGACTGCTGTCTCACACCTGCTGTGCTCCCAGTAAAGAAAGGCCTGCTACAAGGTGGAGGCAGCCACGCCGCCCACAGGCTGGGACAAGGACCACAACTCAGGACTGACTGCTCGATTCTGGACTTATCCACATCCTATGGGTGAGCGTCATAGTCCCCTCATAAGAGTCCCTCTCACCTTCACTTTCTTCAGTACCTCAAATCCTTCAATCTTCCCTATGCGATAGTGATTCAAATCAACATCCTGAAACAAAGCAGAAATCTATACTCAGCTATAGCAAAGTGGCTGGAGACCTGTGTCGTCCTAGAAGAGGCGGCCTGGAAGTGGGCAGCAGTGGGGGAGGCAGTGCCAGGTGGGTCTGCAGCAGACAGATGTCAGTGACAAGGTGTGCTGCGGGGGCTCTTTGGCTTAGTGATGACTAAGTTTTATGTAAAACTGGCCCTTAAAATGATTGGTACATGACATCTTTTTCTCATTCCTTAGATCCTGTATGCACAAAACATAAGCTCAGGTTCTGAGGATATGCACCCCATCCCATCACCATCAGAGACACGCTGTGGGCTCAGGAGGCCCAGTGGCCAGTCATACACAGCCTGGGGCCATTGGGACCCTCATGTATAATGTAATCATCAGACCCAGACAATGTATGAGTCAAAGGCATCTCATCTGCCACACAATCCTCAAGGGTCGAATAGACATGGGGATAACAATCACTGGTAAGAAAAACATGAACACGGGACTCTGACTCAACCAAGGGAGGCTTAGGCCACCTCTCTAGGGAAATAACTTACTAATCTCATACAAGATAACCTGACAGGGTGGTCCATCACCACGCCCAAGGCTGGGCTGAGCAGGCGGCATTACCTCTGCATCTCTGTCCAGGTTGATGGTTTCCATGTCCACAGGCAGCTCATGTTCTTCTGAAAAAATAAGAAAAAGAGATTTGTTCAGAACCCCATTAACAGGAGGCACTGGTGAAGAGCTGCTTCTGGCTGAGGTCTGGGGCTGTTTGGTGCCCAGAGCCAGCTCAAACCCCGAGGAGGAACCAATGGGAAGGTTTGCTGAGGACCTGGAGAATGTGGCAGGGTTAGACCCTGCTCCAACAATAGTGATGTTTTAAGCATTCTGAATTTCCTGAATTCAGATATTGGCAAAGGTCACCAAACATCCATCTGTGCCTTTGAACTTCCTGAGAAAGGAAATGTGTTTTGAACCTGTTAGTGGGAAGGAGGGGAGGAAGTAGCTGAGTGCAGGTGAGCAGGGTAGCACTACTGCCTTTCCGTGACTCCCAGAGCTGCAGAACTGGCAGCAGCCTGCCTCCCATGTAGCTTTTCTCTTTTTGTTTGTGGCAATAAACCAGGCCATTAGAATCTAGACCATGCTGGGCACATCAGATGCTCTAGGATGGGCCTTTTATTGCTTTGGAAGGTGGCCCAGCATCTACAAACACTTCCCTCTGCAAAGAGCAAAACAAAACAAAACATAGTTCAACAGATAGGATCAAAGAAGCTCACTGAATAATTTAAACACACTTCTCAGTGGGGAGACTGGTGAACTCACTCCAGCAGAGAAGCCCATTGGATTTCACGAGGACTCTCTACCCCGGAGCCGGCATCCTCTGTGCGGAGGAGGGAGAGAGCTGCTCTCCCTGCTGAGGCGACAGCTTCCCTGTTAAGCACTTCCTCATTTCATTTCATTGGAACCTACTTCAGCATGTGTGCTGAAAAGGACTAAGACACACACAGATGCACACACACACGCATGCACAAAGACACACAGGCACGTATGCACACTACACAGACACACGCATGCACAACAGTGGTATACACAGACTCATGCAGACACACAAACACGCACACTCACCCCTCAAAACACTTAAAAAAATTAACAGTAATTCCTCAATATCACCAAAGATTGTCAGTGTTCGTATTTCCTCAACTGTCTTAACATTTCTTTCCTTAGTTTACTTGCATTATGATCCAAATAAGGCTGTATATTGTGACTAGATGGTATTTCTCTTTTAAAAAACTTTTTTAAATTAATTTTTTTTTAAGAGACAGGGTCTCACTCTGCTGTTCAGGCTGGAGTATAGTGGTGTGATCATAGCTCACTGCAGCCTTGAACTTGTGGGCTCAAGCAATCCTTGTCTTAGGCTCCCAGGAAGCTGAGACTACGGGTGTGTGCTACCATGCCTGGCTAATTTTTTAAAACCATGTTTTGTACAATCAGGGTCTCGCTATGTTGCCCAGGCTGGTCTGGAACTCCTAGCCTCAAGTGATCCTCCCACCTTGGCCTCCCAAAGTGCCAGGATTATAGGCACGAGCCACTGCACCCAGCCCAGCATTTTTCTTAAATTTCTTTTTTCCCCTTGCAGTTTTCTGTTGTAGGAAAACAAGCTGTTTGTCTTGTAGTGCTTCTCCCAGTCTGGAGTCTGTGAATTATATGCATAGGATGTTCTTTCTCCTGTAAACAGATTGTCATTGTCACTACCTTACAGGGCTGTCAGTGCTGTTACTGTGGCTCTTCCTAGAGCAAACGTGCACTTGCTTCTGCAGGGGAGTGAGCTCACACAGCCCTGGACCCCATGCCAAGGGCTGGCTCCTCCAGCCTGGCTCCTCCTCTCACCTGGAGGCCTCTGAGAGGAGCACCTGACATCAGACCAGCTTAACAAAGTCATGATCCCACATGGTTGCATTCACTTCATTGTTTTCCACTATGCCTTTTCTATAACCATCAACTGTGGTTAGTTAAAAAAAAAAGTTTACTATAGTTTATCCACAACTGTAAAGGATACCAACCTAAGAATTAAATAAAAGGAACTGGGCAAAACCAAGAGATAGATAACAAATCACCTCAAAAGACAGTGTCAAGTCACCGTTCATAAACTCAGGAAGTTGCACTGGAAGAGGTGCTACAATTAAGGCAGGGCGCCCAGGTCATGTAGTCCAAACCAGGACCCTTTGAGAGCAGAAGGGCACAGTTATGCTGGGCCAGCAGGCAGAAACGGGCTGTGCCAGGCTCCTCAGGACACACGGTCGCATGGCTTTAAGGGGTCTTGTTTGTAATACAGCCAGCAGGGCTGGCCGCTCACCACTCAAAATGTCAGCTAACCTCTGAAACAAGGTTTCCAGCCTAGAATGCCCTTCTGAGTGTATTATATATTCATCATATTTTAAAAATAATTTAAGGAAAATAGGTAGAAGGTAACAGTTGACATGATTAAATTTGTTTTAATTGAATTTAAGACTTAAATAAATACAGGTAGGAGCAAGTCTTGGCTCCTCTAAGGGCTAGAAATGCATATTCCCAGAAAATTCATAATCAGCTAATCATCTCGAAGAAAAAACTTGGATTTTTCCAGGCCAGGCCAGCTGGTCTGCCTTGTAGCCGTGTGCCCTTGGACAAGCTGCAGAGAGTCTCATTTTCCTCATCTATAACACATTACCACACTGGTGTACTTACAGAACATGATGACAACATGATTAGCCTGTGCTAGTGAGCCAGGGAAAGAAAGCACACAAGGCTTGCTCTGCCAACTCTCAAGTCCTCCATAAACACCCAATGTCTCAGCAGCACCCATCTGAGGATAGCGGGGGCTCCTACCGCTCCACTGTTGGTGACTAAGTCAGGCGATGACGGAAGCTTCCATCTATCACTCCCATGCACTTTATTCCACCCACATCACTTCCAGAACATCAGCCTCAAAGTTCCAAAGTGAATGTGACTGGTACTTTTGTGGTAATCTCCTTGTGACTTAAAAGTAGGTTGCCATAGTTACCAATCATCTTTGCTGGCACAGAGAGCACAATGTTATTTTAAAAATTAGGTTTGTTTCTTCATAAATTTATTTTCATAAGGGATGCATGATTATTCATACACTGTATACAAATCTAGAAAACACAAAATGTATAGATCCTTCTTAAACCTGCTGTTTGGACAGACTCAGCCCGTTTGATGTGTTTTCTTTCTTTAGCAGGTAAAAGTACATACATGCATGCATACTGTTCAGAAACTTTTTTGTTTTGAGATGGAGTCTCATTCTGACCCCGGCTGGAGTGCAGTGGTGTGATCTCAGCTTACTGCAACCTCTGCCTCCCTGGTTCAAGCGATTCTCCTGCCTCAGCCTCCTGAGTAGCTGGGACTACAGGTGCACACCACCATGCCTGGCTAATTTTTCTTTTTTTCTTTTTTTTGTATTTTTAGTAGAGACAGGGTTTCACCATGTTGGCCAGGCTGGTCTCGAACTCCTGACCTCAAGTGATCCACCCGCCTTGGCCTTCCAAAGTGCTAGGATTACAG
Source organism: Homo sapiens (assembly GCF_000001405.40). Classification (NCBI taxonomy): domain Eukaryota; kingdom Metazoa; phylum Chordata; class Mammalia; order Primates; family Hominidae; genus Homo; species Homo sapiens. The sequence goes on along the minus strand of NC_000002.12, from coordinate 241,154,427 downwards.
GCGTAAGCCATTACGCCCGGCCACATCTAGGCACTTTAGAAGTCAATCCTCAGGCCTATAAAAATGGTAAGGCAAGACTCAGAAATAATTTCTCTCAGAGATTAAAGGTTTCTATTGCTATGGTAGGACATAGAAACACAGCAGTCAGCCATAACATTTATTTCGAATCTCATTTCCTAAACATATGGTTAATATAACAATATTGCGGTTCTTTTCTTTTTCCTTTTTTTTTTTTTTTTTTTTTTTTTGAGAAGGAGTATCCCTCTGTCACCTAGGCTGGAGTGCAGTGGTGTGTTCTCGGCTCACTGCAACCTCCACCTCCTGGGTTCAAGCGGTTCTCCTGCCTCAGCCTCCTGAGTAACTGGGATTACAGGCACACGCTGCCACGCCCAGCTAATTTTTGTATTTTTTGTAGAGACAGGGTTTCACCATGTTGGCCAGGATGGGCTTGATCTCCTGACCTCGTGATCCACCCGCCTTGGCCTTCCAAAGTGCTGGGATTACAGGCATGAGCCACTGCATCTGGCCAACAATGTCATGGTTCTGTCTCAGACGGCATACTAGTACCCATATTTGTGCTAGGATTTGCCTTCAGTGGAATTGGAAAAAACCACATCCTTTTTGCAAACGCCATCAATGAGTCAGCCTGCTGAAGGAGCACCTCAAAGAGCATATCCACCTGCCCTGGGCCACTGAGGACCCCTAAGGAGCACGGCAGTCCTTCTCCAGACCGACACAGCACCCACACCCAGGGCCAGACCACGTGCAGCACAGCCCACATCCCCCAACCAGCAGATGTCCCCAAGGGAGCTGGGCCTGGTACCTTCTGGGTCCTCCTCCCCCCGCTCCTCCCCATCCTTCAGGCTCTGTTCACTGAGGTCGGCCACGATGCCACTGCTGTGTTTCTTCCCTTCTTCATCGCCGGATTCTTCAGACTCGACCCGCCTGTCAACTGAACCCACACATGTCAATGAGAATTCACATCCACTTTATGGGACTTTGAGGAACATATAATAAACACCCGGTTGTAAGTCAAAAGGATTTCATTTAAACATGTTTGTTGAATCCAGTTCAACGAACATCTGAGTGTCTCCCATGTCCCAGCACCATTTGAGGCATATGGCCGCGGGGAGAATGGGGAGCAGAGTGTGGAGCCCACATGGATACTTAGGTGAGGAACACACTACTTCTGCCCTCAAGGAGCTTGTGAAGAATTGCCCAGTGTTCTGAAAGCCTTGGATCACCTGTGATTAAATCCACTAATGGAACCCGGTAGTGAAGCACCTCCTGAGTGCCTTTCACTTTTGGGCTGGGGGATCACCACTGTGACCCTTCTGCCACATACCTCCATCCATGCTCCACTATTTATCTGGCTAAGAAAACCAGCCAAGTTCACAGGCCCACGTTCTGAAAGAAATCAAGACTAACTCAAATCAGACTGTGGGCAGGGAGGATCACTAAGGAAAAGGAGAATACAGCCAATAGTGCTGACCGCCCACAGAAAGCTCATTGGTGTGAAATGAGCTTTCACACTGGACACTGGACAGAGTGTTAGCAACTTAAGGCTTTTAAAGGTTCATAAATATTTTTTGAATTAAAGAATAAGGCAATTCAATGTGTCAGGTAAAAATTCTTTGGTAAGGTTGTCAAATCATTTTTCTTTTTTATAACTTTACTCATGACCTCTTTTGGAAGTCTGTCTGGAAAACATGAGGCACTAACACATTACTTGGAATTATCAACCATACTGAAAATACTCTTTCCTGACTATGGTTTATCTACAAAGAGATGTGCTCTTTGAGGGAAAAAGTTCAACTTCATCTTTGTACTTCCCGCTTAGCCTAGCAAAGTAAAACCCAAGAAAGGATTGCTGTAGAAAACAAGTCCTTATAAAACCCACCTCCAAAACCTCCAAATCCATCTCTTCTTCCCTACCCCCGCAATGACGGTGGCTCACTTACTTATTAGCTGCAGCCTGGGCTCCTGCCCTGCCTCCTAACTCGTCTCTGTGACTTGTCTTGCCCTGCTTAACCTATTCTCCCCTGCCAGAGAGTCTGATCTAATTCTAAAATCCAAATCTGATCTTTTGAGTCCAAAAGTATTTCTGGAATGCTCTTCCTGAGTTTGCATCTTGCTGCTAGAGATGCAGCTTTGGCAAATCGTTTCCATTTGAAAGCCTCAATCTCCTAGTCTGTGGAAGGGAGCTAGTATAGCACCTATGCCTCAGCAAGTTGCTGTCACGGTTAAATTAGAAAAGGCACAAGAGCAGTTAGCACGTGCATGACATGCAGTAGATATATAACAAATTAGTCACCACCAGGCACAGGTCACTTGGTGGTCCAGGCTCAGGGAGAGAAAGTTCTACTGCATGACAATCTGGCACAAAAACCCCAGTAAGAGGAGGAGTGGTGTGAGGTTAGCAAAGGCTTAGCTAACGAAGGTTGGCCAAAGTGAAGCCTGAGGGCAGCAGAGAGGGTCTGGAACATGGGACAGTGGCTCTGCATGTAAGAAAATGACTTTGGTGTACTGGGGATGATGGGCTGGTGAACAGGGACAATCAATCTAGCCTAGAGATGATGAAGGTCTGAGTTAAGGTACTGGCAATGGGAATGGAGGACGTATCGGAGATTTGGAGATACTTTCAAAAGTAAAAGTCAGAGCTCCTTGACTAACAGGACATGGGTGGGAGTGGGACAGTGAGAAAAGCCGGGCTTTTATATCTGTCATTTACCAAGACATGGAAACAGCTGAAGAGGGAGTGGGAGGATATGAAGAGGCGCTTCTTAAAAAGACTCAAAGGGTATGAAGTCCAAGACCCTTAACACTACCGCCCCCATCCCCACCACATACGATTTGGTCAAACTCTCCTCCACACCTTTTGACAGCAGTTTTCTCCGTCTTGAGTGATTCTTGCTCTTTTCCCTCACCCTATCCCCAACCTCGTTGCCTTCGAGTTATTCTTCAGGCTCCAGCTCAGAGCTCGCCCTGCTTCTGCAGCTGTCACCACTCCCTAACATGTCAGGCCTTCCTGCTGCACCCGCCCTCCTTCCCCAGCTCCACATTCCTCTTCCCTACCCCTTTCACATAAGGCAGTGACTGCTCTTCTGGGAGGTCTGTACCCCTCACCAAACCATGGGACCCAAAAGTACTTAAGCTGATGACACAACTGATTCCCCAGTTGCTAAGTGGGTGTGTGCACGCATTTTTACACACATACTGTACGTGCACGTATATGACTGTACCTACAGATATGCAGAAAATTATAAACACATGTGTACGTATAACATATACATATATGCATGTGGTTTTTTTTTCCAACAAAGTGAATGAGGAGGAAGAAAGTTGAATTCAGACTTTTTGGAACTATGACAGCTTTGAAAACAGGTATCACCTTGTGTAACTCAATCTTCCGGTTCCTTGTTACCCCTTCCCAACAGTCCATTCGATTTCAAGAGAAGACCCTTCTCCACCCTCACCACGTGAACCAAGGAGCAGACTCTGGTAGATCCCAGCGCCTCAGTTTCCTCGTCAGCTGACCGAGGAGGCTCCCCCGCCCGTCAATCTCAGAGGCTCGGGGCGAGGCTCCAACTGGACTGAATGGAGCCACCGCGTCCCATTCAGCCCCACCCCCGGCCTGGCCTCGCGCCGCCGCTCTCCCCCTAGCTCTGGGTCCTTCCCGGCCGCTGCCGCCCCCGGGCCGGGGCTCCCCCGAGGTCCAGCGCCTCCCCCGCTCCCCCGGGTCCGGCTGTCAGCTGTCAGGGGGCCGCGCGGCGGCGGCCAGAGGCAGGACGTGGAGTTTCTCTCAGGCACGGAGCAGTTCCAGCCCGCAGCTCCCCCCGCCCGCTGGGCCCTTGGGCCGCCGCCCGCAGGGGCCGCTCACCCTCCATCATCTCCTGCGACTGTTGCTGCCCCGCGCCGCGTTCCGCCGCCATGTTGGCTGCTCTTCCCCTTTCCGGAATCTGTCGCCTCAGACCCCTCAGCCAATCAGGGCTCCCGCCTCAGAGCCGGCCCTGCCAATGGGATTCCGGCGCGGCGACTTCAGCCGCGCCGCGCCTGCGTGGGCCCAGCGCCTCATGGGAGTTGTAGTTCCGTCATGAGGCCGCGCGCCGCGCCTCCCCCAGAGCAGGTAATTTCAGGCGGCGGAGCCGGAACAGTCTGGAGGCGAGAAGCTGGGAAGGAAAGCAGAGGGAGTCGAAGCGGGACGCACAGAGCCGTAGCTGCAGGCAGACGGAGTGGACGTCTAGGCAGAGTGGAGAGACGCCCTGGGCTTGAGAGTTGACTTATGTCACTGTCTCGACCTCGGAGGCGTGGAGGGGCCGCGGGCCAGGCGGATCTTTCCGTGGCTGCAAGGTGCGGGCCAGTCCTACGTGCATCCCTGACCTCTGCGAGCCTCGCTGGCTGCGTCTGTACAATGGGCCGAACGGCAAGAGCAACAACATTCTCCCGGCGTCCCCGCGCGGATTTTACCCATGCGAAATGCCGCCTTCTCTTGACGCTCGGAGCAGGCGGGCAGGTGCGGGGCACTTGCGCTGGTGGGGCCGCTAGCCAGCTGGCTGGCTCCGGGGCGCCAGCTGGGCTCCCCTTGCAAGTCGTTCCCAGCCCAGTGCGGACGCTGCAGCCTTCGTCTACCCTGCGGAGCCACCCGGCCCATGAACGAGCCGCCCCGCGTCCTCCGCCTTCAGAAAGAGGCCTCCAAGAGGCGAGCTCTGCGCTACTCACCCATTTTGATCGCGAGTCGGGAGGAAACCGCATCTGCCCGGCCCGGGGGCGGAGGCGCCCATTATTCCTTTGGCTCCTCCGAAGCGCCGTAGGGGTGTTTGGTGCGTCCCTAGCAACCCTTAGCGCGGGCTTCTAGACTCTGGCTAGCTTAGTCCCGCCCATACGCGCAAGTGGCTGGTCCGTGGAGCTTGTCAATCGGTGCTAGTCGCTGTGCGATTGGTCGGTGGGATAAAAGCGCGGAAGGGCTCCTTTCCGTGGTGTGTAGCCGGCTTGGCGTGACCCTCGCCTGATCCAGGTGAGATACCTGCGCTCGGGAGAGCGGGCCGGGCTCCGCCATCTCCCCAGGGCGGCTGTGGGGCCTGCGCGGCTCCGCGCCCCTGGCCCAGGAGGATCCGCCGCCCGACTCTTAGACCAGCCCGACCCCGGGTCTCCCGCCCCTGCGCCCGTCGCCCTTCGCGCACCGCCGAGCCCGCGTCCTCTCCGTGCCCAAATCGCGGCGGGGTTGCGGCCGTTGGCCCTGGGCCCCGCGCCCCCAGCGTCTTCGGGGTGCCCTTCAGTGTAGCCTGCCCGGTGGGCGCCGAGGCCCCGCGCCTCGGGTCGCCTCGGGACCCTGCGCTCTCTTCACCGCAGCCGGCCCTGCGGGGCGAGCTCCAGGAGAACCAGCCCGGATCCCGCCAGCCTCCTGCACTGGGCGTGTGGGTCCCTGCGGGCTCAGCCGGCGCCGCGGGGTCGGGGGCGCGCGCCGCCGGCGCTCGTGGTTACAGCAAAGACCTGGACTTGAGCCTTAATTTTTTCACTAATTTTTCTTTCCCAGAGTACGGCAGGGGCCTGCGCTGCCGTCTTGAGGCCTTTCTCGTCCTTACCTTCCGCATCTCAGTACCATTCGATGTCCATTTTTCTCTTAGGGGTTCCCTCTCTTCATCTTTCTGCTGCTACCTTAATTTAAGACTTTATAATTTCTTGCCTGGATTACTGTAGCCTTTCTCCTGCTTTCCAGCCTTGCACCGACATGGTCCCTGGAGTAATCTTTGTAAAATGCATATCTGGCCATGTTACTCCTAAGCATTGAATCCTTAAAAGTTCATTTTGGGGATAAAATTAAGACTTTGGGCAGGCATAGGAGGCTCTGGGCTCATGCTTGGCCCTTCCAGGCCCACGTCCACCTACTCTTCTGGGTACTGAACTCCTCTCTGGGAGGCTTTGCCTCTGAAAGACTTCTTCACTCTGCTTGGTAGGGCCCGGCTCTGCAGGTGCCTCCTCCAGGACTGACATCCTTGCTGTGTTCTACTGCACTGTTCACCTTGTTGGCCTCATCCTGAAACTGGTTCTCCTTTTTGTTGTACAGCTGTGCTGACAGCAATGGGAGCTGTTTGCTTCTTAGCTTATGTTCTGGTGGGAGGGGGACAGTTGCTTCTAGAAGTTCGCCGAGATGCTCCCTGCAAAGTTGTCCTTGCTTCTGTTTGGTCTGAGGTGGGGTCACTTGTGTCTTCTGGAATCAAAACTAGCAATGGGAATATGGTTACTCGGTGGCACCATTAGGTGCTGTCTGCTGGGTTTGGGTTCCCGTGTCTGCAGCTCACAGTGGATACAAAGGACAATTTTAAAAATTTGGGCCTGGACGTGCAGGTATTTCTGGTTAACGTCTGAGTCAAAATTTAGTGATCTAAGGTCATGTGAAGCCAGACTCTGTTCTTTCTTGAGGCCAGGCTGTGGCTGTGGAGTGCACGGGAGGCTCCAGGGGCCTATGCTGTTCAGTGACAAACTGGCCCACGTGGACTTCAGATGCCCAGGAGGCACAGCGGGAAAAAGGATGCATCTTTCCTGCTGTCCTCCCCGCTCCCGCAGAGGGTCCCATCAGTTTCCCTCCTGGATAGGCTTGTAACTCTCAGTAACCTAATTAAACTTCCACAACTTTAGTTGGTATTTATTTACTTTCTCCCATGAAGGACAAAAAATTGCATGCCCTTACCCTCCCTTTGCTTTTTTTCCCCCTTTCCATTTCATGTTAGTTACTTTTACAAAGAAACTTCTGTAACATTTACAATATATTCTGAATAGTTATATTACTTTTTTATTATTTTATTTTTTGAGACAGGGTCTTGCTCTGTGGCCCAGGCTGGAGTGCAGTGGTGCTGTGTCCTCTCACTGCAGCCTCCGCCTCCTGGGCTGAAGCGATTCTCCCACCTCAACCTCCCAAGCAGCTGGGACTACCAGCATGTGCCACCACACCTTGCTAATTTTTAATTTTTTTTTTGTAGAGATGGGGTCTCCCTATGTTGCCCAGGCTGATCTCGAACTCCTGGGCTCAAGTAATCTGCCTGGCCTCCCAAAGTACTGGGTATATGACTTTTTAAAATAGTTTTGTAACATTGACATTGCAGTCTGAAGAGTTATATTTTTTAGGAATTAAAGTTTTCTAACAATGTATTCTGAAGAGTTATATTACTTTTTTAAGAAAGTAAGGTTTTACAACATTTACAATGTATTCTGAAGCTATAATTAAGTGTCCTGAGCTTTGTCTATAGGTTGGTTCTAAAAGTAGAAAAAACTGCCTCACACTATAATCATGTCATTGTTATTTATTATGGCAATAATTAGTGCATTTGGATGCTTAGAGAAGGAGATGTAAACCTGTAACTAAAGGTCCCATTCATTGTTGCTGCTTGTAGGAAAGCTGCACACTCGAACCCCAAACCCTATATGTAATAGCTTCCTACACATCTGCAGGTTTGCAGAGCCTTTGCCTTCCAGGGTCCTAGGCTGGGTTTGTGTGTGAATGTCTCTGAATTTTTTGGCCGTATCAGTTTATTCATACAAAAGAATAAAGGCAGTGTTAGTCATGAATTGTACCAGCAGAGTGGATGCATTTGAACCCATCACCCTAGGAAATCAGGGGACCTGTGCCCTTGTGCCTCTTCCCCACTCTTGCACCTGCCTGACCCAGAGGGAACCACCTGCCTGAAATTTAGGTTTACCAGTCTCTTATTTAAGAAGTAGTTTAATTACATAGGTGTGTTTCCCTGAACTACTTATTTAGATTATTTCATGACAAAGGAATCCTCCTGCTGATTGTCTTCCGTAACTTGATTTTTTCCACTCGTATATGGCTAAGATTCACCCTTGTGTGTAGTTTATTTGTTTTCACTGCTGTAATTAGTGGTATGAATATACCAGAATTTAAAATCTATCTTCTTGTTAAAGAGTGTTTGGGTTTCATTTCCTTTTTTCCTCCCTCTCTCCCGCACTCCCTCCCTTTCTTCCCTCCCTTTTTTCTGCCTGTCTCTTTGCCATTGAGAACCATATTGTCCCGAACATTCTGGTGTCTTCTTATCTGTTTGCAAAAATTTCTCTGAAATATAAATCTAAGTGAAAAGTGCTGTATCCATATAGACAAATGTTTCACTTGAATTGTTTTCTAAAGAGATTATATTAATGTATTAAGAGTTCCTGTTGATCCAAATCCTTTTTGACATTGGGTATTACTAGATTCTTCATTTCTGCTGACTTAGTAGGTATAACATCATCATGATTAGGATTTCCTCTCCTGTAAAACGCTTGTTCCTATTTCTTGACATTTTTTATTGGGCCATGTGTCTTTTAAAAATGTTTAAATTTTAAATAGTTGATCTTTTAAAGCTATTCTGGATATTAATTTTCTGTTGGTTATGTATGTGGCAAATATCTTCTCCCAAATTGTGGCTTGTTCTTTCGTTTTCTTTATGGTATTCTTTGTGAAGCTGTGTTCTCATTTTTTTTTTTCTTTTTTTTGGGGGGGACGGAGTCTCGCTGTGTCGCCAGGCTGGAGTGCAGTGGCGTGATCTCAGCTCATTGCAACCTCCACCTGCCAGGTTGTGTCGCCAGGCTGGAGGGCAGTGGTGTCATCTCGGCTCATTACAACCTCCACCTCCCAGGTTCAAGCGATTCTCCTGCCTCTGCCTCCAGAGTAGCTGGGAATACAGGTGTGTGCCACCATGCTCAGCTAATTTTTTTTTTTTTAGTAGAGATGGGGTTTCACCACATTGGTCAGGATGGTCTTGATCTCTTGACCTCGTGATCTGCTTGCCTCGGCCTCCCAAAGTGCTGGGATTACAGGTGTGATGTGTTCTCAATTTTAACGTTAAACTTATTAATCTTATTTTATAGCTAGAGTTTTTTGTGCCTTGTTTAAGAAAACTTTCCCTACCCCAAAGTCTTACAGATAGCCTCTTTTCTCCTAAAAACTTAGTGATTTTATTTTATATTTTATTTGGTTTGACAGGTCTCGCTTTGTTGCCTAGGCTGGCCTCCATCTCCCTGGGCTCAAGCAATTATCCTGCCTTAGCTTCTAGAGTGGCTCGGACTATAGGTGCAGGCCACGAGACCTGCCTGGCTAAAAAGTTTAGTGTTTTGACTTCCACAGATCAGATCTTTTATGCCCTGGGCACCATAGTGAGACCTCATCTCCTAGTTAAAAAAAAAGATGGCCATGTGAAGATACATACAAACAGGGAGAAGTCGGCCGGGCGCGGTGGCTCACGCCTGTAATCCCAGCAGTTTGGGAGGCCGCAGCAGGTGGATCACGAGGTCAGGAGATCGAGACCATCTTGGCTAACACGGTGAAACCCTGACTCTACTAAAAATACCAAAAATTAGCCAGGCGTGGTGGCGGCTGCCTGTAGTCCCAGCTACTCGGGAGGCTGAGGCAGGAGAATGGCGTGAACCCGGGAGGCGGAGGTTGCAGTGAGCCGAAGTCGCGCCACTGCACTCCACCCTGGGCGACACAGCGAGACTCTGTCTCAAAAAAAAGAAACAAACAAACAGGGAGAAGCTCTGTGATGGCGAAGGCGGAGACTGGAGTGACGCAGCTGCAGGTCAAGAACACCAAAGATGGCCAGTATGGCCAGTAGCCACCAGATGCTAGGATAAGGCAAGGAGGGGGGACTCCTTGGAGTTCCATATTGGAAGAGGTGGTGTTGGGAGGGCCACCTCCCCTTTCCTCTTCACCCCAGGCCTGCCTTGTCTTGGAAGGGCCTCGTGTGGGCATCCTGCTAGCTTGTCCAAGCTCGCTATTCCTGGAAGGCTGCTCCTCAGCCAGTTCACGGCTATAGGTGTGCCAGTGTGGGAGGACCTGGGTGGAAAGAGGCCTGTGTGTGTCTTAGAAGTGGGCACCAGACCCTTTGGCTGGGAACTCTGGGGTTCTGGATACCCAGAAGGTGGTCCAGAAGAGGGTATATGGGGTGTGGTTGGGCTTGCCTTGGCCCCAGGGTCTCCTCATTTCGTGGGGGAAACTCCAGCCATGGTTCTGGTATTGGCCACAGCCTCCTCTTGCTGTTTATCTAAAGCCTGGATGACCAGGTGGGGGCTTCCTGCCAGTAGAGGAAATCTTCTTGCTTTAAGGGCTCTTTTTGTTGAGTTTGGCCATGAGGACAGGGTATTGGTAAATGTGTACTTGTGTTTCAAGTGCTTGCCAATATGCAGGATGGAACTCTTAAGTATCTCCACTCTGCAGGGTGGTCACATGAATGTATACATGTGACAAGACTGCATGGAACACGTGCTCACATGCGCGCACACACACACGCTCATGTACACATGTGCACACGCACACACACGCACGGACACACACGCACACCCACACACACACACACCTGCAGGTAAATGCCTTGAAATCTGGACGAGGCTGATGGATGGTATCAAGTCAGTTTCCTGGCTGTGACACTCTCCTGTAAGATGTCACCATGAGAGGGAACTCGGAAGAGTATGTGAGATTTTCCTGTATTTCCACCCTGTATCAGCATTTGAATCATGTATAAGAGAAAAGCTAAAAATACAAATCTCTGGTGCCAGGCCTGTCTCTAGGAGACATGGCCTCTTGGCCATGGCCCCCGCGACCTCACTTGTTGGCAGCACCCAGGTGATTCTGTGCACAGCTGGTCGGATGGTCAGGACTCACTGTTTAGGGGAAAGCTGAGACCATGGGAGCTGTGCAGCCCCCACGTGCTGATGGGTTCATCATGACCTGGGAGTATTTTCAGTTGGTGTGTACCTGCAGTCCCTGCCTTCCCTCATGGCTCCTTCCCACCCTGTTCTTTGTTTTCCTCTCTCTCTCCTTCCCTCTTTCCCATATCTTCCTATGTATTTTTCTTGGAAAGAGCTTCTTTTTTTTTTTCTTTTTTTTTGACATGGAGTCTCTCTCTATCGCCCAGGCTGGAGTGCAGTGGTGTGATCTCGGCTCACTGCAAGCTCTGCCTCCCGGGTTCACACCATTCTTCTGCCTCAGCCTCCCGAGTAGCTGGGACTACAGGCACCCGCCACCATGCCCGGCTAATTTTTTGTATTTTTAGTGGAGACGGAGTTTCACAGTGTTAGTCAGGATGGTCTCGATCTCCTCGATCTCCTGACCTCGTGATCCGCCCTCCTCAGCCTCCCAAAGTGCTGGGATGACAGGCGTGCGCCACCGTGCCTGGCCCGGAAAGAGCTTCTTTTAGCACCACTTTGGGTGGACCATTCTCCCATTGCGGGTTCTGACCCAGGATGGCGGTTGGTGGTGTATGTCTTTTGGGGCCGAGCTGAACTCAGCATTATAAATTAGTTGGTTAAACTGTCTTTGTGTTTTTGCATTGCAGATGTTAATCAGCTTCATGTTGTTTTCTAGTTGTTAGAGTTGGAAGCTTGGCAGTTGGCCTCCCTTCTTCCCATGGAGGACGGGGGCTTAACAGCCTTTGAAGAGGACCAGAGATGCCTTTCCCAGAGCCTCCCCTTGCCAGTGTCAGCAGAGGGCCCAGCTGCACAGACCACTGCTGAGCCCAGCAGGTCGTTTTCCTCAGCCCACAGACACCTGAGCAGAAGGAATGGGCTTTCCAGACTCTGCCAGAGCAGGACAGCGCTCTCTGGTAATGACCTTCGACCACTGCAGGCCTTAGCGCGTGGAAATACAAATGTGGAGTTGCTCTGTGTTCTCATGGAAACCCTCTCACCAGGGATTGAAGTCACTCTATTCCTGCAGAGAAAAGTTCGTGGTTTAAGTGCTCGGCTCATGCTGGCAGATGACTCCGGCAGGACCCTTCCTGCTGCTTTTACTCTGCTGTGATTCCCAGGCAGCTGGCGCTTCTTTTCAGGCAGCAGGTGGAACTCACCTTCACATTTCAGGGTCAAGTTACAACAAAATGTTATTTCTTACTTTAGAGTATGTGAGAACGCTGTTCTAGGTTAGGCTATTTTACTTAGGGAATTGCAGCTTTGCTCGTGCAGTTTACTGAGCTAAACGCGGTTTAGCTGGTGGACCAAGAATCATGGGGCAGAAGTCTGTTGGTGCCTCCTATGTCCAGATTCCGTTGGTGCCTCCTTTGTCCAGGCACCCCAAAGGACTGGGCCATGGTGAGGAAGGAAGCGTCACTTGCCTTTCAGGGGCTGTCTGATGGAGGCACTTGGGGAGACAGCAGGCTGTGTGCTTGAAGTTGGGGTAGACCTGGAAAATGGGGAAGTGGGGCATAGAGCTGCGGGAAATGGTGGCTGGGAGTCTGGTCTCCAGGTCAAGGAGCACTTCGACACTGGAGTAGGAGGGTGTTGGAGCTGAGCTTGTGCACTGGAGTGTCTGAGGGTGTAGAGCGGAGGGCCCTGTGGAGAGTGCCCAGGATACTGCAGGGAGGGGTGGGCTGGGAGGCACACAGCGCCCTTGGGAGTGGGCTTCACCCAGGCGCTGATCAGGAATGTTCTCAGTGAGTGTTGACAGGTGTGTTCCTTTTTTGGAGCATCATTCTGGTGGCTGCATGAGGAGCAGGGGTGGGAGCCGGAGGTACAGGGCCTTGAGACATGAGAAGGAGCTGCGCTTGGTGACTGCTGTCTGGGGAAGAGCAGGGGCGAGAGTGGCTGGATGGCCACGTGGTTTCCAGCCTCAGAGAATGGTCGGGGTCAGGCCACTCACTGAGAAAGTCAGGGGTCCTGGCTGGAGGACATGGAGGGGAGGGGATGGGAGAGAAATGGAAGGGTCAGGTCTTGAGTGCTTGGTTTTGAGCACTGGAAGAATGTATCTGGTGTCTCCAGAGATGGGGAAGCAGGCGAGTGGGCCGTGGGAGGTCCAGGCTGGAGGTGCGAGTGTGAGAGTCTTCAGTGCATTTCTAATTAGATGTATTTAAAGCTACCGAGGAATGGGTGAGATGGAGCCAGGGTCACTGAGAGGTGGGAGGTGGGGGAGCCCAGGTGCCCGAGGAGGGTGGTGTGGGAGGAGGGTGAGGCCTGAGGAATGACGGGGCTGAGGGTTTTGGGAGCCATTGGAGGCGTTGCTGAGAGAACGCTGCACAAGGAGCTCTTGAATCGTAGGAACGCTTCCAAGGAGGAGGTGACGGGGCAGCCACCGGAGTGGCCATGGGGTCTTGGAATGACTGACAGAGGACAGAAGGTGGGAAGGAAGGAACCTTTGAGTGTAATTAAGCTTTTTTGTTTTTTGGGACAAGGTCTGACTGTTGCTCAGGCTGGAGTGCAGTGGCGCAGTCATAGCTCGCTGCAGTCTCAAACTCCTGGGCTCAGGCAATCCTCCTGCCTTAGCCTCCTGAGTAGATGGGGCTGCAAGGGCACGCCACTATGCCCAACTGATTTTTACAAATTTTATTTTTAGTAGGGACAGGGTCTCGCTGTGTTGTCCAGGCTGGTCTTGAACTCCTGAACTCAAGCAACCTTCCTGCCTCAGCCTTCCAAAGAACTGGGATTATAGGCACGCCTGGCTTTGAGTGTAATTTAGACACAGAAGTGTTGATCTTATGCTGTTTGTGCTTCCGAGTGGACCTGGTGGTTGCCTAAGTGGATTCTGGGGACCATGTTCAGACACGCAGTGAGAGTGTGTGTTAGCTGTGCAGACTGACTTAATCCTTAGATCTTTTTGCAGGAGTTGAGGGCAAGGGCTGTGTGCTTTGCCTGTTTCAGAAGGTGGACTCTGGCAGCTGTGTGAAGTCTAAAGCTTCGCTTCGCTTCTCTTTTCAGAAGACAGATGGAGCTCCTATTGTCTATCATCACTGGCTGCCCAGAATATTTGTACAAGTAAACTGCACTGCCCTGCTGCCCCTGAGCACACGGACCCGTCCGAACCGCGGGGCAGTGTGTCCTGCTGCTCCCTGCTGCGGGGACTGTCCTCAGGGTGGTCCTCACCTCTGCTTCCGGCCCCTGTGTGCAACCCTAACAAGGCCATCTTCACGGTGGATGCCAAGACCACAGAGGTATTTGCTTCTCTTTTAGATCCAGCTGTGTAGATGTGGATTTGTGGTTTGTGCCTTAAACCTGGGATTTGTGTGTTTTAATGCAATTAGAAAAACATTTGGGCACTTCGGGAGGTGGGAAGTTTGCTTGAGCCCAGGAGTTCAAGACCAGCCTGGGCAACATAGCAAGATCCCATCTCTACAAAGAAATTAGCCAGGTGCGGTGGCACACACCTGTAGTCCCAGCTACCAGGGAGGCTGAGGCAGGAGGATCACTTGAACCCAGGAGTTCAAGGTTGCAGTGAGCTCTGATTGCGCCGCTGCAGTGAGCTCTGATTGCGCCACTGCACTCCAGCCTGGGCAACAGAGTGAGACCCTGTCTGTCAGGAAAAGGCTGGCTTCTGCATGGTCGTCCTGGGCTGTTCTGGGCAGCTGGTGGAGCTGCTGGGGATGTCTGCATCCTTGCTCCTCTTTGTGATTCCTCAGATCCTGGTTGCTAACGACAAAGCTTGCGGGCTCCTGGGGTACAGCAGCCAGGACCTGATTGGCCAGAAGCTCACGCAGTTCTTTCTGAGGTCAGATTCTGATGTGGTGGAGGCCCTCAGCGAGGAGCACATGGAGGCCGACGGCCACGCTGCGGTGGTGTTTGGCACGGTGGTGAGTGGATGCGGGTGCAGCGTTCAGTCTGGCCTCAAGACCAGCAGTGTGTGGCAGGAACAGCTCAGTGTTCCCTACCAGGAGCTCTGCTGGGGGTTGGGTGGCACCAGGACATCTCAGCTTCTTCAGCTGAAAATGTCATCCCAGGCGCCGTTTCCCCGCTTCAGCTGCAGTGGGGGTGGGGGCCCTTTAAGAACGAATCATCGCAGGAATGGACACTGTGGCTGTGGCTGGACTCCTGGGAGGTGTCGTGGGTGGCCCTTGCTTTGTCTGAGGGCTGTAGCTTCACTAATGTTTTGCAGTCCTGCCGGGCAGCACATCAGATGCTCAAGAGTAATATGGTTTTATTGTCTATTGATTTTTACATTCTGTTTGGTGTTTGTGGGAGCGGGCGGGGGTGTTGGCCTGGAAGCATTTCCCTAGACAGTGTTGATTCTCTCACCTGTGCCATGTGTCCAACCTGGATGTTGACAGGTGAGCTGAGTTGGATGTGGAGGACTGAGCCCAAGGCATGGAAAAAGCCCAAGGCATGGCTGATTGTAGGGTTTCCCCTCGTCAGCCGGTCGGGGACTGGGGGAGTAGCGTTGGAGGGCAGTGGAGGTTGGGGTATGATCTGAGGCTCTAGTAGTCATCCAGATCCTCCAGGTTGCCTGTTTCCCACCTAGTGTGTGGCTTTCACACAGAAGACCCCATTGCTTGAACTGAACTGATGTCACAGGCTTAGGACCAATTGTATCAGAAAATCACTGGTTCAAGAAACTGACTACTAAGAAGAAAAAAACTAAGATATTCACCATGTGTTGGTGTCTGTTTCTTTAAGAAATAACAGATACTGCTTTTTTCACCCTGCAATATTACCATGAACTGAGAATGAAATCTACTCTCTTGATAAAACTTGCACTTGGAGATTTTAATGTTCAGTATGGGAAATCTTGTTTGTGCTTTGGTAAATTTCTGAAATGAAAATCAGGTAAGCAGAAGTTGAAAACGTTGCAGTGCCTGGAGTTTGGGCCTCCTGGAGGCAGGTGCCCCACCCATACTGGTCTTTTGGGTTCATGGCATGCAGGTGTGAACCTGTCTGTTTCCACAGGTGGACATCATCAGCCGTAGTGGGGAGAAGATTCCAGTGTCTGTGTGGATGAAGAGGATGCGGCAGGAGCGCCGCCTATGCTGCGTGGTGGTCCTGGAGCCCGTGGAGAGGGTCTCGACCTGGGTCGCTTTCCAGAGCGATGTGAGTGTGCAACTTTGCCTCATGTCTCATGGACGCTGGAGCCGGCGTCGTTCTCCTCTTCAGCAAGTGCTGGTCCCTGTCTCATTCCTTTGGGAAGAAAGAGAGGATGAGGAGCCTGGAGGGTCTGCCCAGTGGTACCCTCGCTGATTGCGTGTGCTTGGGCAGGGAACGAACTTCCTATACTTCAGTTCCTCACCTGTGAACTGGGGCATAATCATAACTCCTCATAAGATTGTTTCAACATTTAAATGAGATAATATATGTAAACCCCCCAGGATAGTAGCTGGCATTAGAGACAGCCCTCATATGTGAACTGGGATGTTATTAATGAGCTGTGGTGTGGGCCAGGCTCCTGAAGAACAAGAAGGCCCACAATTTAGGTACGTCTCTGGTAGAAGGAGACAGATGATGAAGCTCTTATCAAATTCATGTGTATATGTCTCTTGCCCTTCCGATGGAGAAGTCATGTTGGGGTCTTGCTTTTGGCTTGAACATATTGAAGCTTAGTTAAATTTACAGCTGGAGCACAAGAAGCTTTTATGATAAGCACGGGGCTTTTCCTCCAGGGCACCGTCACGTCATGTGACAGTCTCTTTGCTCATCTTCACGGGTACGTGTCTGGGGAGGACGTGGCTGGGCAGCATATCACAGACCTGATCCCTTCTGTGCAGCTCCCTCCTTCTGGCCAGCACATCCCAAAGGTAGGGCTCCTGACCTCCCGCACTGTGTGATGGGGTGGAGTTCTTAGCTCTGAATCCATAACTGGAGACGCAGACCAAGGGTTTCTGAAGGCAAGGGTGGCCTTAGGGGTGGGACATGCTCAGTTTTGAGCTTCCTGTGCGCTGAGGCCTTGACCAAGGGCCGGAGCCTATGTGGTCTCCCAGCTGACCACTCTTGTCCCCTGAGTCTTCTCCCAGGAGCTGGGCCACCCACAGAGGTGGATGCTGGGACGCTGCCCAAGGCTGAGGGGTGGGAGGTAACATCCACAGCTGCGCAGCTGGTGTAGTGCTGCCTGTGGGGCCAGTATCCTGGTGCCAGATCAAGGATGGCACAGTTGCCAGTGGCGTGGCTGAGCCCCGAGCCTGAGCCCCACAGTCCTCCCTCCCTCCCTCCCTGCTGGTGCCCGGCCCCTCACTGGGGTGTCTCACTTGCCCTGGGGTTGCTGTGCCTGGGGCGGCTCTGGACACTGAGTCCTCCCCACCCACAGAAGGGCTCTTTCCTGGGCCAGCTGGGCCTGGGAGGAGAGGGAAGGCAGAGCAGTGTGGGTGTGAGATGTCCTGGGGACCTTCCCCGATGACGTGGGGTAGAAGTCGGGTCGGACGCAGCACAGACTCAGTGCTCTGTCCACGTGAAACACGGCTTAAGCCAAACGACAAGCCTTTCTTTCAGAATCTCAAGATTCAGAGGTCTGTTGGAAGAGCCAGGGACGGTACCACCTTCCCTCTGAGCTTAAAGCTGAAATCCCAACCCAGCAGCGAGGAGGCGACCACCGGTGAGGCGGCCCCTGTGAGCGGCTACCGGGCATCTGTCTGGGTGTTCTGCACCATCAGTGGCCTCATCACCCTCCTGCCGGATGGGACCATCCACGGCATCAACCACAGCTTCGCGCTGACACTGTTTGGTTACGGAAAGACGGAGCTCCTGGGCAAGGTGGGGCTGCCCTGGGCGCCTGGCTCCCGTTCCCTGGGAGGAAGCTGCTGTGCTCTGCAGTGCGGGCTTGCGTGTGGCACAGGCCTCGCACCCGGCAAGCTCTCCAGCTCGCTCCTTTACCCAGGAAGGACCTTGGGTCCAGGGAGGGAGGTCCCTGCTCATGGCTGCCAAGCTCCTTCCTCTCCACCCTTCCCCAGCAACCACCGTCGGAGGGAGAGGAGCACTGTGCTTCGAAGCCCTGAGAGATCTGGTCTGACTGATGGACCAGGGTTTACGACACAACTGCGGGGGTTCATTTCTCACCCTAGTAGAAATACTAAAAAGTAGCTAAGCTGAATTGTAGTTACGTTAAATTTAAGTTAGTTAAAAAGCAGTTAGTGTTCTTCCTGGATGAGGGGTTCCCACAGGAGCTGAGGGCATTGAGACCTTGCAGGGATTTTGGGGGCATGGACACTTGTGCCCTCTGTGAGGTTAGAGCGGGTTCTGGCATTACAGCTATGGGCAGTGTCCCGGTGAGGGGGCCACACACAGGTTCAGAGGAAGCATCTGTCAGAGCAGCTCCTGGCCTGGGAGGAAGGCCCCACAGTCCTTCTGTCCTGGGTGCATGTCACTGTTCCGGCCACCAGTGAGCCGCGTGAGGTGAGGCTTGCAAACACAGGCTCCCAGATCCATCTAAACATGGGGCCAAAGGCCAGATGTCTGCTCCAAAGATGTGTCGATGTCACTGTAACTTGCCGCAGAGTATGTTTTTACCTTTTTCTTAAGGGGAAAATCACAGATCACATGTTGAGCATCTGAGGGGCTTCAGGTGCGTCGAAGGGCATTTGGCCCGAGGCCTTTCCTGACCTTAAGGGTGAACCCTCAGGGACTGGCTCTCCTTGTGTTCATTCCTCCCCCAGGGGGACGGTCCAGTGGGTCAGCGTGGATCCTCCAGGTTCTGAAATGTCCCTGCTTTGTTTTCTAGAATATCACTTTCCTGATTCCTGGTTTCTACAGCTACATGGACCTTGCGTACAACAGCTCATTACAGCTCCCAGACCTGGCCAGCTGCCTGGACGTCGGCAATGAGAGTGGGTGTGGGGAGAGAACCTTGGACCCGTGGCAGGGCCAGGACCCAGCTGAGGGGGGCCAGGGTAAGACGTCCTCTTCCTCCTGAATGCGCCTGTAGCTGCTGAGCCCCAGACAGCCCCATGCCTCTGAGACAGGGCTGGGAGGAGCAGGAGCTATTGTCCCTCCAGAGGCTCAGGGGTGGTGGGGGGCGGAGTAGGGGGTGACTGTTTTCTGGTTTGATGTTCCTCTCTGTCTCGGGGGCTGTGACATATTCTTATAAACATATGAGCATAGAGAAGAGAATAGAAAACCCCCCAAGAGTGCATCACCAGTGCCCATGATATCCGAGACACAGCATCCGAGACACAGCTAACTGACCGTCTTGTCTTTTCTAAGTAAACTTATATAGCTTCATGTAGTTTAAGTGAAGCCATGTAGCATATCGGATTACCGCTGACCCTTGAACAACTGGGTTTGACATTAGAGGGTCCACTTATACACAGATTCTTTTCAACCTCAGAAATCCAGTACTGGTGGGAGGTGAAGTTGGCGTATATGGAGGGCTGACTTTCCATGCACCTGCGTTCCACGGGTGGGCTGTGGGACTTGAGGGTGCTCGGATTTTGGCATTCTGGGGGTCCTGGAACCCATCCCCTGAGTGTACTGAGGGTTGACTGCAATTCCTAAATTGAATGTTCTACCAGTATTTCCTGGTTTAATTATGTTTATCCCACATAGTTTTAATTTAACATTTTAAATGATTTCAACAAATACTCCGAGTCCCTTTCATATGCACAGTCTTAGGTGTGTGGCTTGTGAAGACAGGGTGAGCACACTGCCTCCTGTCCCGAGGGACCCACTCTGGCTGGGAGCAATGAGGGGCAGTAGAACCCGCTGATGTCCTGGCAGGGCCCACGCCTGAGCTCCTGGTAAGGAGCAGGCCCCTGGCTGCTTCCACAGTGCTCATTCTTGTTGACAAGCATGGGGTGGGGGTGCGCCCTGTCCCTGGCTCTGCCCTGGTGGGGACCCCGGAACTCTGCCTCCAGGGCCTCTGCCCACCTGGAGCGTGGGCTCACTGGGTGTGGTTCTGGAGTTCCTGGGGCAGGCTGGGGCCCAAGGGTCCAGGTGATGGTGTGGCAGGGGTGTCAGGTGGGGGGGTCTCTGTTCTATGGAAGGACACAGTGGGGGTGAGAGAGAGAGAGTGGCCAGTGCTGGCAGAAAGCACAGCCACCTCGGGGCTCTGCATCGTGGTGGGGCCAGGCGGGTCGGCAGGTGCTGGCTTGCGAGGTTGTCCTGCATGCGGTCACTCGGGTATCGAATGAGTGCGAAAGTGGATTTAATACAGTCACTGAGAAAAACTACAGCTTCACGAGACTGACCAGCCTGGTGAGATAAACATTTACCGTCAGACACTCTTTAGCTGTCTGGGCATTGTGTGAGTTCTTTGGCACATGCGCCCAGCCTCCTTCCCCACAGGGTCTCGCCTGGGGCATTAGAAGCTGGATTGTAACATTTGTTTTAAAAGATACTTTGTTAGGCTGTTGGTTCTCCTTACAATCCCGGCTTTCCTTAGCATGTGGTTCCCTTCATTGTATCTGGGTTTTTCTATCTCAGTCTGTCCTTTATACAAGCTTTTTCCTCTAGCACTAATTATATTCCCCTTCCCCTTTTTCCAGAATTCCAAATTCTGACCTGTGCATGCATGCCTGTGTTGAGTACATGCTGTTTGTCGGATATTTGGTGGTGGGGGGAGGGGATCACATTTCTGTTACTCTCGCATTGTTTCCTTAGGATGAATTCTTAGAAGTGGAACTTCTGGATTCAGGGAATGAACACGTTTGCTAGTTACTGTCAAAAATGCCTCTTGGAGAAGTTATGCCGAACCACCCAACTGTCCTGGTCACAGAGCAGGCTTCTCTCGGCTTGGGGCTAGGGTTCTTTCTGGGGTCGTCCTTTTTTTTTTTTTTTTTTGAGACAGAGTTTCGCTCTTGTTGCTGAGGCTGGAGTGCAGTGGCACCATCTCGTCTCACTGCAACCTCTGCCTCCTGGGTTCAGGTGATTCTCCTGTCCCAGCCTTCCGAGTAGCTGGGATTACAGGGATGTAGCACCATGCCTGGCTAATTTTGTGTTTTTAGTGGAGACGGGGTTTCTCCATGTTGGTCAGGCTGGTCTCGAACTCCCAGCCTCAGGTGATCTGCCCGCCTCGGTCTCCCAAAGTGCTGGGATTACAGGTGTGAGCCACTGTGCGTGGCCTCCCAGGGTCCTTCCTAATGCAGGCTGCTTTCTCTCATGTAACCAAGAGACATACATTCATCCCCTACCACGTGCCAGGCTGCACTGCGTGCAGATGCCCCTGCGCTCACGGGGACTGGAGGGAGCCAGGTGACATGGAGCCCAGGAAGTGGCCAGAGCTCGGGAGGAAGGCAAAGAGGGGAAGAGGGCATGCAGTCTTAGGCTTGGGGTCCCAGGAGGCCTAGGGAAGCCTTGTAGATACCCAGGTACAGCATTTCTGGGATCAGGAGCCATGATCCCAAGGCCTCTAATACTTCAGATATGGCAGGGAGGCCAGGTGGAGAGACCTGGAGGAGTGAGGCCACAGAGTTGGGGGGCCATGGCCGAGACTTCGGCTTCTATCCAGAGTCAGATGGGAGCTGTTGGAGGGTTGTCAGCAGGTGAGTGCCGTGCTCTGACTTGGGTGTTAATAGGATCATGGTAGCTGGCTGCAGGTGTCCTGGGCCAAGGAGCAGGGAGACAGGAGGCAGAGAAGAGGGCGCTGGGTTGGACCTGGGACGCCTGGGGTGGTGAGAGGTGGTCGATGCTGGTCATGCTGTGAAGCAGTCTCAGTGAGTTCCAGGCGAATGAGCAGATTCGTTTTAGGGAGTGCCTGTGAAGAGCAAACGCTCTTTTTTGGTGTTGCTGCCAGATCCAAGGATTAATGTCGTGCTTGCTGGTGGCCACGTTGTGCCCCGAGATGAGATCCGGAAGCTGATGGAAAGCCAAGACATCTTCACCGGGACTCAGACTGAGCTGATTGCTGGAGGCCAGCTCCTTTCCTGCCTCTCACCTCAGCCTGCTCCAGGGTAAGTCCCTTGGTGGGAGGTTGCAGGTTTACTAAAAGTCCAGACAGATGGTAGGTGAATGAGGAACAAGTCAGAGAGAAATGTTCAGCCTATTATTCATAGTAACATTGAAAACTCACATGTGTTGAGCACCTGCTCTCTTCCACACACACTGACTGCTGGGTTTTCTGTGCTGCCTGGCTGAGTCCTTATCAGCCTGTATGGGAGGGCACCATGGTGTTACTGTCTCACTGTAGGGATAAGGAAACAGGCTGTGGAGAGTTCCAGAATGTTGAGGTAGATTTCAGAGAACTGATGGAATCATAATTTTATCATTTTCTTTTTTTTTTTTTTTTTTTTTTTTTTTAGACAGAGTCTCGCTGTGTCACCCAGGCTGGAGTGCAGTGGTGCGATCTCAGCTCATTGCTCATTGCATTGCAAGCTCCGCCTCCCGGGTTCACACCATTCTCCTGCCTCAGCCTCCCGAGTAGCTGGGGACTACAGGCGCCCGCCACCACGCCCGGTTACTTTTTTGTATTTTTTTTAGTTTCACCATGTTGGCCAGGATGGTCTCGATTTCCTGACTTTGTTATCCACCCGCCTTGGCCTCCCAAAGTGCTGGGATTAATTTTATCATTTTCAAAGTCATATGAAGCTGTTCTCTTTGCACATTTTAAAATATTCTATTTAGAGTAAAGAAAGTTTATATTAGAGAATTAGGAACATTTGGAAAAGTAGAAATAAAAACTTGTTCTATTCTCATAGTCGTATTGTACATAGCACGTGTGTGTGTATTTTTAACCCATTTTCTTCTTCGGAATCTTTTTTTTTTTTTTTTTTTTGAGATGGAGTCTCACTCAGCTGCCCAGGCTAGAGTGCAGTGGCGTGATCTTGGTTCACTGTAACTTCTGCCCCCTGGTTCAAGTGATTCTCCTGCCTCAGCCTCCTGAGTAGCTGAGACTACAGGCACCTGCCACCACGCCCGGCTAATTTTTGTATTTTTACTAGAGGCGGGGTTTCACTATGTTGGCCAGACTGGTCTCGATCCCTTGACCTCATGGTCCACCCGCCTTGGCCTCCCAAAGTCCTGGGATTACAGGTGTGAGCCACCATACCTGACCCAGAATCTTTTCTTATGCACAGCATGCAGTAAAGGTGCCCAAACTGTAGGTGCCCAGGTGGCCCAGGACCCTTTCTTGGCTGCCTGCAGACCCTGGGTCCCTTCCTGCACTGTGCCCCCTACACCCTGCTGCCCTGGGTCAGGGCAGAGGTTAGACTGCCTGCCGTTGAGCCTGACGCATGCATTTCCTTCTGTCTGCCTTCTGCTTATTGCTGTGTCTGTGATATTTATCCACATAGTTGTGTTTTCTAGTCTTGAAATTATTTAAAAAATATGTAATAGATACATATAAAGTATGTATGTATGTTTAAAAATATGTAATGCATGGGCCAGGCGCGGTGGATCACGCCTATAATCCCAGCACTTTGGGAGGCTGAAGTGGGTGGATCATGAGGTCGGCAGATGGAGACCATCCTGGCTAACACGGTGCAACCCCGTCTCTACTAAAAATACAAAAAATTAGCCAGGCATGGTGGCGGGCGCCTGTAGTCCCAGCTACTCGGGAGGCTGAGGCAGGAGAATGGTGTGAACCTGGGAGGCGGAGCTTGCAGTGAGCCTAGATCGCGCCACTGCACTCCAGCCTGGGCGACAGAGTGAGACTCCGTCTCAAAAAAAAAAAAAAAATGTAATACATGCATATGTGTTTTTTTAATTATAGAAGAATAATGGTAAAAGCAATAGTTCCCCTGGCCGTCTTCCAATCCCCCTCCTCCAATCCTACTCTTTCCCCCAGGGGACCGCAGTCAGCAGTTAGAGCCTTCCAGGCCTTCTTTCTTGTGCATTTAACTATAGTTGTATATTATACTTCTATGTGTGCATGTGCATATGTGTGCTCACATGTAACTGCTTCTGTTCCCTGAGCACGGCTGGGATTATACCATACACAGTGTCCTAAATGTGTGTGTATGTGTACGCACACACATGTCCTGCAGATCTTCCTCTACAGGCCTCCTCGGAACCGAAGCCTCCTGGATGGCACCCTAGCTCATGGGCCACTTTCCCACTGGCCGATGTGCCGGTGCTTTCTCTTGTTTGCTTAGCCTCCCTGATTTTCCCTTTGCCACTGTGGGTCCGCGTTGAGTGGCGTGAGAGGGTAGCTGTTGGCTCTATTTGCTCTACTTCCACTGCGAGTGGAACAGAGCAGGCGCTCAACACGTGAGTTTTCAATATTACTATGAATAATATTGCTGTGCGCACCTCTCCAGAGGTGCCACCAAGCTGAAGTGGGGCGGCCGTGGTTGAGGGCCCAAGTCTGACCCGTGGGTGCTCAACAGCACTAGCGGCCGGGCCCCCTTGCCAGTGCTCCCGTTGTCTGGGACATCTTGGTGGACAGAGGCCACGTGGCCCGTTGCTATCCTCAGGACCTTGGACACAACTCATCTTCCAGGACTTGGTGGTACCAAGGGAGTTGCCCAAGATCAGCCAATTCCTAGTCTTTCTATTGCATTGGACGTTTCTGGATGTCACAGTTCTGAGAGTTTGATTAGCATCCACTGCACAGCTAGTGCAGTTATGACTATAGAGATTTATCCATTCATTCCCCGCTCAGTCATTCACTCACTCGTTCGCTTATTCAACAAATAAGCATTACAGAAGACTTGGGGTGTGTCCCTAAGAATTGTAGTCTGGTCAGGACAATAAGCTGAAACAGTAAGACAGAACAGGGTTAGGAAGCATGAAGGAAGGAGGTGAGCTGTACGGAGTGCTTTTGTGTTTTAGGGACTACGTTGGGTGCTTCCTCGTAAGTTGTCTCCTTTAGTTCTCCTGGTAATCCTGGGAGTGTAGTCTGATTTTTAGCAAATGGATGCTGAAGCTGAGTGAATTGTTACACTGGGCATCAGGTCCTCGAAGAGACCCCAGGTGATGTGCTCAGACAGCAGGTGGGGGTCTCGGGTCTCCACGGGGGTCAGGTCCTGGTGCTTCCCCACTGGAGGACCTACGGTCCCTGGGGCTGCCCTGGGTTGAGGTCCCAGCAGCTCAAGGCCTGTGTGCAGTCGGCAGATCACATCCTTCATGCCCTGACTGCATGCTGGCCAGAACTGAGTGGCGTGGCGATGCCTGGCTGCCAGGGCAGCTGGAGGATGTCCTCATGTTTCCTGAGTTGCTGTCATGCTGAAAGTCAGAGATCCACAGTTTCACAATCTCTTAGCCAAAATTATGAAATCCAAAAAGCCCCCAACACTGAAATATTTTTCTTAGAATTGATGCTAAAAGCATTGGACGGTCAAATTGGCCCTAAGCACGTGAGAAGCTGTTTGTGGTTTTCCCTTGACCTCTGCAGTTTGAGTGTTCAGAGGCCTTGCTGCAGACACAGGGCAGTGGATGCCCGTGAAGCCCTCTCCCCAGCCTGCTGGGGTCTCCCTAGCAAGTGGTCATATGACTTTTCTGAAATCCCCAAACACATCTGGCCCAAGGGTTTTGATGGAAGGGCCGTGGACCCAGGTGACTGTGGAGAGAACGGGTACTGAGGCTGCAGCAGCCCGCTAAGGCCCCAAGAGCATGGGTGAAGATGCAGTGCTGCCCAGGGGCCTCAGCTTTGTGTCTGGACTGTGCCCCAGAAGTTGCCCAGACTCTTTGGCAAGGGGCTTTGTGAGACCCTCGTGGTGTGCATTCGCCTCCTGTCTTACCTGATCCTGCAGGAGGATGTGCAGTTTCCTAGCATTTGCATGGGGTTTGTCTCAAGCATGGGATGGATGGAGAGCGGGAGAGGGAGGTACAGGGGAGAGAGAGATGGGAGACATGGAGGGAGAGAGGCGGGAGACATGGAGGGAGAGAGGCAGGCAGACGCAGACCCTCAGCCTCCCCCTCAGTTCCCCTCAGAAAACTGCTTTTCCTCAGAACTTGGCTCACAATCCCTTTCTCTGTGGAACCCACCCTTGGGTTGTATCCTTCCTCTTCCGTCTTTTTTTTTTTGAGATGGTCTTGGCCATTGCCCAGGCTGGAGTGCAGTGGTGCGATCACAGCTCACTGCAGCCTAGACTCCTGTGCTCAAGCGAGGTTCCCGCTTCAGCCTCCCAAGTAGCTGAGACTACAGGTGTGTGTCACCACGCTGGCTAATTTTTAAATGTTTTGTAGAGACGAGGTCTCACTATGTTGCCCAGGCTGGTCTCGAACTCCTGGGCTCAGCCTCCCACAGTGCTGGGATTACAGGTGTGGGCCACTGTGCCCGATCCTGTCCTCTTTCTGAGCCTCTGGTATACCTTTATTAGGTTGCTGATGTTAACCTGTGTGTCTGTCCCCGAGTGAGGTGGTGCGGTCACATTCTGTGCATCTGGTGCCCAGTGTCAGTCTGTCATGTGGAGGCCAGTGGCTGGGCTGACAGGAGGCCTGGGTCCCTTGGCTCTGTGATCATCCTGTCTGGACTGTGGCAGCCTCCTCATGGGTCACCATGTGCTGAATGCTGGAGGACATTGTGTGCCACCTCTTAGGAGCCGCCCTCACCAGCCTCCTCTCTCTTTTTCGGCCCGTGTCCCCTTCTTTTTTTGTTTGTGTTTGAGACGGAGTCTCACTCTGTCACCCATCTCACCAGTGAGCTGGTACAATCTCAGCTCACTGCAACCTCTGCCTCCCAGGCTCAAACCATTCTCCTGCCTCAGCCTCCAAGTAGCTGGGATTATAGGTGCCTGCCACCTCACCGGGCTAATTTTTGTATTTTTAGTAGAGACAGGACTTTGCCATGTTGGCCAGTCTGGTCTCGAACCTCCTGACCTCAAGTGATCTGCCCACCTCGGCCTCCCAAAGTGCTGGGATTACAGGCGTGAGCCACCACGCCCGGCCCCCTGGCCCCTGGCCCCTTCTGTGTGGGCCCCATCTGAGAGCCATTTCCCAAATCTGAGAGCCATTTCCCTAGTCGGCTGTGAAATCGGATGGTGTTTGTAGTCAATCAGTTGTTTTTTTACTGTTGTGGAGTTTACCAGGGACTCTCCAATCTCTCTCTCGTTTCCTCTCACACCTCCTCAAGGCAGCAGCACGGACTTCCCCTTGCAGGTGGGGCCGAGGCTAGGCTGCACGGCTGACGGGGGGTTTGGGGGCCCTGAGATGAAGCGAGAGCGCTGACCAAAGCATTGGCAAGTTCTCCTGTACTTTACTGTTGGGCTTTTGGTAGCATTCTCTGCAAAATCATTTCTAAATGTGGACTTAATTTGGAGAAATTTGAGACTAAGTGCTTTATTTTTTAACTTGGTCACAAAATTTGGTCTTTTTCTTGTTATAAATTGGTGGCATTAAATGCTTTGTACTTAGTTCTAATGGAGAATCGGTGCAATCTCTCCTTTTGACTCATCTGTGGCCCTACATGATGGTCACCCATGTCATTATCCCCAGGGTGGACAATGTCCCAGAAGGAAGCCTGCCAGTGCACGGTGAACAGGCGCTGCCCAAGGACCAGCAAATCACTGCCTTGGGGAGAGAGGAACCTGTGGCAATAGAGAGCCCCGGACAGGATCTTCTGGGAGAAAGCAGGTCTGAACCAGTGGATGTGAAGCCATTTGCTTCCTGCGAAGATTCTGAAGCTCCAGTCCCAGCTGAGGATGGGGGCAGTGATGCTGGCATGTGTGGCCTGTGTCAGAAGGCCCAGCTAGAGCGGATGGGAGTCAGTGGTCCCAGCGGTTCAGACCTTTGGGCTGGGGCTGCCGTGGCCAAGCCCCAGGCCAAGGGTCAGCTGGCGGGGGGCAGCCTCCTGATGCACTGCCCTTGCTATGGGAGTGAATGGGGCTTGTGGTGGCGAAGCCAGGACTTGGCCCCCAGCCCCTCTGGGATGGCAGGCCTCTCGTTTGGGACACCTACTCTAGATGAGCCGTGGCTGGGAGTGGAAAACGACCGAGAAGAGCTGCAGACCTGCTTGATTAAGGAGCAGCTGTCCCAGTTGAGCCTTGCAGGAGCCCTGGATGTCCCCCACGCCGAACTCGTTCCGACAGAGTGCCAGGCTGTCACCGCTCCTGTGTCGTCCTGCGATCTGGGAGGCAGAGACCTGTGCGGTGGCTGCACGGGCAGCTCCTCAGCCTGCTATGCCTTGGCCACGGACCTCCCTGGGGGCCTGGAAGCAGTGGAGGCCCAGGAGGTTGATGTGAATTCGTTTTCCTGGAACCTCAAGGAACTCTTTTTCAGTGACCAGACAGACCAAACGTCATCAAATTGTTCCTGTGCTACGTCTGAACTCAGAGAGACACCCTCTTCCTTGGCAGTGGGCTCCGATCCAGATGTAGGCAGTCTCCAGGAACAGGGGTCGTGTGTCCTGGATGACAGGGAGCTGTTACTACTGACCGGCACCTGTGTTGACCTTGGCCAAGGCCGACGGTTCCGGGAGAGCTGTGTGGGACATGATCCAACAGAACCGCTTGAGGTTTGTTTGGTGTCCTCTGAGCATTATGCAGCAAGCGACAGAGAAAGCCCAGGACACGTTCCTTCCACGTTGGATGCTGGCCCTGAGGACACGTGCCCATCAGCAGAGGAGCCAAGGCTGAACGTCCAGGTCACCTCCACGCCCGTGATCGTGATGCGCGGGGCTGCTGGCCTGCAGCGGGAGATCCAGGAGGGTGCCTACTCCGGGAGCTGCTACCATCGAGATGGCTTACGGCTGAGTATGTCCCGGGCCCCATAGGAAGAAGTGTGGTGCTCCCAGAGCACAGTGCAGTGGGGGTGCAGGGCCTTCCTTGTTCTGGGGTCTGATGGGGTTTCACCCTGGAATAGTGTTAGCAGAAATCATGTTTTCAAGGAGAATGCATATCATCCACCCCTAGAAAATTAAGATTACGAATGTGTGTGCCTGGGGAGGGTGGCGCCCAAGGTCCCAGGCCACCTGCCCCATGCCCGTCAGTTCCAGCTGTGCCCCCTGACTCAGGCCATACACTTAGAGAGCCGCTCCTCCCAGCAGCCTGGGGAGATCCCGTCGGGAGCAGGAGAAGCGTGGGGGTGTCACGCTAGAGTCTGTCTCTCCACCTCCCACCAGCCCCCACCTCAGTGGTCACACAGACAGGCCGAGAGGGATGTGAGCGTGGTGAGATGCTCACGTGTTCTTCTTCCGTGCTTTTGGTGTTTAGGCTGCCCTGATCTCTGAAAAACCTGCCCTTCTGTGAGGGTCATGTGATCGGGCCCCTCTGCTTGCCCCTTTGAGATTGATTCTGTTTTACTTTCTTTTTTATTTTCATTTCTTTTTTTTTTTTTTTTCTTTTTTTTTGAGACAGAGTCTCTCTCTGTTGCCCAGGCTGGAGTGCAGTAGCGCGATCTCAGCTTACTGCAAGCTCCGCCTCCCGGGTTCATGCCATTCTCCTGCCTCAGCCTCCCTAGTAGCTGGGACTACAGGCACCCACCAGCACGCCCGGCTAATTTTTTCTATTTTTAGTAGAGACGGGATTTCACTGTGTTAGCCAGGATGGTCTCGTTCTCCTGACGTCGTGATCCGCCCGCCTCGGCTTCCCAAAATGCTGGGATTACAGGTGTGAGCCACCGTGCCCGGCCTATTTTTTTTATTTTTTGAGACAGAGTCTTACTCTGTCCACCCTAGCTGGAGTGCAATGGCATGGTCTCGGCTTACTGCAACCTCCGCCTCCTGGGTTCAAATGATTCTCCTGCCCCAGCCTCCTGAGTAGCTGGGACTACAGGCGTGTGCCACCACACCCAGCTAATTTTTTTGTTTTTTTAGTAGAGACAGTGTTTCACTATGATGGCCAGGCTGGTCTCGAACTCCTGACCTTGTGATCCACCTGCCTCGGCCTCCCAAAGTGCTGGGATTACAGGCGTGAGCCACTGAGCCAGGCTAATTTTTTGTATTTTTAGTAGAGATGGGGTTTCACCGTGTTAGCCAGGATGGTCTCGATCTCCTGACCTCGTGATCCGCCCGCCTCGGCCTCCCAAAGTGCTGAGATTACAGGCATGAGCCACCATGCCTGGCTGTATTTTCCTCATTTCTTAATAGGTCCACATTATTTTAGCCAGTTGTTTCCATATTGCTGATTTTGTAGTGTTGATAGCTAGGGTTTTTTTCTTACACTTAAAAGAATTTTGTAAATAATACGTGTTATTTGTAGAAACATTAGAAATATAAACAAGAAGAAAATAAAATGGGCTGTAAACCCCCACCACCAAAGAAAGCTAACCACACTTATGTTGGTGTATAGCTAGGAGGCTGTGGAAAATGCACACATGCTTTCTCTATGTAAGTGGGTATGGAATTGAATATGGCTGTTAGTGAGTAGAGTAGGTACATGTGTACATGCTTTTAATGTAAGCCATTCACATTCTTGTCACTGGAAGGCCGAAGACCCACCGTGTGTAGGGCACGTTGAGTGCAGGTTCTCCCGGCTATTCTGAGTTGGGGGTTGTCTGCACCCTCCGCTACAGGCCTCTCTGGAGGGCTTCCTTGGCCTCTGGCTGCCCTGAGTGAGGAGGTGTGGTTGTTGCAGGCCTGCAGGCTATGCCCCAGGGGTCTTTCCCTGGCCGGCCCTGACAGCTTTCCTCCAGGCCTTGGTGCTGCCTGCCTCTGCCTGGGCTGCTCTCTGGTCTGTGTTCTGGGGATTGAACTTTCTAACTTAAAGCTGCTGGGGATTGGACTGTTGCATTCTGGGGACTGGACTTTTCTAACCTAAAGCTGCTGTCTAGCCAGGTCAGCACAGGCCTGTGCGTTCTTACCTTCTCACCCTTCAGGTATACAGTTTGAGGTGAGGCGGGTGGAGCTCCAGGGCCCCACACCTCTGTTCTGCTGCTGGCTGGTGAAAGACCTCCTCCACAGCCAACGCGACTCAGCCGCCAGGACCCGCCTGTTCCTTGCCAGCCTGCCCGGCTCCACCCACTCTACCGCTGCTGAGCTCACCGGACCCAGCCTGGTGGAAGTGGGTATTTGCAATCAATGCCTGCCCTGGACTTGCCTTGTACTGTGTGGCAAATATCCTAGTTGGCATCTCTCTCTGTTTCCTTGGGGACGGGAATACAGTCTGTTTGTAGCTTTTTTTTTTTTTTTCTGGGACGGAGTCTTGCTCTTGTTCCCCAGGCTGGAGTGCAATGGTGCTTTCTCAGCTCACTGCAACCTCTGCTTCCCGGGTTCAAGTGATTCGCCCGCCTCAGCCTCCCGAGTAGTGGGGATTACAGGCACGCGCCACCACGCCTGGCTAATTTTGTATTTTTAGTAGAGACTGGGTTTCTCCATGTTGGCAAGGCTGGTATTGAACCTCCTGACCTCAGGCGATCCACCTGCCTCAGCCTCCCAAAGTGCTGGGATTATAGGCGTGAGCCATTGCGCCTGGCCCTCTTTGTAACTTTTCACACTGTCTTTTAATATCCAGTGTGACTATGAAGCCACTTTAGGTCGGGCATGGTGGCTCAAGCCTGTAATCCCAGCACTTTGGGAGGCCAAGGCGGGTGGATCACGAGGTCAGGAGATCAAGACCATCCTGGCTAACACAGTGAAACCCCATCTCTACTAAAAAAAATACAAAAATTTAGCCGGGCATAGTGGTGGGCGCCTGTAGTCCCAGCTACTCGGGAGGCTGAGGCAGGAGAATGGCGTGAACCTGGGAGGCGGAGCTTGCAGTGAGCCGAGATTGCGCCACTGCACTCCAGCCTGGGCGACAGAGCCAGACTCCGTCTAAAAAAAAAAAAAAAAAAAAGAAGCCACTTTAAATCTGCCTAGGCCCATGTATATGGTGGGGTGTAAACACGTTTCGACATGTGTGCCAGTTGGGATCAGTGTGCTGAGGCTGCTTGGGGTGCCCTGTGGAGATAGGCTTTCAGACCTGTCTGAGAGCATGGGAGGAGAGGGGACTGGAGTGCAGGGCACACCTGCCTCGGGCGGCTGCTGAAGACGCAGGGGGACCACTGTGGGTGCTGCACCTCTGCCCGGTGCAGTTGCATGTGACCCCACAGACCTTCTTCTGCATTGCAGGTGCTCAGAGCCAGACCCTGGTTTGAGGAGCCCCCCAAGGCTGTGGAACTGGAGGGGTTGGCGGCCTGTGAGGGCGAGTACTCCCAAAAGTACAGTACCATGAGCCCGCTGGGCAGTGGGGCCTTCGGCTTCGTGTGGACTGCTGTGGACAAGGAAAAAAACAAGGAGGTAACCTGGCTGTGGGGGGGGAGTGGCGCCGGGCACCACTTCACATGGCTCTCGACTTTTGGTCCCAGTTCTCAAACCTGGGGTTTTTGGAGGAGTCCTCTAGGTATGGCACCAAGCACACAACCTGGCATGTGGGCGGTTTCCGGATTCAAAGAGGCTCTCCCAGCAGCACACACGTTGACATCCAGGGTTGCTGATCCCGTCCAATTGTAGATTCAGACCTCGAACAGGCCAGGCTCAGGGCTTCGCCTCCTGCCATTGTGTTGAGATCCCACATCTGGACCTGTGTTCCCTCCTTTCTGAGCCTGGGGCTTGCACCATTCTCCTACTCCCCACTGAGATGCTCATATCTCACGGGCACTGCACATGCATGCTGAAAACATGCTTAATCTTTTCAAATAACCTGCTTTGGGTTTCATTAATTTTTCTTATTTATAATCTATTTTCAATCTTGTGACTTTTCTCTTATTATAAAAAATTTTTTTCATTATTTTTTCTTACTTTGGATTTAATTTTATTTTCTTCTTCTATTTTCCTAAGGTGGTATCTTAGATCATTTATTTGAGCTATGCTTTTTTCTAATATAATCATTTAATGTTTTAATTTTTCTCCAACCCCAGCTTTATCTGTGTATCACATATTTTCATATGTTGTGCTTTCACATTCATTCATTTACAAATACGTTGTTACTTTGTGTTATTTAGAAGTGTGTTGTTTAATTGCCAATTATTTGGTGATTGTTCAGATATCTTTTTGTTTTTAATTTCTTTATAGAGAACATACTTTGTATAATGTCAGTTTCTTTAAATTTGTTGATGCTTGTATTATGTTTTGAAGTCTCTACCTATACTTGTGGATTTGCTTGTTTCCCTTTGTAATCCTCCCAGATTTTACTTCATATATTTGGAAGCTCTGTTGTTATAGGAATACCCATTTAGTATCATAGCATCTTCTTGATGAACTAATTCCTAATTTGATATGCCTTGTTCTGAAGTCTACTTTGATATTAGTATGACTACTCCAGCTTTCATTTGATTTGTGTTCACATAGTAAACTTTTCTCATTCTTTTACTTTTAGTCATTTATGTCTATATTTAAAATGGTCTTCTGTAGGCAGCATACACTTGGATCTTGCTTTTGAAATTCAGTCTGAAAGTCTCTAATTGAGGTGTTTATACCGTTGATGTTTAATGAAATTACTGATATGGCTGGATTTAAATCTATAATCTAAATCTAGATGTTTTCTATTGTTTCTGGATATTTCTGTGCTTTGTTATTTTCCCCTCTATTTTTCCTACTTTCTGTTGACTATATTTTATTATGTCATGTTTTTGTTTCTTGTTAGTTTTTAATATTTCATCATGATTTTTGGCATCGGTATTGAGATATAGTTCACATACCATATAATTCACCCATTTAGAGTGAACAGTTCAGTAGATTTTAGTATATACAGAATTGTGCAACCATCACCACAAACGAAGAACATTTCATGACCTCAGAAAGAAACCTCATACCCATCAGTAGTCAGTCGCATAACCCCCGTCCTGCTCGAATTTCCTCCATCCCATCCTGGGCAACCACAAATCTACTTTCTGTCTCAATAGATTTGCCTATTCTGGACACTTCATATAAATGGAATCATGCACAGCATGCTCTTTTGTCACTGGATTCTTTCATCTAACATAATGTTTTCAAGGTTCATCCATATTGCAGCATGTATAAGTACTTCATTCTTTTTTATGACCGAGTAATATTCCATTATATGAACAGACACCATATTTTGTTTATCCGTTTATCAGCTGATGGACATTTGTGTTGTTTCCATTTTTTGGCCATTAGGAATAATGCTTCTATGAACAATTGTATATAAGATTTGTGTGAACATATGTTTTCAGTTCTAGGCATATACCTAGTAGTGCACTTCATGGGTCATGTCGTAACTCTGTGTCTAATGTTTTGAGGAACTGCTGAACAGTTTTCTAAAAAGGTTATACTGTTTTTACATTCCCATCAGCAGTGTACAAGGGTTCCTGGTCTACATATCCTTGTCAACACTTATTATTGTCTTTTCATTTCTAGCCATTCTAGGGGGTGTGAAGGGGTAGCTCACTGTGGTTATGATTTGCATTTCCCTGATGACTAATGATGTCAAGTGTCTTTTCATGATCTTATTGGCTGTTTGTAAATCTTCTTTGGAGAAATGTCTGTTCTGATCCTTTGCCCATTTTTTTTTTCTTTTGAGACAGAGTCTTGCTTTGTCGCCCAGGCTGGAGTGCAGTGGCACAATCTTGGCTCACTGCAACCTCCACCTCCCAGGTTCAAGCGATTCTCCTGCCTTAGCCTCCTGAGTAGCTGGGATCACAGGTGCACACCACCAGGCCCAGCTGATTTTTGTATTTTTAGTAGAGATGGGGTTGCACCATGTTGGCCAGGCTGGTCTCGAACTCCTGACCTCAGGTTATCTACCCGCCTTAGCCTCCCAAAGTGCTAGGATTACAGGTGTGAGCCACTGTGCCTGGCCCTGCCCCTTTGCCTACTTTTAAATTGGGTTGTCTTTTTATTATTAAATTGTATGAGTTCTGTATTTTAGATACAATTTCTTGATCAGATATATGATTTGCAAATATTTTCTCCATTAAATGTGTTGTCTTTTCACTTTCTTGATGTTTCATTTGAAGCACATTTTATTTTATTTTATTAATTTTATTATTTATTTTCTCACATTGATTGTACTTTATGGATGGTTTATAGGAGGTAAGGACTTTCTGCTTAAAATATTTAAAATTTACATGTGTACACAAACATACACATGTTCCCCCACCCGTGGGGAAGGACAAGATGACTCTGAATAGAGGATGGAGGAGGAGGAGAGGGTGTAGACAGAGGGCCCTTGACTCCTACAGGGGCAGCAGGATAAGGAACAGAGTGGGGCAGAAGGTGGGTTATTAAGAAGCATCTTGCAGGCCGGGCGCGGTGGCTCATGCCTGTAATCCCAGCACTTTGGGAGGCCAAGGCAGGTGGATCACGAGGTCAGGAGATCGAGACCATCCTGGCTAACACGGTGAAACCCTGTCTCTACTAAAAATACAAAAAAATTAGCCGGGCGTGGTGGCGGGCACCTGTAGTTCCAGCTACTCAGGAGGCTGAGGCAGGAGAATGGCATGAACCCGGGAGGCGGAGCTTGCAGTGAGCCGAGATTGCGCCACTGCACTCCAGCCTGGGCGACAGAGCAAGACTCTTGTCTCCAAAAAAAAAAAAAAAAAGAAGCATCTTGCTTACTGACATGAAGCCACATGCCCAGCGAGAGCATGGATGAGGCCTCATTGGTGTAGAGGAGGCCCTTGGAGGGTGGGCACATGATGCCCAACTAGCCAGCCAAGGCCAACGTCCCAGGGGTAGGGCGGAAGTGGGGTGGCGTGCACAGGGCACGCAGCCCAGGCCTCTGCTGTCCCCACCTCCCTCCCCACCCTCCGAAAGAAAAGACAGTTTGGGCCTCAGCCATGGACGGACGCCGTTACTGGCAGCGTCTCCTTAAACTACAGAGATACAATGTGTATCAACAGGGTGATCGCTTCTGACCCACTCAGGCAGACACCTAGAGGTGCTGCATGGGCCAGAACCAGTCCTATGGTATCTTTGGTTTGTGGGCTTCCCTCCCGACTTGAATCCTCCCTCTGTCCAGCCTCTGGGGTGGGCCTCAGGGCTGGGAACGGGCTGCTCGATGGCGCAAGGCCCAGCCTGACAGCCCTTGGAGGCTGGGGGTGCTGCCCTTGCCAGCCACGGGCAGCTTACTCACTGGGGTGCTGGGACTTGTATGAGAAGATCTCGGCAGCCAGCTGCTGCGGGTCCAGGAGCTGCGGGAAGTGCCCCATCATGGCCTCCACCGGGTGCGGGGTGTGTACACCACACAGCTTGGTGTACACGCTGGCCTGTTCCTTGGCCAGGCTGTCTGCCCTGCGCCGTGGGCCCCTGCCAGCCCCTGGGCTTTGCACTGGGGGCTCCTGAAGACTGGGAAGCAGAAACATTTTAAATGGATGACGTTTAGTTGGTCTCTTTTACCGTTTGTCACTTGTGTTTTGGTGTTATATCTAGGAAGACTCTGCCAAGCCCAAGGTCATAAAGATTTACTCCCATGTTTTCTCTAAGAGTCTTATGGTTTTAGATTTTACATGTAAGTCTTTGATCTATTTTTGAAGTTAATTTTTGTGTGTGGTGTGAGACTGGGGTTGGACTTCACCCTTTCGTATGTGGATATCTAGTTGTACTAGCACTGCTTGTTGAAGACTGTCCTCTCCCCATTGAGTGGTTTTTGGCACCCTTGTCAAAAATCAGTTGACCATAGATGCATGGATTTGTTTCTGGACTCTGAATTCTATTCCATTGATCTATAGTCTGTCTTTCTATCTTAAGTGTGTCCTTAAGCCAGTACCACACTGTCTTGATTACTGTAGCTCTGTAGTAAGTTATGAAACTGGAAAATGCTAGTCCTTCAACTTTGTGTTTTTTTTTTTTCCAAGCTTGTTTTGGCTATTTTGAGATTGTTTTGGCCATTTTTCACTTTCTTAAGGATTTTAGGATGAGCTTGTCAGTTTTGCAAAAAAGCCAGCTGAGATTCTCATAGGAATCACATTGAATCTGTAGCTCACTTTGGAGAGTATTGTCATCTTAACAATATTTAGTCTCCTGATCTGTGAACGTGGAAAGTTTTCTATTCATTTAGATCTTTAATTTCTTTCGGTAGTGTTTTGTAATTTCAGTGTACAAGTCTTGTTGTTCTTTTGTTAAGTCTCCATTATTTTTATGTCCAGTTTCTTCTTTTTTCCAGGTTTATTTTTCATTTGCTAGAATATATTCGTTGCCAGTTTTTCCAGGAAGGATTCATGGGTACTATACATTCAGTCCTTGTATGTATTAAAGTGTGTTTATTTTTCTCTCATATTTTAGTGATGATATGCCTTTCTCCTCTCAGAACTTTTTAGACCTGTATCTGTTGTAATCTAGCATTATTTTGAAGTGAATTTTGCTGACAGCAAAACGTGATTTATTTTTCTTTCTAGATGTAAAATCTTTGTCTTTCAAAGTTTTCACCAGGATGTCTTTAGGGGTTTATGTTTGTGTGTGTTTTCTTTATTCTTGCTTGATACTTGGTAAGACTTTGATCTGAATATTTAAAGCTTCCGTTCTTTGGTTCCGTTAATTCTTTCCTTCTCCCTCCTCCTGACACTCATTTTAGGTGTGCATGGGCCCCCCTGGAGGAGCCTGCCCTCTTGTCTCCTTGGCCCTGCAGCTGGACAGGCCGCAGGCCTCTTCACCTAGAGTGTCAGGGCTCCCGCCCTCCCGGAGGCTTCTGGAGCTCTGCCACATCTCAGCAGGCCCTTCTTTTGCTCCTCAGGACCACAGCCTGCTTCCCCTCGTCTTCTTGCTTTCCCTCAGTCTCACTTCTGGCCTTTTGGGCCATAGTGACCCTCCCGTCAAAGGGTCTTCAGAATTTGTCTCCTTTCACCTCTCACAGGCTGGCACCCAAGTTGCCCCCTTCTCTCCTGATGACGGTGAGAGGCCTGGATGTTGCCCAGGCTCCGATGATTCTTCCTGCTCCCGCCCTGGCCCCGATGCCCTCCCGATGCCCACTTACGTTGCCTGCCCAGCCCCCCGCCTCCCTCACACCTCCTCACAGCTCAGGTGCGCTCTGCCACAGTCCTGTGCTCCCGCTGCCCTCTGCCTGGAGGGCCTTCCCCGAGGCGCTCAGAAGCTGCCTTCCCGGGACTCACTCCCTATCCCATGCACCTCGCAGGGGCTGCACCCCCGCGGCACTTCCTGCCCCATCTTTTTTTCCTTCTTGGCACTCATCGTTCCTTGGTGCGTGATCTCACTCAGCATCTCTTCCTGACACCTGAACAGGCCCATCCTGTGGTTGGCACCCGCTGGGTTGCCCATCGCTCCTTCAGCTGCGTGCCGACACCCACGTAGCAGCAGGCGTTGTGTTGGGCGACCAGATTTTCAGCGACTTGCAGTGTTCTTTCTTTTGTGAATGGTATCTTTTTCTGTTACACTTTGACTATCATTGACTGTGGTAGCACTGTTTTTCTTATATTTACCTTATGTCTGTCAGTCTTGCTAAAGTCTGATTAATCTCAGAGTCAATGTTGAAAACATGTCTAAGAGTGATAGCTTTTCTTTGTATTTTCTAGTTTTCTGGCTTCTTCGTTTATTCTCTTGGCCAGGGCTTTCCAGTCCTTGGTTGAGAAGTCGGGGTGACGTGGATGTTCTCCGGGGCACATGCCCTGAGGCCTCTGGGGCCCTCTCTCCAGCCCAGGTTATGGCTCCCTCAGCTCCACCTGGATTCTCCATCTCACCCATCTGTCCACCTTACAGAATGGGCAGTAATGACGCTGCATTTCTGGTCAGCTGCTGACCCCCTTCTGTGCTTCCTTGTGCTGCAGGCGTTTATCACTTTGTTTCTTCTTTCATGTCCGTGGGACTTAGGGGAGGTAAATGCAGGGGATGTGTCTGCCGCATGGACCAATGGTGGCCCTGGTGTAATGGGATGCTTGAGGACTGGGTGGCCCTGGTGGAATGGGATGCTTGAGGACTGGGTGGCCCTGGTGTAATGGGATGCTTGAGGATTGGGTGTCCCTGGTGTAATGGGATGCTGGAGGACTGGGTGTCTCTGGTGTAATGGGATGCTTGAGGACTGGGTGGCCCTGGCGTAATGGGATGCTTGAGGACCGATGGTGGCCCCTGGTGTAATGGGATGCTTGAGGACCAGGTGGCCCCGGCGTAATGGGATGCTTGAGGACTGATGGTGGCCCCTGGTGTAACGGGATGCTTGAGGACCGAGTGGCCCCTGGCGTAACGGGATGCTTGGGGACCGGGTGGCCCCGGCGTAATGGGATGCTTGAGGACTGGGTGGCCCCTGGTGTAACGGGATGCTTGGGGACCGGGTGGCCCTGGCGTAATGGGATGCTTGAGGACCGGTGGCCCCTGGTGTAACGGGATGCTTGGGGACCGGGTGGCCCCGGTGTAATGGGATGCTTGAGGACTGGGTGGCCCTGGTGTAATGGGATGCTTGAGGACCGGGTGTCCCTGGTGTAATGGGATGCTTGAGGACTGGGTGTCCCTGGTGTAATGGGATGCTTGGGGACCGGGTGGCCCTGGTGTAATGGGATGCTTGGGGACCAGGTGGCCCTGGTGTAATGGGATGCTTGAGGACCGGGTGGCCCTGGTGTAATGGGATGCTTGAGGACTGGGTGGCCCTGGTGCAATGGGATGCTTGAGGACTGGCTCCAGCTATTTCCACTACGCTCTGTCTTCCTCACAGGTGGTGGTGAAGTTTATTAAGAAGGAGAAGGTCTTGGAGGATTGTTGGATTGAGGATCCCAAACTTGGGAAAGTTACTTTAGAGATCGCAATTCTATCCAGGGTGGAGCACGCCAATATCATCAAGGTGATGGTTTCCTCTTCAGAGATACCCTAACTTGGCTCATGTCAAATGTCTTCAATTTGTTGACTTGAAGATGTTTTGGTAGAGTTGGACTTGGCTTTGTCTCTTCCTAGGTATTGGATATATTTGAAAACCAAGGGTTCTTCCAGCTTGTGATGGAGAAGCACGGCTCCGGCCTAGACCTCTTCGCTTTCATCGACCGCCACCCCAGGCTGGATGAGCCCCTGGCGAGCTACATCTTCCGACAAGTGAGAGCAGGCCAGAGCCGTGTTAGTGTGAACGCAGGCCTGGGTGCCTGGGTCCGGTGGCTGCAAAGATCAGTGATCCATACTCGGTTCTCTCTCTGAGCTGGATCTAGCCTTCTGTGTGGGGATTTCATGGAGTAGGATATATATTTTGAGAAGAAAATTCTATGATTGAAGTAGAGAAAGTGAGGTTGGGAAGGAAGGATGAGGCCAGATACAGTCCTGGAATGACTGAGAAAGTATGTTTAATGGTTAAGGTTTATTTACATACATAAAATATCCACAACAATCATAAAAATTAACCAGTAAGGGTTAGGATGCAGCCAGAGAGCGTCTCAAAGGCATGTGTGCGGCACAGCGGCCTGCAGGTTGTAAGTGCCCACTAAATGGTGGCTGTTGAGGTAATTAACCAGCAAAACTGAGATCCTGACATTCTCACTTTTCAGTAAGTATTTGTCTTGATCTGTTTCGTGTCTAATTACATATTGAACTTCGGCCATTATTTTATTGGAATGGGAGAGTGATGATCCAAATAGGAAGGCACCCTAGCAGAGGGACAGGGGGAAGAAACGGTAACTCGTGTTGGGTTTTAAGGAGAGGGTGGCGGTTCCATCCTGTACTGCTCCCAGCTCCCCCAGAAGAACTGGAGAAATACCAGCAAAGGGCTGTGTAGACAACTCACATTTGCTCTTGGATTGTTTGCTGGGGACAACTCGATTTCTAATGACAGCTTCCGTGAATCAACATTTCTTCCTTAAAGCTACACACTCTCGGGTTGTTGGGTTTCCGAAGTTTAGTTTCTCAGGCTCCTACTTGTAAGTTTCAGATATTATGGTTCTGCAAAAAAGGGTCACCTCTCTCCCTCTTCCTGTGTTGGAAGGTGACGTCCTCCCTTTAGTTTGTGGCCAACACTTGTTTCTGAAACTTTTTACAGCAAACAGAGTATCTGTATGAGGTTATGTTGAGGGTCGCTTGTTAAAAGCTGCTGCCTGACAGCTGTTAATTCTGGGGCTAGTGAGACACATAATTATGGTGTTTATACTCTAAAATTTTTGCCAAAAGAATCTCTACCCCTTTTGTAAATATATAGACATAAATGTTATTCTATGTAAATACAGATGCACAATTTTATAAAGTATATGATCGCACATCAATGTATGTAGGAATCATGCTGGTTCTCAGGGCATTGCCTGTCAGCTCCAGATTCATCAGGACCTGCTCAGCAGCGGGGTCGGGGAGCTGGGCCTGGGAACAGCCCTGGCTTGGTTCAGGCCGCTCCAGGGCAGCATGGCCAGTCCAGGGCACAGAAGCATCTGCAGGAAGAGCAGCTTTCTTCAAGTCGCTCTTTAGCCCTTTGTGGTTAATCTCTCAGTACTAGTTAATAAATCTTAATGAAACTTTCCATGTTCAAGTTCATGTGTGATTTCTGTCTCCTGATTGGATCCTGACTGATTTGTATATATCTACATATATATGTAAGTATGTATGCATGCATGCTTGTATATGTGTATTTATGTGTGTACCTATGTACAAGTATATGTTATGTGTATAGGTATGCACACGTGTGTATGCAGGTGTGTATATATGTGCACATGTATGTATCTAAATGTATGTATAAATATGCAGGTATGTATATATAAATATGCAGGTATGTATATATAAATATGCAGGTATGTATATGTTTGTATATATGTGTATAAATATGCGTATATTTATTAAATGTAAGTTAATCGGGCTTAGCTAACCTGTGATTAT
Source organism: Homo sapiens (assembly GCF_000001405.40). NCBI lineage: Eukaryota > Metazoa > Chordata > Mammalia > Primates > Hominidae > Homo > Homo sapiens. Next base: position 241,113,290 of record NC_000002.12, on the reverse strand, counting down.
TGCTCCTGATTTGAAAGATACTCATTTGTAAATATAAATTTGTCTCAAAAGATCAACATGATACATCCATGAAGTCACTAAGTTGATTGGTATAATGGGTGTCCAAATTATGACAGTCAGACGTTTAATTCATCCTAGTTGAGCTAAACTGAAAGGCCGATGTTGCTGGCCTCTGTTATTGGAGAGGCAGAGTGGGCAGGCAGTGGAGCACTGCAGCTGCACCTCCGTGGGAACGAAGCCCGTTTCCAGTGTAACTGCTTTAAGTCTGCATCATTGAGTAGCCACACATTTGGGGAAAGGATGGCTGATACGTCATGCTGCTCTCTGAGAAGCCACTGAGGCTGTGCTCCCAGCTCTGCCCCAAATTGCTGCCTGAACTCTGGGCAAGTCACTTTCCCTCCCTGTGAGCTGAGGTTATCGACTTGGTGCTTTCTCTTGGGTACTTCCCACTTAACACCAAACCTGCACCCATTCACTTGCCCACCATGAGTGTCTTTGAGCTGTGGCTTTGTGGCCTGTCTTTCCTCCTGAAATAGGCATGGTGTGCGTTGGTGGGGGCGAGTGTCTGCTGGGAAGCTTTTCTCAGCAGCAAACAGAACTCACGAGTCTCATTGATGTTGCCACCTTGCCGGCTAACGTGGCCATCCCCAGTGAACACGCCTCCTGAAGGGCTTTGTTTCCTGTTTGCTTCCAATCATATCTTCAGCATTGAAAAATCTTTCCTGTCCCCAGTTCATTATGAGTCGGAGGTTTATTTTTTCTTTGTGTTTTTTTTTGTTCCAGTTTATTTTAAATGCATATTTTAGTTGAATTGCTTTTTTAAAAAGCCCCCTCTGGCCTCCTGATTCCAGCTAGTGTCAGCAGTGGGATACCTGCGCTTGAAGGACATCATCCACCGTGACATCAAGGATGAGAACATCGTGATCGCCGAGGACTTCACAATCAAGCTGATAGACTTTGGCTCGGCCGCCTACTTGGAAAGGGGAAAATTATTTTATACTTTTTGTGGGACCATCGAGTACTGTGCACCGGAAGTTCTCATGGGGAATCCGTACGTATGCGGCTGCGGTGCGGCCCGTCCTCGTGTCCTCTGTCAGGACCCTGAGGGTGGCTTGATTTTGGGTGGGAAAATGGCTTCCTTTGTGCCTCTTTGTGATGAGTGTTGAGTGGTCAGGGTGATATGCTGGAAAGTAAGTGGGCAGGCAGGCAAGGTCATATTGGGCAAAGGCACTGGGCGATGGATATAGGAGTTAATAATTTTATTTTCTCAGCTTTTATTTGTTTGGAGTTTCATATAATAAAAAGCCAAGAAAAATATTGAAGAGTCCCCCAAAATGGCACTCTTCAAATAAGTGAAGAGGATTCTTTTTAGTTAGGTTTATTTATTTTGATGACAGGAATAATATCTATTTCAATAAAATACCGCGGGGCTGACCATACAAGAAATCAAGCACTAGAGAAAGTCCCGAGGCAGAGGATTCGTGCTGAAGGTGGAGCCCTTGGCTGGAGGGGCTGTCGCTGACCAGCCAGACTCCATGTCACTGGAGTGGGCCAGCTGAGCCTCTGCTCTGCTGTGGGGAGAAGCGGCGTCCTTGGGTGTGTGGCTGAGTTTGCATCTCTGCAGTCTGGGGAGCCTGTGAGTCGGGGGCCGGCCTGGGCAGGGCCTCCTCTCGGGGGACTTTAGAGAGGAAAGCAAAACGGAAAGGAAGATTGTGGTTCATTTGTAGGGCCTGAGTGGAGACTGTCTGCTGACGTGCCCGATCACTGTCTCATCTGCCTGTAAACCAAATGTGTCTATGTGTATGAAATAGACTTTATTAAGTCAGAAATAGATAGCAGGTGTTTTCCACTAACACCTACATGTATTTTAGAGAGGTGTGGTTGGAATGCATCTCTAGGTGAGTTCATGGTTAGAGAGTCGGATGATCACAGCACTGCTTGGACCCTCCTGGCCCTCTGCTGCAGTGCTCTGCTGCACCGCCCATATCTGCTCCATGTGGTTCTCTAGGAGGGAAGCTGATGCTGCCCCCACAGGAGAGGCACACGGGGTCCCTCACAGACCTGCTGCACCTGACCTGGTGGCCTGAGGCCAGGGCATTTGCTCGCAGTCACGCACGAGCTCCATGCCGTGCCTTGGGCTCTCGGGAGGGCCTCAGCATTGGGGAGAGGAGTGGCTGGGCTCTGGATCCTGGTGTCTGCTTAGGCCATATTTCATTAGGAGGTGCAGGTTCCAGGCTGCACACCCTGAGTCCTCAGAGCCCAGCAGCCTCAGCCTGCGCCAACCTCTCCATGCCAGGCAGCGTTGAGCTCTTCTGGGCCTGGATGCCCTGTGTGCAGAGTATGGAGGAAGTGAAAATGGGCTCTTCCCCGCTAGAACCTCCATGCATCTTCAGAGCCACCAAACAGCGTGAAATATCGAAGGGGGTTGGTCTAAGAAGGGCCGTGGAGTTTCCCTTCAGATCTAGTTTGGTTGCCCTAGAGCCTGGTGGGCGCTGGTGGGCTCTGCCTGCCCTGCAGTGGTTGTCGTGCCCTCCGTGCTGGAGGGAACTGCCTGTCCCCTGTCCACTGACCCATGATGCCTGCTGCATGGCTTGTCACCCCTTCCTGTACCCAGGCCGTGAAGCTTGGGGAGGGTGCAGGGGGGATCCAACCTGGGCGAGAGCTCAGTGCTGCTTGGCCACCTTGGCCCTGCCTCCCAGAGCTGTGGCTCCCACCCTCTCCCTGAGCGCCTGCCCTGCCAGGGCTCTGCCCTGCCTCCTGGCCTCTCCTTTCTGGCTGTGAGCGGTGTACTGCTCCTGGGCCTGCGGGGCTGCAGGCCTCCTCTCAGGAGCTCCTTCCTCCCTCCTGCGTCCTCTCCCCATCTCCCTGGATGAAAGGGTTTCTGAGTTCTTATTCTCAATCCCATCCTCAGGGCCCTGGCTTCTGTCTTGTCATCTTCATCTCCGTCTACTCCAGGGTCGGCAGACTGTGGCCTTAGGTCCCTCTTCCCCTTCCTCAGGCCCTGGCAGCTGCCATTCTGCTATTTTCTCTATGAATCTGACTACTCTAGGGACCTCCTATACGTGGAATCGTACAGCATTTGCCTTTTGGTGACTGGCTTATTTCACTTTGCATAAAGTCCTCAAGGTCCATCCATGTTGTGGCCTGTGCCAGCATCTTCCTTTTCAAGGCTGAATTTGATTGCGTTTTCTGGATATGCTGTACTTATTCATCTGTCAGTGGACATTTGTGTTGCTTCTACCTTTTGCTTCCATCTTTATGTTGTTCGTGATGCTGCTACAAACGTGTGTGCAAACATCCCCTGCCTCTTGTTTCTATAAATAAAGTTTTATTGGAATGGAGCTGTGCTCATTTGCTTATGTGTCGTCTGTAGCTGCCTTTGTCCTACATGACAGAGTTGAGTTGCAGTGGGGACCATGTGGCCCAAAACCTGAAATATTTACTATTTGACCCTTCACAGGAAAAGTTTGCCAACCTCTGTTCTGTTCTATTGGATATTTCTCTTCAGCTTCTAAACATCTTGAAATCTCTCTAAAAAACAGAAACAACACAAAAACAAAAACTGCTGAAACTGATTTTCTTGCTCTAGCCCCTACAGCTCTCATCCGTCCGCTCAGCTTCCCTGCGGTCTGTGCTAGCCACCCCACCACCCTGCTGACTCAGCCTGGGGGCCCGACTTTCACCCACGCTGCTGCTCTGGCCTCTGTGATCTGCCCTCTTGAGCCCTCCCCTCCCCTCCCCTCCCCTCCCTCCCAGCCCCTCTTCTCCGAGTCCAGCCCGGGGCTCTGTCCGTGCCACTCTTCTCACTGCTGTGGTTTCTCTTGGCTCCCTTGTCTAATTCTGGTTCTGAGAACAGGCTGCTGCTTCCCAGACCTCTTCTGGGGACAGACCCCCAGCTGCGGACCTGGAGACGCATGGCCTTGGCCAGTGCAGGGGCAGGGCTGTGGGTGCTGGTGACCTGGCTCTGGTGCGTGCTTGGCAGCAACTTCACCTCACCAAGCCTTGCTCTTCTGTGCAAAATGAAAGTCATATTTATCTTGCTAGGTTGTTGTGAGGATTTGGGTTAAGCCATGTAAAATGCTGGTACAGCATTGGCATCTCTAGGTACCCAATAGATGGTAGCATGGATGAGGATGTTTACGGTGACAGGAAATAAATGGTAGCATGGATGAGGATGTTTACGGTGACAGGAAATAAATGGTAGCGTGGATGAGGATGTTTACGGCGACAGGAAATAAATGGTAGCGTGGATGAGGATGTTTACGGTGACAGGAAATAAATGGTAGCGTGGATGAGGATGTTTACGGTGACAGGAAATAAATGGTAGCGTGGATGAGGATGTTTACGGCGACAGGAAGTAACAATAGTCCTTTGGGTGTCTTCTCCCTGAAGCTTGCTCCTCCATTTGGCCCACTGTGTGAACACCCACCTTCACCACGTCCTTCTTGTTTGCTTTCATCCTTCGGTGTTTTTCCCTGTTCAGTCTCGTCCTGCAGCACCCTTCACATCGTCGCCACAGCCATCTTCCTAAAGGGCATGTGTGTCCATGGTCACACCAAGCCCGTTCACACCAAGATCGTGAACATGCCTGATCACGTCTGAAGGGCACGTGACCCTGTTCTGAAGTGGCCTGCAGCTCCCGTGGCCCTCAGCAAAGCCAATGGACGTGTACTCTGCTTCCTCCAGGAAGCCCTCCCCCCGCTCCCCCCTCTGGTAGACACGTCTTGTGGTTGGTGTCCACAAGGAAGTTCCTGATTAGCCTCGGAGCTGCCCGATGGCCTCTCCACTCCTGGCACATGGCCTGCTGGCTGGCCTGGGGCAGAAGTGCGTGGAAATGGAGGGCGTGTTTGAGGGGTGGAGTGACCCTCCTCTTGGGAAACCACTGCCTGGCCTGTGTGCTGGTCGGGAAGGGCCATGGTGCTTCCCATGGGCGGGCTTGGCAAGCCTGCGCTGAGTGCCGTGGCGTCCTGATGCCTCCTCCTCCTCACAGCTACAGAGGGCCGGAGCTGGAGATGTGGTCTCTGGGAGTCACTCTGTACACGCTGGTCTTTGAGGAGAACCCCTTCTGTGAGCTGGAGGAGACCGTGGAGGCTGCCATACACCCGCCATACCTGGTGTCCAAAGGTGAGCGTGAGCTGCAAGTGGTAGACAGTCGACACTGTCCTTAGAGACCAGCCACTTTTTTTTCCCATTTCCTCATTCCTCAGTGTATCTCTGTCCATATCAACAGTCTCATTTGTTTCTTTTCTATTCATCAAATAATTTGCATATGACTTTAAAACATCTTGATAATTTAGTTTTTGTTAATGTTCCTCTTTGGATCTTAGAGGCCCTCTTGTGAGAAACACACTTGCAGTCAGGACAGGGAGGCTCCAAGTGGCCCTGTTGACTTGGTGCCTACATGGTTAAAGGAACTGGGGCCCGAATCCAGATGCAAGGCTGGGGGCTTCTCTCAGCTTGTGCTGGCATCCCCTCACCTGTCATGTTAACCCTGCGTTATTCACAGCTCTGCATTGCCAGAGCCCCTGAGAATAGAGCAGTTAGGAACCTCTGCACCACCTGGATTTTGGTTGAGTGGGATGGCATCTTGAACTCCAAGCTTTCATTTCAGAGGCAATGAATGTTTCCTGCAGCTTCTGTCCAAGCACAGCTGGGCCCTGCACTAGAGGTTCCTGGGCCGCCACCTGCCCAGTCAGAGGCTCTGCGGGGGGGTGGTGAGCACCCAGGAATCTGAGATGTGCTCCACTTCATCCCAATCTGGACCTACCATCTGTGTTCTTTGTGTCCCCAGAACTCATGAGCCTTGTGTCTGGGCTGCTGCAGCCAGTCCCTGAGAGACGCACCACCTTGGAGAAGCTGGTGACAGACCCGTGGGTAACACAGCCTGTGAATCTTGCTGACTATACATGGGAAGAGGTGTTTCGAGTAAACAAGCCAGGTGAGGCTTCTCAGCATCCCTCCACCCCACATGACTTCACTTGGAATAACGAGGTCCCCAGGCTGCCTTCCTAGGTCAAAAGGAGGAAAAGGAGGCTCTCTCCCCCATGCTGTCTTGGACACAAATGTCAGGGCCTATAGCTGACCTGTCACCTGTGAGAGGGGGTTTGATTCTGTCCCGAGGCCTCTGGACACCACTGGGGTTCAGGGTGTGGCTTTGGACCTTGGAGGGTGGGCAGGTGTCATGGGAGCTCCTGGCAGAAGGGGTCGGAACCCTCAAAGATGGTTTGAGGAATGCAGCTGGTGATGGTCTGACTGGGCCGAAGGGGAGGATGAGGCCACAGATGCTGAGAGTGATTCTCTAGCAGCCGGCGGGGCCGAGGGCTCTTCAGACAAGGCTCTGGCCACAGAGCCAAAACCACTGCTCAGAGCATTTGGACCAAGCTGCGGTTGATGGCCCTGGGCTTAGATCCCCACCTTGGCAGGATCTGTACTTCCGGGACATTGCCAGTTGGATTTCTGAGGGCCTCACCTTAGGCTTTTGTTCTAGGACTTCTTCAAGTGAGAAGCAAAGTATTTTAGAACCTTAAGTTGTTAGCACGTGATACAGTTACCTTCTTGTTTCTTCAGAAAGTGGAGTTCTGTCCGCTGCGAGCCTGGAGATGGGGAACAGGAGCCTGAGTGATGTGGCCCAGGCTCAGGAGCTTTGTGGGGGCCCCGTTCCAGGCGAGGCTCCTAATGGCCAAGGCTGTTTGCATCCCGGGGATCCCCGTCTGCTGACCAGCTAAACACCAATTTCTTCCTGCTTTTCTCCACTTGGTTTGGAAAATCACACAGTTTTCAGGCTCCATCTGTTTGGAGAAAATACATTCTGAAGCATCCCCAATTCACCTTCTAAAAACTCATGTGCAGGTTTGATAAACACCAGAACAGAAGACAGTGATGCTGTATTATTTTAGATTTATTACATAGATTTGGAATTCACTTTTTTCATGACCTAGAAAAAAACATTCCAGTGTTCAACTGTTTTATATTATTAAAGGGCTTTTAATTTGTGAACTTCTGAAGGCATGAGTGTTTTCTCTTTCTACTTTTGTATATGTGCATGTTTTGTTTCCTCTGACTTGGTATATGCTCATCTGAGTGACGGATATGTGAAATTTGTAGAACTGGTTAGTCAAATGGCCAGACTATTTCATTAATTTATTTCCTCAAATGCTTTTCAAATTAAAGCACCTTTGTTAGTAAACAGTTATCCTGACTTGGATGTTGTGAACTGTTCCCGTGTGCTAAGTGTGAGAAATACCTGGTTTCCTCATTTTTCCATGTGTGCACCCCACTTGCCACAGTTGGAGAGAAGTCTAGCCTTGGCCATTCTGGGGTTCCTTTTACAAGCAGGCCCTGCCAGGGGTGGGCCTAGGGCTCTGAAGCTTGCTCCATCTGGTAAGACGGGGGAGGGTGGCTTCCTCAGGGACCTCCCTTCTGTCTGTAGCAAGACTCTGCTGTCAAACACGTGGCTGGCTCACTGCCAGCAGTCCCCAAATATCCCATGGCCAGCCAGCTCCCACCTCTGTCCACATGAGGGGCTTCCTGGCCCAGCCCCCACCTCTGGTCTGTGTGAGGGGCTCCAGCCCTGTATTCCTCCGAGCTGCTCAGGTTCCAGGGTGTTTGTCAGATACTCAACTGGCTGCTTCCCTCCCTTAGACTCCAGTCCATCCCCCTCAGACAGACTTGGCTAGGTCAAGTACTTAGGATTGTTTTATTTCATGTCTGTGTTAGAGAGGAGGGAATAGCTAGAGGTGAGAGCAGAACCTTTCATTTTTTTCCCCTGCTGAGACAGTAGGAAAAAAACCAAAAACCTAAACCCCTACCCTTTTCCCACATGTCATCACTTGCAGACGGTTTTTCCACATTCTGAGACTCCTGCCCAGAACCCTCTGGAAGCTGCCTGGGAGCCAGGCTGCCTCCTGCGTGGTTCTGAGCTATTTCTAGTGGTTATTTAGGAGGCACTCAACTGTTTTGGGATGATCAGAGTTAATTTTAGTCCCATCTAGTAGGATATGGGCTATTGCCATCCCTTTCTTCAGAAAGTGCTGCCTGAGCCTCGCTGCCACCACAAGTGACTGATGGAGTTGGTGGGGGAGGACCCTCCTCTATCAGGGACATTCAAGGTACAAGGGTTTTACAGGTGTGTATTAAAGTCAGTGATGTTCACTCTTCAGAATTCAAAGAGTTTTCTGATGTTTTAAGAACCCCTACCTTGTAGTGTTTATGGTGCTTATAACACAGAGGATGTTATAGAATGGTGTTTGTTTGTTTGTTTATTTATTTAGAGACAGAGTCTTATACTGTCGCCTGGGCTGGAGTGCAATGGTGCGATCTCAGCTCACTGCAACCTCCGCCTCCCAGGTTCAAGCAATTCTGCCTCAGCCTCCCAAGTAGCTGGGATTACAGGTGCCCACCACCACGCCTGGCTAAATTTTTGTATTTTTAGTAGAGACGAGGTTTCACTATGTTGGCCAGGCTGGTCTCAAACTCCTGACCTCATGATCCGCCCGCCTCGGCCTCCCAAAATGTTGGGATTACAGGCATGAGCCACTGCGTTCGGCCACAATGGTGTTTGCAGACAGGTGTTTAATGGGTTGAGAATGCATAGTCTGAGCTTTCTAAGAACTGTTACTTCTTTATAAGAAAAAATAATTAAAGCTCATCTGACTTCATGGCAGTGGAAGGTCTGGTATTTTGCAAACGTTCTTTGCAGAAAGAACCCAGAGAGGAAAGTTCTGAGGCTGAGGCTGACAATTTTTCCACTCCATTTTTTTTTTTTTTTTTAAGATGGAATCTTGCTCTGTCACCCAGGCTGGAGTGCAATGGTGCAATCTCGGCTCACTGCAACCTCCGTTCCCTGGGTTCAAGCAATTCTCCTGCCTCAGCCTCCCGAGTAGCTGGGATTACAAGTGTGCGTTATCACGTTACCTGGCTAATTTTTGTATTTTTAGTAGAGGCAGGGTTTCACTATATTGGCCAGGCTGGTCTCGAACTCCTGACCTCAGGTGATCCACCCATCTCAGCCTCTCAAAGTGCTGGGATTACAAGCATGAGCCACCGTGCCCAACCCACTGCATATTTTTAAAGTATGGTTCGAGAGAGCAAAGTTTTCACACAAGACTGAAGGTGATGTCAAATTTTTTTTTTTTTTTTTTGAGAAGTACTTTCGCTTTTGTTGCCCAGGCTGCAGTACAATGGCGTGATCTTGGCTCACTGCAACCTCCGCCTCCCAGGTTCAAGTGATTCTCCTGCCTCAGCCTCCTGAGTAGCTGACACTACAGGTGCCCACCACCATGCCTGGCTAATTTTTGTATTTTTAGTAGAGATGGGGTTTCACCATGTTTTCCAGGCTGGTCTCAAACCCCTGACCTCAGGTGATCTGCCCACCTCGGCCTCCCAAAGTGCTGGGATTACAGGCGTGAGCCACCACACCCGGGCTCATGTCAATTTTTCATAGTAATCCCCATGTCCCAGCTGTCATTTTATTTCTAGAGCTAGACAAACTGTTCAGGTTCCTTGATTCTTTCCAGGGAGTTGGGGTGGCTCATGGGATTTTCTTAGGCTTTTGGTGTAGCATTAACACAATTTATTGTGAGATGTTGACAGTTGAGTATTTTGAGAAGAAAATTACATTATAAAAAACAACAAAGGCAACCAATTTTTTTTTTCCTTTTGTTTTTTGAGACAAGGTCTTGCTCTGTTACGCAGGCTGGAGTGCAGTGGTGCAATCATGGCTCACTGCAGCCTCAACCTCCTGGACTCAAGTGATCCTCCCACTTCAGGCTCCTGAGTAGCTGGGACTACAGGTGCACGCCACTACTCCCGGCTAATTTTTTATTTTTTGTAGAGACAGGATTTTCCTATGTTGCTCAGGTTGGTCTTGAACTCCTGAGCCCAGGCAATCCCCCCCACCTCAGCCTCTCACAGTGCTGGGATTACAGGCGTGGGCCACTGCACTCTGCCAAAGCAACCAATTCTTTAGTTTCTACACGGATTAGAACCTTCCTTTTCTTTGACATAATCCTTTTGTCAAAAGACAGTTTTACATAAATTGTTTGGCACCCCACTCCATGCCTGGCGCAAAGCAGATATGTAAATGTGTGCCCATGCAAGAATCAAATCCTTTATGTCAGTCCAGAATGAAGTAGATAAAACAAGAAATGCTTATAAATTAAGGCTTTGGTGGCAGGATTTAGGCAGCTGAGAAAGCACACCTTTTTATTCTTCACAAGCATCACCTTGTGAAAGATGCCTACGCTCTTAGGTCGAGAGAGGAAATTTAAGAATGAATACACATTGGGCTAAAACTTTACTATATTTCATCCTAAGAGGGAACCAGACCTCGAAGTTGGGAAGGCTCTTGCTTATAAAGGGAAATGTGCCGTAATTCCTGTCATTTTACTTGGGTCTTTTAAAAACGGCAAATTCTCATCTTCCACTGGCTGAGAGTAAAAAGAAAGAAAAGCGGTAAAGACTTCTTTTTGTGCGTAGGTGGCCCCGGTGTTCACGCTGAATACAGATTTTTACACAATAAAATCTTAAATATCTCTACATGGAACGGAATCCATTTTTCCTGCCTCGGGAAGGATTTCTGCGCTCTCGGGTGAAGTTCCCGAAGCAAGGAACCAGTTCCCCTCTACCTGTACTCTTGAGAGGAATTCTCAGGTCATCTGAAACACAAGTATGGGCCAGGACGACCCATTCGTTCACGCGGCCCAGAGCTCTGCGAAACGGGACACGGCAGTGCAACGGGAACAACCGGACACCGAGGCCCCCGAAGGCTGAGGCCGCGGCAGAGGCGGCGGCACGGTGACGGGCGCGACTCCGGCCTTCCGGCTTTCTAAGGGGCGGCCCCGGGACACCTGAGCCCCGCGGGGCCGTGAACGCTCAGCACAGCTCCGGGCCGGAATCACGATCCACCACACCGCGCTGGCGCTGGGAACGGCGTCGGTGACGGACCGGGGGCCGGAAGTGAAGGACGGGGGAGGACCGCTGCTTCCGGCGCCGTAACTGCTGCCATCTTCTCCGCGCTATGGCTGCGTTCGGCCGTCAGGTAAGCTCGAGCTGGGCGCGCGGGCTTCTCCGGGTCGCAGGCGGGCGGGCAGCGACGCAGAGGAACCGCGGCCGCCGAGTGTTTCACGGCCAGGTCGTGGAGCCCTCCCGGAGGTCCGTGCACGCTGACCTGGTTTTGGCATCCTGGACCCGTGGCTCTGCTCAATTATTGTGGGATATAGAGTTGACATTTTTTTTTTTTGAGACAAAGTCTCGCTCTGTCTCCAGGCTGGAGTGCAATGGCGCGATCTCGGCTCACTGCAACCTCCGCCTCCCGGGTTCAAGCAATTCTACTGCTTCAGCCTCCCAAGTAGCTGGGATTACAGGCGCCCGCCACCATGCCTGGCTAATTTTTGTATTTTTAGTAGAGACGGGGTTTCACCGTGTTGGCCAGTCTGGTCTGTAACTTCTGGCCTCAGGTGATCCACCCGCCTCGAACTCCCAAAGTGCTGGGATTACAGGCGTGAGCCACCGCGCCCGGCCTGAGTTGACTGTTGAACAAGAGTTTGAACTTCACAAGGAAGATAACATGTACTTTTCATTAAGAGGAAGCGGAATCAGCATAGAGGTCTTTAGGCTTGAGCCCAGTTCCACGGGCCGCGCCCGCTGACCCCAGCGACTGCCAGGTGTTCCTGGCGGAGGGAGCATCTGGACAGGGGAGGCTGGAGAGCAGCCAGAGCTTGGGCTTGGCAGGGTGGCCCCAGGGCGACAATCGATGACGCTGGAGAAGGGGTTGGGACCGATGTGAAGGTTTTAGAGCAGGGGTTCCCCAACCCCCGGTACCGTCCCTTGCCTATTAGGAACCAGGCTGCACAGCAGGAGGTGAGCGGCAAGTGAGCCAGCCAGACTGTATTTACAGCCGCTCCCTTCGCTGGCATTACCGCCTGAGCTCCGCCTCCTGTCAGACCAGCCGCCTTAGATTCTCACTGGAGCGCGAACCCTATTGTGAACTGCGCCTTTGAGGGGTCCAGGTTGCGCTCCTTATGAGAATCTGATGCCCGATGATCTGTCACTGTTTCCCATCAACCCCAGATGGCACCTCCTGGTTGTAGGAAAACAAGCTCAGGGCTCCCAGTGATTCTACATTATGGTGAGTTGTATAATTATTTCATCTTATATTACAACGTGAAAATAACAGAAATAAAGTGCACAACAAATGTAATATGCTTGAATCATCCTGAAACCCCTCACCAGTCTGTGGAAAAATTGTCTTCCATGAAGCCAGTCCCTGGTGCCAAAAACGTTGAAGACTGCTGGCTTAGAGTGCCTGGATGATTTGTGCATAGTTTGTTAAGCACCAGCCTGAACCACTGAAGACTTTTGAGGTCAACTGGAATTGTGTATGCAAGTTGACTAATTACTGTGACCCTTGAACAACACAGGGGTTAGGGGCACCAGACCGCCCCCACACCAGTTGAAAATCAGTGTATAACGTTTGACTCCTCCAAAACTCAACTACTAATAGCCTACTCATGACTGGAAGCCTTACCGACAACATAAACAGTTAACACATATCTTGTATATATATATATTGCATTCTGTATTCTTAAAGTAAGCTAGAGAAAAGAAAACGTTATTCAGAAAATCATAAGGGCAAAACCCCGTCTCTACAAAAAATACAAAAATTAGCAGGGTGTAGTGTGCACCTGTAGTCCCAGCTACTCAGAAGGCTGAGGTGGGAGGATTACCTCAGCCTGGGGAAGTCAAGGCTGCAGTGAGCCATGATTGCACCACTGCACTCCAGCCTGGGCAACAGAGTGAGACCCCCGTCTCAAAAAACAAAAAGAAAATCCTAAGAGAAAATGTATTTACTATTCATTAAGAGGAAGTAGATCCTCATAAGGTCTTTAGGCTGAAGAGGAGGTGAAGGAGAGTTTGGTCTTGGTGTCTCAAGGGTGGCAGAGGCGGAAGAAAATCCACATATAAGTGGATCCAAGCAGTTCAAACCCTTGTTGTTCAAGGGCCAACTCTGTATCCCACAAGATTCTTCTCGTGGAATGAATTTAAGAACATGAATCTGGAAAGTAGTCTGAGGTCCAGACTTTTCTGGCACACATGACCAGGTGGCCTAGAAATAGTTTTTCCCTCTTCCTCCATGTCCCTGCTCCCATCCTTAAAGCTGCAAAAGCTAACAATATTGTACCTGCTTGACTCCCATCTCTGTGGCCTTGAAATACCCTGTTCTTTGTGAGCTTCCTTCTCTGTAGGCTTAAGTTCAGATAGGATTTTGCAGATTGCTTATAAAAATTGTATGTTTGTGTGGAACCAAGGCAGTAAGTACTCTGGCTCAGAAGTCTTATGGTGTCCATTACACTGGAATAGTGAGGAATTAATTGTCTTTTGGTCCTGTGTCTTACAGGTCCTTGATTGGCACCGCCTGATCCCCCTCACCTGGGCCTGTATGGCTAGGCAGACTCCTCATCTTGGAGAACAGAGAAGGACGACAGCTTCTTTGTTGCGCAAACTGACTACAGCCTCCAATGGAGGGGTCATTGAGGAGTTATCTTGTGTTAGATCCAATAACTATGTGCAGGAACCAGAGTGCAGGAGGAATCTTGTTCAGTGCCTCCTTGAGAAGCAGGGGACTCCTGTGGTACAAGGGTCCTTGGAGCTAGAGAGGGTCATGAGTTCCCTCCTGGACATGGGTTTCAGCAATGCCCATATTAATGAATTGCTCAGTGTACGGCGAGGTGCCAGTCTTCAACAGTTGCTGGACATCATTTCAGAATTTATTCTCTTGGGTCTGAATCCAGAGCCTGTGTGTGTGGTCTTGAAGAAAAGTCCCCAGTTATTGAAACTGCCTATTATGCAAATGAGGAAGCGCTCCAGTTACCTGCAAAAGCTTGGGCTTGGAGAAGGTACAAGAAGTTGCAGATTTTGGCTGGGTGCGGTGGCTCATGCCTGTAATCCCAGATCTTTGGGAGGCCGAGGCAGGCAGATCACTTGAGGTCAGGGGTTCAAGATCAGCCTGGCCAACATGGTGAAACCCTGACTCAACTAAAAATAGAAAAATTAGCTGGGCTTGGTGGCACGCACCTGTAATTCCAGCTACTTGGGAGGCTGAGGCATGAAAATCGCTTGAACCCAGGAGGCGGAGGTTGCAGTGAGCTGAGATGGCGCCACTGCACTCCAGCCTGGGTGACAGCAAGGCTGTCTCAAAAAAAAAAAAAAAGATTTTATATAGTGTGACAGGAGCCAGAGGTGGGGAAAGAGCAGCCTAAGGTGAGATGGATTAGGGGAGGTTTCTGAGTATGTCAGTGTTCCTGGAGAGGACTGTATAATTTGGCTTGGAGGTGAGGAATAGGAGTGGCTTTCTGTGCAGAATACATTTTGAGAGGGAAGGAGGAGGAGTTAAGACTAGAAGAAAAAATTGAGTGCCAGGGCAGAGACTCTTGTCTGCCTTGTTCACCGTGGGATCTTCAGCACCTAGTGCAGTGGTGGGCATATGGTATGTGTTCAGTGGGTTGATGCTGATAATGTGATGTTGATAAATATGTGTACATATAGCATTTGATGTTTAAATCAACATGAAATGGTCTTAGTGCTCTGTCTCTGTGATGTGATGTCAAACCAACATCTCTTGTAAAGACTTAGATTCTAGTCGAGTGTTTAGATTTACTCTGGAACATGAGAGATCTGGCCAGGTTCCTGGGATACTCGTGGAGTGGCCTTCCCTTCTATTTATCCCCCACTCCTGCCCCCAACAATATTCACATCTCAAGGATGCTCAAAGTTCCTTGAATCTCTTTAAGGGCCTTCTGGAGGAGTTGGGGGTCTCCAAGGACCCTTACCCACTTTGACCAGAGGAGTTCCACTATTATTTCTTTGCATTATTGACTCTTCCTGGTAAGATGTTTTTTGAGGCAGTGGTAGAAGGTTTAGGATCCACCATTTCACAGCATCTCTACAGGCCTCCTTCTCTAGAAGATAAGAAAAAGGTAGCCTTGTATATTTTTCTTAACAGATTCTTACAGTGTAATCTAAAAGTCTAAATATATTATGTGTGGTGGTGATTAATTAGCAAACTCAGCACAGCCTTAAGAAATGAAGATAAACCTAAACTGAAATTCCTCACATATTAAGATAATCACTAACTCAAATGTTAGGAAAATTTTAATTAACAGTTTAAATAGTTGACTTTAAGTTTCCCATTACTGAATTTTGCTCAGCTATCCCTAGGAAGGCCTGGAATAGTCCCAGTTTACACCAGTTAGTGCGGTTTTAATAGGGCCTCTTTCACTCAAGGTGCCCTGGCTTGGAGAAGATATATGGTGACCCTGGTAACCAGGACGTCAGCATTGGTGTTGTGTGTCCTCATGATTACTATTATTGTTATTACTGTTATGATGACGATGGTGATGGAACTCCTTTTCATTGAGTTCAGCTTGAGAATGTTAGTTGTGAATGCTTCAATGACTATTTTATTATAGAAGGAAACATCAACCCAAACCAGCAATATGGAGGAAACTACTCTCCCATATTACTCTCTGATCTTTCCAGTAAATGCCTGGGAAATTCTTTTCCAAGTGAGGAGGGCAAGAGGAGACCCAAAATACAAAGTTGGCACCTTTCAGGTGGGAGGCCAGAATAAAGCAGGAATATAGGGAGGGAAGGATGGTGAGTCTGAGGAGTGTCAGGAAGTCAGTGGGGAGATGTATCATTTCCATGGTGCTTCTGGGAAGATAGATCTGAAATTGCCACTTGCTCTGTGGAAGGAGAGGATCCTTGTTTGTTTTTAAATGTGGACTTAAATTGGGTGCAGCTAGCTCCTTGAGTTTCTGGAGTATCCTGAAATTATATGCTTGCCTTTTTTGAATGTTCTGCAGGGAAATTAAAGAGGGTGCTTTACTGTTGCCCTGAAATTTTCACCATGCGCCAGCAGGACATTAACGACACTGTCAGGCTTCTCAAGGAGAAGTGCCTTTTCACGGTACAGCAAGTCACCAAGATTTTGCACAGTTGCCCCTCTGTTCTTCGAGAGGACCTGGGTCAACTGGAATACAAGTTTCAGGTGAGAATGACTGATAGCGTGATTAGCGTAGTTTCAGGTGAGAATGACTGGTAATGGGATTAGCGTAGTTTCAGGTGAGAATGACTGGTACCGTGATTAGTGTAGTAACAGCAAGTTTCTCAGGTTTTTCAAATGTAGTGAAGGTCAGTTATATGGATAAGAAGCCTCGGACACCTCATATTTGAGTGGAGGAAGTGAAAGACTAGATTCTCTGCATACATCAGCCAAAGAGAAATCTTTAATTTCTTTACTACAGATCAAACCTATTCTTCAACTTTTCTGCCATTAATAATGAATGATCCAGTCCTATTCTTAGAGTCTAAGTGGGGACTCTGAAATAGCTAATTTTAAAATAGCTGAAACCTTCCTGTCCTTAGAATCTATTTTGCATGTTGATTTTGAAAATGTAATTTTAACAGTTGTCCGATTTTTTGGTAATAATTATGACAACTTAGGTCGAATTTCTAGATGTTTTCTGAATGTTTTGCCTATTCTTTCCATATTCATCCTTTTCCTTCCCCATTTAAAGAAAAATACCACCTCTTCCTTCTGCCCCTTCTCCCTCCTGCCCCTTTTCCCTCCCACCCCTTTATTTCCTGCTCCATGTTTCTCAGGATGAATTTGAAAGTGTTTTGAAACTGCTGGCTGTCACACAAATGTCAGTATCCTAGACTGGGTATTCGCTGTTGTCAATTAGGCAATTCTTTTTGAATCCTTTTGTACAACTTAAGTTTTTATGGTTTATAGAATGATAGGTTTCAATACTCTGTATCTGGGACTCCTAAGTGTGTTTGTGTCTTCCAGTATGCATACTTCAGGATGGGAATTAAGCATCCAGACATTGTAAAGAGTGAGTACTTGCAGTATTCACTAACCAAGATTAAGCAGAGACACATTTACCTGGAGCGCCTGGGACGGTACCAAACCCCTGATAAGAAGGGGCAGACACAGATCCCTAACCCATTGCTCAAGGACATTCTCAGAGTTTCAGAAGCTGAGTTTTTGGCCAGGACAGCCTGTACTTCTGTTGAGGAGTTTCAAGTTTTTAAGAAGCTCCTGGCTCGGGAGGAGGAGGAGTCTGAGAGCAGCACATCTGATGACAAAAGGGCAAGTCTGGATGAGGATGAGGATGACGATGATGAGGAGGACAATGATGAGGATGACAATGATGAGGATGACGATGATGAGGACGACGACGAGGCGGAGGACAATGATGAGGATGAGGACGACGACGAGGAGGAATAGCTGTGATGGAAGGACTAGAGCGAAAGGGCCCAGAGATATCAAGGAAGCTTTTCATTCTCTTAAAGCTTTTGGGTCCTTTACTTGAATCTTCTCAAGTTATTTTTTATTCTAAAACTGGTCTCTTGATGAAAAAAATTATAAGTCACCTGAGAGGCAGACAGATCAAACCAAACAGGAAACAGGAAATGCATGTTTGATCTGTTGTCACGTGTCTGTGGGGAGGGCCCTGTCCCATCCTGAATAAGATACTTATGTTGAGCTATTCACATCAAGGGGACTCAATATATCAACAATTGGTTTTATTTTTTTCTCTTTTGAATATGTTGGTGATAATTCCGTGACAGTTGGAAGATGGGGTTCATTCTTCCGGTTCAGGAATCACTATGTATTTCCTTCTTGTGATAAAAATAAAATTACGAGAAGGCAATGTGAGGTTTTAGTACATCATAGCACTTTATTTTATGAAAACATGTAGCAGATTTTCCACAAAAATGCTTATTTTTAATCCAAAAGTATATTGCTTCATAATGGTATTCAGTGCACAGCAGAGTAAAAGAAGTTAATTCATGATGTACTGGTTAATTTTGCATGGCTTCTTAAGGCCAGCAAAATGCTGGCAGTTTTCTTTATCTTTGTGAAGAACAGGCCCTTCCTGTTTGGGGAAGTTGGCTTTTATGTCAGCTCTTGGCCAGTGGTCACTTCCAAGCCTGGTGTCTCCGGCCCTGTAGTCTGTAGTGCCAGACTGTGCTGGCCTGGAGAGTGCTGGGGCAGGTGGAGGCCAGGGAATGGTCCCATACAGTTATCTCCCCTGCCCTGGTTACAGACAGCTTCGAGAACCAGAGGAGAAGAGCATAGGGTCATGGAGCAGGTGGGCTGAAGCCAGGGCCACAGGGAGCAATCCGTGACCCCCCAAGGTGGGTGTGGGGGGGGGGGGGGGCGTGTCACCTTAGGGAACTCAATGAGTCCGAAGAACAATTTGAAATGTTGGGAAAAGAGAAGAGGAATTTGATGTCAGCCGGGGTGATCCCTGAGATAGAGGCCTGTCTCTGATGGCATGAGCTCTAAGAGGGTCCTGGAGGATTGGTACATCCTAGAACATTCCAGTTAGCCCTCTTTTAGGGGAAACTGGCATAGGATTGATGCAGAAGGCATTTTTGATGATGGGACCAAAATTCAAGTCTCCTTGGTAGCATTCTAGGATCAACTAGATCCTAGGATCTGGTAGATTGTAGGATTCTAGTGGGTAGAGGCCAGGGGTGCTGTGAAACATCCTGCAGTGCACAGGATGGTCCCACAAGAGAGGATGATCCGGCCCAGAATGTCAGTGCTGAGCCTGAGAAACTCATCTAAGGCCTGGTCCACAACAGTAATGTGACTGTTCACTCGTGACAACTTCAGATGGTAAATGGACTTAGGATCGTATTATTTTATTTAAAAGAAAAATAAGGAGCTGGTTTTTCAGCCGGGTTCCTTTCCCCTATGCACTGGAATACCCCTGGTAGGTGTGAGCTGCATGCAATTGTGGGGATTCAGCACTGAAATCTAGGTGCTTTTGTTTTCTCCAGCAGCCTCGTCTTACAGCGTGACTGCAAAGAAAAAGACTTTTGTTTTGCAAAAGAAAAGCAGCTCGGTGACTCCGTCCACATCGCCACAGTTGAGTCAGATGGCAGTGGCAGTCCTTTGCCAGTGGAAGGAGTTCCTGCTAAGGGGAGGTGCAGGAGGTGAGCTGATACCTGAGTGGGGCCCTTGCCTGTTGGGTTCTCTACTGGAGGACAGTGGGCACAGCAAAGATTCCCTTACTTGTACCTGGCAGCCCACACGCAATGGGGAAAAGGGAGAGTTTGTCTTTATTGCCTTGCTTGGCCATAGGCAAAACTGTTTGGAAATGAGACATTTCACTGTGCCAGTGTTTTCATTTTCTCTTCCATTGTGGCATCCCGGTCACTGCCACCCTCCCTAGAACCTAGGCTGTTGTTGTACCCAGTCGGAGGACTAAGTAGAATCCTCAGTCTGCACTTGGTTAGATGATCAGTCCATCCCGGTTTCATTAGCAGATGGGTAATTCAGCAACTCAGGATTGCTTCTTTCATTTTGATACAGAAATCTTTATGCTCCTGACAGTTTTCTGATTCTATTATTACTAATTTCCTTGGGTGGACTTTGAGTATTTTCAAGGAAGCCATTTGAGTTTTTAAAAGAAGCCACATGGGAAAAGCTGTGGTGGCCTCTTTGGAATGTTTCAAGAACGAACTGTAATTCCTGAGCACCAGGAAGTCTTTTTACTTGATATTTAATGTGGAAAACATCCCAATGGGCAAGTCCTGTGACAGCACTTGGGACTCAGGAGCCAGTTCTTGTTGACACAAGGCTTCTAAGCTAACACTGGAGCATATTAGCATTTGCTGTGTGGCACCAAGCTTGGGACTCAGGAGCCAGTTCTTGTTGACACAAGGCTTCTAAGCTAACACTGGAGCATATTAGCATTTGCTGTGTGGCACCAAGCTTGGGACTCAGGAGCCAGTTCTTGTTGACACAAGGCTTCTAAGCTAACACTGGAGCATATTAGCATTTGCTGTGTGGCTGAGGGGCTTGAGGTCCTAGTAGGGAGTAGAAAGTTTCCTAGTAGGATTCACCTACTTTTCCAGTGATATCACTCGATCTTAGCATCTGCTAGTAATGCTGTAGCTTACATGGACAAACAGTGACAGGTCCCAGGGCGGCAGGAAGTCCGCAGTACGCGTTTGTGAACGTGGTTTCTCTCAGTTCACCCAGTGACCCTTCGCTGAGCTCGAGACCCTTCATTGAGCTCCACCTTCTGCTCTCAAGTGGGTCTGGAGCCTGGGGAACAGCTCGGGAGTACAGGTGAAACTTCGCGAATTGCCTGTTCCTTCTTTCTGAAAATGACAAATTGCAGAATACACAGACACATGCACATGAAATTTTAATAAAGATAAAAAGCCTAAAATATACTCTAACTCTTCAAAAAACATTTTTATGAAAGAGGAAAGGAAGGAGGCCCTCTTTGTGGCTGGAATGCTGGCTCTGAGCAGAGTCAGGGTGACGCGGCAGGGCGCTGGCTTTCCAGCTGGGTCAGCGGTCGTGAGGCTCAACACGAGAGGAGGTGGGGTGGCTGCTTTGGTTGTAACATTAGCAGGGGGAAGACAGCTGCTTAGAAGCATGGTGGGAAGCAGATGTGGTGAAGTGCCGTACTGTTCTGCTTACAAAGATGGGGATGTCTAAGATCGTGTTTACTACCTGATAGCCTAAAACAGTATCACTTGAGTCATGGACTAAAAGGAACCTTAAACATTGTCCAGCCCAGCCCAGGTGTCCATCTCTGTTGCACTGAGACTTGTAAGGCGTCCTTGCTGCTTCGTGGCAGTGTGCCTTAGCTTTCCAAGCAGGGGTCTGAATAGCTTTTTCCATGAAAATTCAGGGGTCTTTCTTTGATACCCTTGTGACTTGTCATTCAGGGGATGGCTTCCACTGTTTAAGGCTGAAGCCTAGGTGATCTCATAGAACAGGGTTCACCAAATAAGGCCCATGGGCCAATTTGGCCACCACCTGTTATTGTAAATAAGTTTTTATTGGAACATAGCCGCAGCCATTCAATGACATGCCTGTGGCTGTGTCTGCGCTACTGTAGCCACAGGGACCTCTGGTCTGCAAAGCTGAAAACGTTTACCGTCTGACCCTTGATAGAGAAAGGCTGCCAGTCGCGCCGTTGTCTAAAAAAGTCTGAACTCCACCTTAGTGTTAACTAGTCCATAGGATGGCTCGTCGACCTGCACGAGCGTCATAAACACGCTGGAGGACCAGAGCAGGGGCGGCTGTGTCTGCAACCCGGCTTTCCTTCTGACATCACCTGGTCTCTGCCCTTCAGCCCCTGCCCCCGTCTCTGTTTTGGAAGTGGTCCATCACAGTTCCTTCTCAATTTGTTGGGCCTCGAAGGGAGAATTCTTTCTCTGGCTTTGGAGTCTAAGAACAGGTTTCTGCATACTGCAGAAGCGTGGCTGACTGACAGCCTCACTGATTCCGGGGAATGGCGAGCTGTCATCTCATCCGCAGAGACACAGACTACACCTTCAGGAACTGCAGCTTGGGTGAGGGCACAGGCTGCTTAAACGCATCGCAGGACTCACAGGTGGTTGGTCCCAGAGGGGTCTCTCAGGGTGGGCTGGTGTGTGCACAGGCCTGGCCATCTGTCCTCTAGAGGCCTGAGGAGAGAGGTCACAGAGGGGACTGACTCCAGCTAGGACCTTTTCTCAGGGTGTCCTTTTTCATCCAGTTTTTAGACCTCATCTTCCTGGGTGTTAGAAACTCGTGAGGTTGGTGGAGTGTAACAAGAACGTCTTAAATCCTTTGAAGAAAAAACAAAGTGAAGCATGAGGAGAATGACAGGCATTCCCACTCCTCTTTAAATGGGCTGCTTCCTGCTTCTCTTAGTGGCCCTCAGGGCCTCTGTCACCCAGAGGACCCCACGTTCTTAGAGCACCAGGATTCTACCATATGGCAGTGCACACGGGGAGGACCCCGCGTTCTTAGAGCACCAGGATTCTACCATATGGCAGTGCACACGGGGAGGGGCAGCCTCCACCGACTACATCCCCATCTTTAGGAACATGTGGGCTCAGCATTGCAACTTTTAAATGTGAAATCACAGCCTGTTCCTCTTCCCTGCCCTCCTCCTTCCGGTAACGACTCTGGGTCTTTTCTCCAAGGGCACAGCTGTGTCAGGTTGCTCTGGGTTGAAATGAATTCTCGTGTTGTTCTTGGATGGGTGTCTGGGTGCGTGTGTTTCTGTTTCCTGCTTTTTTGTGTGTTGTCTCCATTATTTCAAGAATAGGTATTCTATAAGTCAGTATTTGATAATTAGTTGGGGGTTTCTGATTTGTTTTTATGGGAGTGGATGTGCTAGGCAAGCATTTAAAAAGATACATTAATATTTCAGGTGACTTACCACCGTATAAATATCTCAAACCCAAATTATGTTTGTGGATTCTTAATCCTAGTACAGTTAGGCACTGCACGATGAAGGACCGCGCGCATGACAGTGGTCCCATGAGATTACAGTGGAGCTGAGGTCATAGCCATCGTACAGAATTCTTTTTTCTTTTTTTTTTTTTTTTGAGACAGAGGGTCTTGCTCAGTTGCCTAAGCTGTAGTATAGTGGCGCAATCTCAGCCCACTGCAACCTCTGCCTTCCAAGTTCAAGTGATTTTCCTGACTCAGCCTCTTCAGTAGCTGAGATTACAGGTGCCCACCACCATGTCTGACTAATTTTTGTATTTTTAGTAGAGACAGGGTTTCATCATGTTGGCCAGGCTGGTCTCGAACTCCTGGCCTCAAGTGATCCGCCGGCCTCGGCCTCCCAAAGTGCTAGAATAATTCTTTTTGTGTTTGTGGTGATGCTGGTGTATACAAACCTACTGCACTGCCCTGTGTATAGAAGTCTAGCACATACAATTATGTAGAGTACATAATACTTGATGATAATTTGTGATGTTACTGGTTTACGTATTTACTATACTCTTCATCATTATTTTAGAGTGTACTCCTTCTACTTATGAAAAAAAGTTAACTATAAAATGGCCTCAGGCAGGTCCTTCAGGAGGTTTCCAGAAGAAGGCATCATTGTCACAGGAGGTGGCAGCTCCATGTGTGTTACTGGGACACGATGTGGAAGTGGAAGAAGGTGACATGGATGATCCTGCCCCTGTGTAGGCATAAGCCAATGTGTGTGTTTGTGTCTTAGTTTTTAACAAAAGTTAAATAGTAAAAAACAATTAAAAATTTTAAAAACAGAGAAAAGCACTAAGGACAGAAAACAATTTTGAACATCCGTACAGTGTGTTTGTATTTTAAGCTGTTATTAAAAAGAGTTAAAAAGTAAAAATTAAAAATGTATAAAGTAAAAAAGTTACAGTAAGCTAAGGTTAATTTCTTATTGCAGGACTAATTTATTATTGTGCAACTGCCAGTCCTGCGCATTCCAGCTACGCTAAGCGCCCTGCCCAGGTATACCATTTTTTATCTTTTATATCTATTTTTACTGTAGGTTTTCTACGTTTAGATACACACACACTTGGCACTGTGTTACGACCGCCTACAGTATTCAGTAACACGCTGTGGTGTGTAGCCCGGGAGCATGGGCTCTGCCACACAGCCTAGGTGCGCAGTACGCGGTGCCATCTAGGTTTGTTCTAAGTATGCGCTATGATGTTCGCCCAGATGAAATTGCCTCACAAAGCATTTCTCAGAATGCATCTCCATTGTTAAGTGATGCTCGGCTGTAGGAAATTGCTTACAAGCCTGGAGTGTGCTTAGTGTGTGTGTCTTTGGAGGGTGAGGTGGGAGCGGGAAGTGATTCCCTCGAGTCAACAGGAAGTGAATGCTGCCGGCTACTCTCTTATGGAGAGACTTTCCACATCCGAAGAGGCAGATGCATGCACTCTGTCATGGCCAACTCAGAGCTCAAGTTCCTGCCATGTGCGGAGCTCCGGCCCAGACCTTTCCCCCAAGGGGGTGTGGACACTCTTCCTTTGGTGTGTGTGAGCCTATATCTGAAAAGCTGTTTTGCTTCTGTTTGTTTTTAAAGGTTCCTGAATGACATTTCTCCTTTATTTTTTTAGGCACGTAACAAAACATAGACCTGTTTTGAAGTGGCTTGTTACCCAAGGGTGCCTCACTCATCTGCGCCACCAGGAAGATGAACTGTGAGGGCTCCTATAAGGGGCAGGAAGAGCAAAGCTGTCCTAGGCCAACCAGAGATTCATCTTTCATGCAGTGACATGTTGATAAAAAATGATGGTCAGTATGAAACTGGTAACAGGTTGTAGATGGCTTTCTATGGTATATCCCAGTCTCTTGCAAACGATTGTGAAGAATGCCAGTGTTGTTTAAGATTCGGCAGTTTGTGTGGGGAGGTGGGGGCAGGATGGGGTTTGGTTGCCAAAAGAGTTTGGGAAATGCTGGCTTAAACAAAGGCGAGAGGAAGTTCCTTTCACGTCAGGATTTATGAATGCCTATGAGCCCAGTGTCAGTGACGACTTTCTAGCGGCGGTCTTCAACACTTTCTAAATATTAAGCGATCAAGGCCCCTGCCCCACTTTTAGTTCCAACAGAATGCCGTTCACAAGATCTGGGAGGCACTCTCTCAGCCCTCTCCTGGAGCCCCCGGAATTTCTCAGCAGCCCAGGCCCTCCCGCTGCCCGTGGCCCCTCCTCCCAGGTGCCAGGTGGTCTTCCAGCCTCTCCAAGGGCCCACCCCCCTGCCTCTTCCTCCCACTGCAGCTGATCTAGGGGTTTCTTGGCCACATTTCCCTTGAGAGAGAGTGGGATTTGCCCTATCCACAGAGAGCCTCATTTCCACCTGAAGGTGTATTTGTCAGTGGCTAGACCAGGTTCATGTCTGTTTCCCCTTGGGGACTTCTGAACCTTCCTGCCCGGGAGTCTGTAACACAGCAGCACAGGACCGCGCTTCCTTTAGCAGTGCTGAGTAAGCAGGCAGCGGCACTCTGAGATCCCGGGGCTGGGCAGTCGCCCCCCACTTCCCAGCAGCTCTGTGGTAGTGGGGCGGGAGCAGCAGGGACGTACCTTAAGATTTCTCCAGTGTCTGACTCTTACTTTGTTTCCTGAAATAATTAGAGAAAAGTCGTTTAATGAAAAAGAGACTGTGTACCTTGAATTCTACAGCTACCTCAGTCCAGGCTGCCTGCTGAGATCCTGTCTTTAGCTCACATACATTCCACGGTGGGGGACACCATTAGTCCAGACACCGCTGTGGAGATTAGCATTTTAGTTTGTGTGCGCCCGCCTGGCTTGAGGCAGTAGTTTAGGAATGACAAGGCTAGAAACCTGGCTGGCTGTGAGTCAGAGAGAGAGAGGATGGACGTGGGAGAAAGCAAGCAAAAGCTACCCTAGGGAAGAGCCGGTGACGTGCACAGGCCGAGCAGCACGGCTGGTGAGCTGCAGGCTGCGGCCTTGCCCGGACACTTGGTAATGCCAAACAAGTACGTGTGGCTACTCATTGGTCTATGAGGACGATGACAGGCTTCGACTCTGTGGTTTCTAAAGCATATAATATTCTCACGTACTTCTTTCAGCAAACGCCAAACAGTAGTAATTCTTGTAACTACCTTGAACCCTTTGTGGAAAGAACCTGGGTGTGAGTGAATAAAAAGTAAAGAGCGACGCGCTATATCGGCCATTAAATACTCGGGGCTGTCCGTAACACCCTGTGCTTCCCAATTGTAGCACCATGTTCTGTGTGAATATGCATAACCAGAGTGACCCCCCCCAGCACCCAGCATGCCCGGCTGTGCCCCTCTGGGTATGCTCACATGCACATATATGGACATACAGTTTCGTAGCAGAACGTGGCTGCCCAGGGGCTGCCTATCTGGGCGAGTAGACCGCCTGGCTCAGCCCACAGGCCTGCAGCATCCCATAGCACCCCGCCCTTGCCCCATCACCCTGTGGGCTACATGCAGGACACGGCATGGGCCTGCTCCCCAGAGGCACCTGTTTGGGGTCTTCTTGAGGCTTGTGCTTTCACAGCTCTCTTTGAAGCAGATGTCTTGGTGAACTCGGTAGACTCTTTTATACCTGTTGTCACAAGAAAGCTTTGTAAAACCAGACAGTGAAGCAAAATGTTGCCAACTGCTTAACCTAGGCTATGTGAACCCACAGTAAACCTGAAGGTGTTTGAGGGAAAAACTGCTATTTTCTGAATGAAACGTGACCTCCTATTGATGTATTAAAATGTCTAACATAAAGGTCATGTGATTTGTAATAAATTTATTGTGGTACAGTAATATGCATAAAATAAACCCATTTTAATGTGCATTCTGATGAGCACTGACAAAGGATATGGTACTAAAAATAAAATGTGAAATGTCAAAGACATGTCAGTGCTAGAGGCAGCCACCTGGCCGGAGGCCTGGGGAAGGTATGGCCTCGCTTTTCTGTTTTTCTGGGTATTTCACAGAGAAGTTTGAGGAGTGTTGGGGATTCGGGATTCGGATGTAGGCATTGTAGAACAGGAGACCCGATTTCATCTCCTGCCTCTTCCATTTATTAACCAGGCTACTTTGAGCAAGTCTCTTCAAGTTTTAAGCCTCGGTTGCAGGTAAAAATGGGACCTACTCATACCATCTCTCTTACAAGTTTGTAGATAATAATGGATGGGAAGGCGTTTTGTCTTTTGTTAAAGTTCTCAAATGTCAGAGCTGTTTAAAAGGGAAATCCAAGGAGTTCAGCAGGCAAAGCTCCAACTCATATGCTAAGTCTCATAGAACCTTTAGGATCGAAAACCTGTGGTAAGACTTCCATTTCTGGACATGAAAGAGTAACAGAATCTGGAATTAACCTCCCAATGTGAACAACCAGAGAACTGGACAAAATATAGTAAGTAACTGTATGTCAGATGTTAGAAAACAGACAACACGAGACTGTAATCCCTGAGAGAGGAGAAACAGATGAGATGAGTCCTGTGGTCAGCCTGGAATTCAGCCTAGAGAAGTTTTTGGATGGCATCACAGAGAAAGGGGATCCAAGCAGTGGTCACACTGAGTTGAGGAAACAGAGATTGAAGTTGGGGAGACAGAGGCAGCTGGAATTTGTGGGGCAGTACTGAAGAGGAGGGAACTATGCAGAGGAGGAACTCCAGAATCTGTGTAGGGTCCCCTTGGGCCTGTGGTTGGAAATAAAGCTGTGCATGCATAGGGTGAATCCCCACAAGGCAAAGAAGAACTACTGAGGAGTTGAACGATTTCCAGAGCCAGAGTAGAGAGATCTTGTTTATTAGGCCATCCATAGAAACCCCAGACAGGGCCAGGTGCGGTGGCTCACTCCTGTAATACCAGCACTTTGGGAGGCCAAGGCGGGCCGATCACTTGAGGTCAGGAGTTTGAGGCCAGCCTGGCCAACATGGTGAAACCCTGTCTCTACTAAAATACAAAAATTAGCTGGGCATGGTGGTGAGTGCCTGTAATCCCAGCTACTTGGGAGTCTGAGGCAGGAGAATAGCTTGAACCCAGGAGGGCGGAGGTTGTAGTGAGCTGAGATCGCTCCACTGCACTCCAGCCTGGGCGACAGAGCAAGACACTGTCTCAAAAAAAAAAAAAAAAAAAAAAAAGAAACCGCAGAAAGGCCATGCCATAGAACTAGGGCAAAATTAACCCCAGAATAAAGGCTACTCCAAAGCCACCTAAAACAAGCCTCAGAAGGATCAAACTATACTCAGATAATGCCTTGCAGAGAAAAAACATTCTTGAAAAGAAAACAAACAAACAAACAAATCCAGCGTCAGTAACATAAAACTTACAATGCCCAGCATCCAATAAAAAACTATAAGACATTCAAGAATCATTTGAATAATCAAAAAAGTGACCCATAACCTAGAGAAAAATAATCAAATAGAATAAGACCCAGACATGAGAGTGATGACAGAAATAGCAGATGAGGACCTTAAAATATCTATTATAAATTTGTTCCACATGTTCAGTGAGCTAAAGGAAAATATAAAGATAATGAAGATAGAAATTGGAGCATCTAAGAAACAACTAAATGAAACTTCTGGAGATGATAAAACACAGTATTAATAAAACTTTTGTTGAACAGGATTAATGGTAGATGCTGCAGAAGAAAAGATCAATGACCTTGAGTGCATAGCAATAGAATCTGTCCAAAATGAAAAGACTGAAAAAGTTGAGAAGAGCTGCAGTGACCTGTGGGACAATATCAGTCTAATACACGCATAACTGGAGTCCCAGAAGTAGAAGAAATGGAGGGACAGGAAAAATATATGAAGAAATAATGGCAAAAATTTTACGAAGTTTGACAAAATTAAAACCCAGAAATACAAGAAGCTTAAACTCCAGAGAATCAAAACGTAGCCATACCGAGAAGCACATCATAATTAAATTGTCCAAAAACAGTCATAAAGGGAAAACATAAAAGGGGCAGGAAGACACATTCCATACAGTGTAACACAGGTAAGAATGACTGCAGTCTTCTTGTCTGGAACTATGCAAGCCAGAAGACAAAGCCATGACAACTTTTAAGTCATGAAAGAAAAAAATATAACTGTCAATCAAGAAGTCTATATTCAGCAAATATATTCTTCAAAAATGAAGGTGAAAAAAAAATAGTTTCAGACAAAAGCAGAGAGAATTCATCTCCTGCAGACCTGTGCTATAGGAGATGTTAGAGTTAAGTTCTTATGGCAAAGAGAAATGATACCAGATGGAATCCTAGATCTACAAAAAGGAATGAAGAGTGCTGGAGTCGGCAGGCAGATGTACAATAAATACAAAATACTTTACTTTCAATATCTAAAACAAGATAATTTTTGAGTGCAAAAATAACGTATAGTGCAGTTCACAGCATATGTGGAAGGAAAAAGTCTGATAATAATTCAAAGGATGGGAGGGAAGTGGAAGCTTGATGTCAGCCGCTGCCATGGATACTGAAGTTGTCTACTAGTGATTAAAGGTATGCGGCGTGAAGTTGAAGATGTGTATGGTAAATCCTAGACACTGCTGGCCGGGCACAGTCACTCACGCCTGTAATCCCAGCACTTTGGGAGGGCAAGGTGGGTGGATCACCTGAGGTCATGAGTTTGAGACCAGCCTGGCCAACATGGTGAAACCCTGTCTCTACGTAAACTTTGTCTCTACTAAAAATACAAAAATTAGCAGGGTGTGGTGGCAGGCGCCTGTAATCCCAGCTACTCGGGGGGCTGAGGCAGGAGAATTGCTTGAACCCAGGAGGCAGAGGTTGCGATGAGCCAAGATCGCACCATCGCACTCCAGCCTGGGGGACAAGAGGGAGACTTTGTCTCAAAAAAAAAAAAAAAAAAATCCTAGACGCTGCCATCATATTGAACTCGTACAATAGTAATTAAGGGTACATTGTGTTAAGGTGAAGATGTGTATGGCAAATCCCAGAGCAACCTCTAAACAATAAACCTAAGAAGTATAACCAGTAAGCCCATAGTGGAGACAAAATGGAATCCTAAAAAGTAATCCAAAATTAGGCAGGAAAAAAGAAAAAAGGAACAAAAAGCAGGTGGGAAAAATAGAAAACAAATAGTAATATGGCAGTTTAAATCCAACCACATCAGCCATTATGTGGAAGGTAGTAAATGGTCTAAATACTCCAATAAAAACCAGACTGTCAGACTAGATATCCAGCAAGACCCACCTCTATGTTAAATACTAGAAAGTCACTTGAAATATGCAGATAGGTTAAAAGTGAAAGGATAGAATGCTTTCAGGAAGTGAAGGGTCTTCTTGTTGGATACTTGGTGGTCACCAGCAGGCACTGGTGTAACTAAGCACAGCGGGAAGATGGCAGATACTGTGGATTCGGACTCTCACTGCATAGAATCCGAATTCAGTGGGCTGTCAACACGGCTTCCCAAATCCCAACACAGATTAGTATCTCATATGTGTTCCTGCTACATATTACACCTGGCTTCATGTCCAAGCTCTAATGAAGCTTCTACCCTTGCCCGTCTACATCCCATTCTCCACAGAGCATCCAAAGTAGTGTAATCGAACATGTCACTCTTCTGCTCAGAACCCTTCAGTAGCTCCTCCCCATTTCATGCCGGACAAACACCAGAGTCCTTCTGTGGGTCTCCATGGCCCCGAGGGTTCCCTGTCCCTCACCTCTCACCACTCTCCACTTCTCCCCCAACATGCCAGGGACACTCCTGACTTGGGGCCCTGGTAACTGTCCTCTGGCTCTGGAATGTCCATCCCTCCTCCATGTCTGTTCAGCATCGCCCTCCCCAGGAGGCTGCCCTCTTGCTGCACCAGCCCTGCCCATCCCCAGCAGGCTCTCCTGGTCTCGTCCTGTCATCTCGTCCTTTTTCCCTTTGCACTCACCACCTGCCACACCACACACCACACTCTCACTGCTGTCTGTTGTCTGTCCCCTCATCTGCAATGAACGGGTCCTGAAGGCAGGGCTTTGGTCTGCTCTGTTCTGATGTGTGCTGAGTATCTAGAACAGTGCCCGGCACACAGCAGGTACTCAGTAAGTCATCTGTTGACTAAATGGACAGTGCCCGGCACACAGCAGGTGCTCAGTAAGTCATCTGTTGACTAAATGGACTGTGTGACCGACAGAGTCATAGAGTGTTAGCAAGAAAGGACCTAAGAGATGGGCTGGGCATCTCTCCCTCCACAGCCCATTTTGGAGATGGGGGGCCTAAGGCCACATCATGAGTTAATGGCAGAACTGGGGCCGGCATTCTCATGAGCTGTTTGTTTTTCCAGGGGGCTCTGAGGAAGAGAAGAGAGGAAGGTCACATCAGTTGGCTCTGCCATCCAGTGGGGACTGGGCTGATGTGTGGGAAGGAAGGCCTGGGGGCCTGGGGACCAGGAGCCTGCGTTCTTCTCAGCCCCTGCTCCTGAGCTGCATGGACTTGGGGCAGTTATTCGGTTTTTCTGCCTCAGCTGCCTAATTTGTGACATGGAGGGAATCGATGGTCAAAGCAAGTCCCTTCTGTGACTGCAGCCATCGTCCCTCCTCAGGGTTAGCTGGGTAGCTTTGAGACAGCACTTTGAGGAGTCAAGAACACACGACAAATGCGGTAAGGCGGAGGACAGAAACCAACTTACACGTGGTGACAGACGCCTCCCTCCCAGACTGGAAAGGCCTTTGTCTCGGAGAACAGCCTTGTGCAGGGGCGGGACACCTTTATACAGGCTGCGACAAAGAAGGGCAGTGGCTCACCAGGTGCTCCTGACGGCTCCTCCTGCCCCTCTTGAGAGGCCTTGCCCAAGGGAGAGGGCCCGGGGGTCCTTAGGCTGGCTTCCTCCAAGGCGGGATGGTGGGAGAGGGCCCGGGGGTCTGCAGCTGGCTTCCTCTAAGGCCGGGGTGGGTTGGTATTGTGGGGGTGGAGAGTCCCTTCTCCTGACACCGCTCTGGCTGGGTCAGGGAGCCCTCCGAAGCTGTGCCTCGCATGCTGTGGCTGTTCTGACCCCCGTGATGGGCAGCACCTCTCATCCTGGTGCTTGGGGCAGCAGCGCAGCCCCTGGGGGCTCAGGGGTCAGCCCCGTGCACCAGACTCCCTGTCTGGCACCTCATCGTTTGGAGGCTCCCGTGGCAAACCCAGCTGTGGCCCAGCAGTCCTAGGCTGAGGCACAGGCTGTGTTGGAAGGGGCGCCCTGAGGCCAAGCCCCGACTTACCGAGCTCGCAGCGTCTGCCTTTGAACCCTGGCCCGCAGTCACAGCTGTGGGCGTCTGCGCCCGGCACACAAGTGCCTCCGTTCTGACAGGGGTTTTCTGAACAGTTGCCAGGGACGTCTGGAAACAGAGGTCACGAGAGGTTAGTCACTGGAACCCCAGGACAGGCCTGCCTCATGGACATGTTGCTGTCCCTTCCTTGATGACCTGATGCAGGGTGGCCGTGCACTCCTCTGTGGTGTGCTGCGGTGGCCTCCCAAACGCCTCTGGGCCCTAGAGCGTGGTCCCAGTTCAGGTGTTGAGAGAGAGCAGAGGTGAGGAGACAGGCCGCAGTGTGCTCGGCCCTGACCTCATTACTGGAAGGAAGGAAGACAAACAAAAACAAGGAGGAGGAGAAGGAGGAGGGAGAGGGAGGGAGGAGCGGGGCCTTCAGTGCTGAGCCCCCACTGGCCTGTGGCCCCTCCCCACCCCGACCCTTGCTGGCTTTGCCCCTGAACACGGTTTCTGCTGCTTGGATCCTGAGGTCCCTCCTGGTGCTCTAATGGATGTGACTTACTGCTCACTTGATCCCACCCCTGTGTTTCCTGTGAACTCTCACTAGAGAGAGGTGCTTGATAGGATTTAGGTTCAGATGGTCTTTGCAGGGCTGCTGCCCAGGGATGCGTGTGCACCCCCAGCCAGCCCAGGCGGCCTGTGATGTGTCCAAGTCCCACTCGAGTGACACGAGGACTGGTCACTGGTCCAGTGCTGGCAGCCTGACCAACCCAGAAAAAAGTCCCCACGGGCCTTGCACCTGATGGCTCGAGCAAGACATCGAGATCCCTGATCCAAGGGCTGTCCTCTCACAGACCTGTGTCTGTCCCTGTCGCTCCTGCCCTCACCAGCTGGAGAGTGGTCTGTGAAGACAGGCTTTCCCTCACCTACCCCGTGGTCACCCTGGACTGGTCCACACAGGCACGGCAGCGTGAAGGCTCCACCCTGCTCCTTTGCTTGTGTGCCTGCAGACCGAGTTGGTCCTCAGCAAGCTCCAAAGTTGCCCACTAGGTTGCTTCTTCTTTCTGAGCATCACGATGAACACAGAGATATTGGTATATTTCATGGGCTTCCGTCCATTGCTGTCAGTTGTTTTCCTGATGCTCAATTTATTCTGTCTTTGGACAGCGGGAGCCCTTCAGGTTGGCTCCCCGCCCTCAGGACATGGTCTGCTGTTTTGAAAGCTTGCTTGCTTTTTACACAACATGTCCTGGGCTTATTTTGTCCACATCCTGCTTCAGTCTTGGAATCACCCATTTCTCCAAAGATCACTGGCTTCTTGGTGAGAACGAGATCTAGAGCCCACAGCCTGGCACTCACACCGCTCCCTATTATGGGATGTCACAGCTTCAGGCCTTTCAATGAACAGAACTAGAAAATTAGGCTTCTTTAAAAAATAAACACATTATGAGTTCATACTAATATTTCCATTTCAAATTAACAGAATCAAAAGACAAACAAGATTTTATTTATTTATTTTGAGATGGAGTCTTGCTCTGTTGCCCAGGCTGGAGTGCAGTGTCGCGATCTCAGCTCACTGTAACCTCTGCCTCCTGGGTTCAAGTGATTCTCCCACCTCAGCCTCCCGAGTAGCTGGTACTACAGGCGCGCACCACCATGCCTGGCTAATTTTTGTATTTTAGTAGAGACGGGGTTTCACCATGTTGTCCAGGCTGGATTCAAACTCCTGACCTCAAGTCAACTGCCCGTTTCAGCCTCCCAAAGTGCTGGGATTACAGGTGTGAGCCACTGCGCCCAGCCAAAACAAACAAGATTTTTAACTTCTTTCATTTTATATTTTTAATTCTTTACACTGAAAATCTTGGTGGCGTTAACAATTATTTTCTTTATCCTACCATATACATGCAATCATTTCAAAATAACAATTCAGGTATTACTACTAACATTAAGATCACTGAGTATAGCCTAACATTCCTTGGCGATGCTTTTTATCCTTAGACCATATTCCATTAGGGGTGAACAGACTACTCTTATTAAAATCGCTTGCAATGATATTTTTTTCCTGTGTGGTTATGCCATCCACATGATAACTAGGTTTACTTATTTCAGTATGTTTTCAATTTTTAGGTGTTGCCTTTTCTTTTTATTGTTTTTAAAACCTTTTTTTTGGTTCTAAAGTCAAAACTGTAAAACAAGGTTCATTCAGAGAAGCCTCGCCGATCTCCAGTCCCATTATGCAGTTCTTTCCCTCCTCATTTAGTGAACCATCTTATTAGTTTCATTTCTTTATTAAAATGAGGACAAAATTTGTATTTCCCTTCTCCATTTTCCTACACAAAAGACAACATACTGAAAACACTGTTCTGCACGTTACTTTTTTTTTTTTTTTTTGAGATGGAGTCTCACTCTGTCGCCCAGGCTGGAGTGCAGTGGGGCGATCTTGGCTCACTGCAAGCTCCGCCTCCTGGGTTCATGCCATTCTCCTGCCTCAGCCTCCTGAGTAGCTGGGACTACAGGCGCCTGCCACTGCGCCCGGCTAATTTTTTGTATTTTTAGTAGAGATGGGGTTTCACCATGTTAGCCAGGATGGTCTCGATCTCCTGAACTTGTGATCCACCTGCCTCGGCCTCCCAAAGTGCTGGGATTACAGATGTGAGCCACCGCGCCCGGCCTTTTTTTTTTTTTTTTTGAGATGGAGTCTTACCCTGTCACCCAGGCTGGAGTGCAATGGTGCGATCTCGGCTCGCTGCAGCCTCCGCCTCCTGGGTTCAAGCAATTCTTCTGCCTCAGCCTCCTGAATAGCTGGGATTATAGGCGTGTGCCACCATGCCTGGCTAATTTTTGTATTTTTAGTAGAGACAGGGTTTCCCTATGTTGGCCAGGCTGGTCTCGAACTCCTGACCTCAAGTGATCCACCTGCCTCAGCCTCCCAAAGTGCTGGGATTACAGGCATGAGCCACCGTGCCTGGCCTGCACATAACTTTTTTAAAGCAGGCATTATTGAGATAATTCATATAACATAAAATTCACCCAAAGTGTACAATTTATTGGTTTTAAGCATATTCACAGATACAGGCATCCATCAGCACAATTTTAGAACATTTTCGTGACCTCAGAAAGAAACCTTGTACCTTTTAGCTGTTACTGCCTTCCCCATCCCCTCCACCCTCCAGTCCTGAGCAACCGCTAATGTACTTTCTGTCACTAGAGAGCTCCCTCTGCTGGACTTTCATATGAATGGAATCATAGTACATAGAGTCTTCTGTGTCTGGCTTCTTCCACTTAGCATGTTTTCAAGATTCATCCATGTTGTAGCATGCAGCATGCGTCCTTGTTTTATGGTTGAATCGTGTTCCATTGAGTGGATATACCATGTTTTGCTTATCCTTTCTTTTCTTTCTTTCTTTTTTTTTTTTTTTTGAGACGGAGTCTAGTTCTGTCTCCCAGGCTGCAGTGCAGTGGCGCGATCTCACCTCACTGCAAACTCCACCTCCCGGGTTCAAGCGATTCTCCTGCCTCAGCCTCCTGAGGAGCTGGGACTACAGGCGCCCGCCACCACGCCCAGCTAATTTTTGTATTTTTAGTAGAGACGGGGTTTCACCGCGTTGGCCAGACTTGTCTCGAACGCCTGACCTGGTGATCTGCCCGCCTCGGCCTCCCAAAGTGCTGGGATTACAGGCGTGAGCCACCGCGCCCGGCCACTTTTCCTTTCGTTAGTTGATTGACACTTTGGTGGTTTCTACTTTCTGGCTTTTGTGCTGTGCTGCTATAAATATTTGTGTACAGGACCTCATGTGGACATAGGTTTTCATTTCTCTTGGGTATATACCTAGGAGTGCAATTACTGGGTCATGCGGTAACTATTGGTTTAATCCTTTAAGGAACTGCCAGACTGTTTTCCAGAGCAGCTGTACCACTTTACAGTCCCACCAGCAGCGTAGAGGGTTCTGATCTCTCCACGTCCTCACCAATGCTTATTATTATCTGACTTTTTAATTCCCGCCATCCTAGTGGTTTTGATGTGCATTTCCCTGCTGACTAATGATGTCAAGGATCTTTTCGGTGTGATTACTGGCCATTTGCATATCTTCCTTGCAGAAATGTCTTTTTAGGTCCTTTGCCCCTGTCTGAATTGGGTTGTCTTTTTATTGTTTAGTTGTCAGAGCTCTTTATTTTAGATATGGGTCTCTGATCAGGTATGATTTGCCCATGTCTGAACTGGGTTGTTTGTCTTTTTATTGTTCAGTTGTCAGAGCTCTTTATTTTAGACGCGGGTCTCTGATCAGGTATGATTTGCATGTTTCCTCCACTCCACAGGTTGTCATGTCACTTCCTTGATGGCATCCTTTGAGGCACAGAAGTTTTAAGTTTTGATGAAGAGTAGTTTATATATAGATTTTTGTTGTTGCTCATACTTTTATTGTTGAGCCTAAGGACCCTCATGATCGAAGGTCATGAAGATTTACTCCTATGTTTTCTTCTAAGAGTTTTGGTTTTAGCTCCTAACATTTAGGTTGTTGGTCAATTTGTGGTAATTTGTGTTATGAGGTATATGGTACGAGGGCTCCGGCCTCATTCTTTTTGCATGTGGATATCCAGCTGTCCCAGCACCATTTGCTGAGACTATTCTTTCCACATTGAATGGTTTCAGCCCCCTTGTAGAAGTCAGTTGGCCATTGACGTGTGGTTTATTTCCAGACTCTCAATTCTTTTTTTTTTTTTTTGAGACGGAGTCTCGCTCTGTCGCCCAGGCTGGAGTGCAGTGGCGCAATCTCAGCTCACTGCAAGCTCCACCTCCCGGGTTCACGCCATTCTCCTGCCTCAGCCTCCGGAGTAGCTGGGACCACAGGCGCCCGCCACCATGCCCAGCTAATTTTTTGTATTTTTAGTAGAGACGGGGTTTCACCATGGTCTCGATCTCCTGACCTGGTGATCCGCCCGCCTCGGCCTCCCAAAGTGCTGGGATTACAGGCCTGAGCCACTGCGCCCGGCCCTGGACTCTCAGTTCTTTTCCACGGATTACAGGCGTGAGCCCCCGCGCCCGGCCCTGGACTCTCAGTTCTTTTCCACTGATCTAAATGCCTATCCTTAACCCATTACCACACCAACAGGTTTCACCATGTTGGCCAGGCTAGTCTTGAACTCCTTCCTGGCCTCAAGTGATTCACCTGCCTAGGCCTCCCAAAGTGCTGGGATTACAGGTGTGAGCAGGTCTGAGTTTTAAAAGGCAAACAATTAATCTTTAAAAGGATATGATTTTATATATATATAGAAAACCCCAAAGAATGTATGACAAGAATAGGAGAGTTTGGCAAGATGGTTGGCTATAAGGTCAGTATGCAAAGGTCAAATAAATATCTATACTCCAGTAATAAATAATCAGGAAAAGTAACTTTTAAAGTATATACTAGTATCAAACTATATAATAGTATCAAACTATAAAATACCTAGGAATAAGTCTGAATTCCATATAAAACTTTACTGAAAGATATTAAATAAGTCATAATGTCATATATGGAGAGACATCCCATGTCCATGGATATAGACTTACTATCCTAAAGATGTCAATTTTCACAAAAATGGTCAATGGATTGAATGCACACCCAGTCATCATTATCTCAAAGGCCTTTTCCATAGAGTGTGACTAGATTTGAAGGTGTATATGTGGAAGAAAAAAGGCCAAGGGTAGCAATGATACTTCTGAAGATGAAGAGTAAAGGAAAGGAACTTTGCCAATCAGTTCCAGGACTTACAAAGTTAGAGTGAACACAGGGCAGTATTGGCACAGATGTATCAAATTGACGCCGCCAGAATTCTACTTTTATATGTGGAATTTTGATACTGACAGTGGGGGAAAAAGGGACTTTTTAGCATGAAGAGATGAAAAATCCAGTTTACCCATATGCATAAAAAATGAAATTGTAGCCCAACTTCTCACACACACACAGTCTAACAGATTAATGACCTACAGGTCAAAAGCAAAACTTTACATCTTTGTGAAAAAAATATACATGAATAACTTTCTAACTTTGGTGTGGGGAAGGATATTTTTTAAAGAAGGCTCCCAACTTGTTAACCACTAATGCTTGATAAATTTGATTATGAACTTTTCTCTATTAGGAAGTACCACCAAGAACAGGGAAGGACAAGCCAGAGGCTGGAGGAAGATACCTGCAGAACACAGACCTGACAAAGGATCAGTATCAAAACATATAAGAATTTTGACAAATGAATAAAAAGAGTACAAATAACCCAACATAAAGTCAAAAGGCGTGATCAGGCATTTCACAGAAGCAAACACCTTTGGTGGATGCCCATGAGGAGAGGCGCAGTCACATCAGTGCCCAGGAGATGCAAACCCAGATCCCAGGGGTGTGCATCCCACCCGTTCTGCCTGTAGGATCTGCAAACCCGGCAAAACCTAGTTCTAGAGAGACTGGATTCACTGCATGTCTTCATCACTGCTGGAGGGAGCGCAGACTGCTATCGCCTCTTAGAAAATGACTTAGTTCTCATGTAATTTGGGCATTCACACATCCTCATCCTAGATCCAGCTTTTCCACTCCCGCACACGTACTGGAAAACCTGTACAGGAACATCCACTGCAGCACTGCTCATACCAAACACAACCTACATGTTCTCTGCACAGAGAGGGGAGAAGAGCCGGTCAGTTCACTCAGTGGACTCTGTGCTCAATAGTAGGTGTGAATAAGCCGCAGCCGCCCAGACCGCATGGGCCAACCTCAGTCCGAGAATGCGGAGTGAAAACACAGGTCTAACGATCACACATGGCAAGATAATTATCTTGCAAAGAAAACTCACTTATTGTTCTGCCATACATATATGTACCATAGAATCACTCCCCGCACCTTCCACTCTGAAAAAACAAAGGAATTCTAGGCACAAAGTTCAGGATCATGGTTAACTGAGGGGAGAGAACAGGGAGTATGATGGCAAGATAGAAGGTATCGTTCACATCCAAGTTTATAGGTTGGGTTCTTGATTTAGTCATTATTCAAAGGCTAATAACTAAATAAAAGGTAGCTAGCGTGAGAGTGCAACATGAACCAAAGATCATGACTGGCTTTGCGCATCGAGGGGCCATTAAAGAGTCTACTTTTCATGTTATCACTTAAAATCATTTTGCACCCACCAGGGCATGAGCATCTCGTGCTGGCAAACACCACATGACCGTGGTGACCTCAGGGCCAGCCCGGGGGTCATCTTGAATCTCTCCTGCTGAAGAGACCCAGGAGGGTAACACACGCCCCTCCAATCTCTGAGTTCTAGGAAATGAACACCTGGTATTTAAAGGGGCTGACATAATGCAAATCATCTGATGAAATGTTTGTTTTAGTTCACTTAAAGATCAACACGAGAGTCTTCACTCTGAATGGGCCACACCTGAATTAAGAGAATCCTTCACTCTCTGCGTCGGATGCACAAACCAGTCCTCCTGGTGCTCACAGGGGCTAGCAGCAAGTCCAGACCTTGTATGGTGAGGGCGGGGGGGGGATGGTGAACTTAGGGTTCAGCGAAACCGCCACTTGCAAACACACCCCACCGCAGGTGCCCTTGATGTGTACACATGTCCTTGAGAAGCTGGGGGCAAGGCCTTGCGGGTGAGACCACGCTCAGCAGCTCACACCTTTACCAAGTACTAGGACTTCTTTGGGGTTGGGTTGAGGGGTGATCCCAATCTGAGTCTATGGTATGACTCAGGGGAGAACAGGTCACCGGGTGCTAGGAGAGCTGTCCATAGAGGACACAGCCCCAAAGGATTAGAACCAGGAGAAAGGTAGAGTCTGACTCAGGGTGAGGAACACACATGTATTGGTGCTGCCCGAAGGGGAACTGCCTCGTGAGCGTCTGGGAACTCTTACTGCAGGTGCTCAGCAGATGCTTGGTGCCCTGCAGGGACGTGCTGGCCTCGATCCTCACGAGGCAGAGCCCCGGACTAGGAGACAGTTCAGGTCCTGCATAACCTGAGTGTCCACAGGGCCCAGCTAGTCCTCAAGCTGGGGCTCGCCCAGTGGCTGCTCCCTCTGCTTCTCCCATCCTGACTCCGCCTGCTCCTCTTTGGAGAAGTGAGGGGTGAGGGGCCCAGAGGCAGGGGCTGGGGTGGGCTCTGCTGCATGTGGAGGCGAAGGAGGAGAGGGGAGGGGAGGCAGCATCAAAGCCAGTCTCTCTAGCTCAGACTCTGGGTGGTTTGGGTGGGTCCTGCCCCCTGGCCTGTTCCCGTCTGTGGGGTCCCACTGCTTGGGTGGTGTAGCTTCACCCCATCTTCCCACACCGGGGTGCCTGGTGCTCAGCCTCCCCTCAGGTAGGCTCTGTGCCTCCTGATTCCTCACCGTGGGTGGTCCCTCCTGCCTGCAGCCTCTAAGGCCCCTGAGAGCAGTCAGTCAGTCCCAAAGTCCCCACCAGCGCTGCTGACTCACTTCCGATGTCCTTGCTGCCGTGTTCAGGGAGCTGGAGGGCCAGGCTGACCCGCTTGGGGGCTTCCTCCATGTTCTCGAGCTGCGCCGAGGCTGTGGGTTCTAGGAGAAGCCAGGCGGTGACCACACGGCGCAGCTGCTTTGCACCCGGGATGGTCCTGGGGCCACCCTTTTGAGTGCTTCTATATCTCAGGGAGCACGGATGTCCCTGGTGGGGACCAGGCTCCCTGCGTGGCCCCAGCACCTGTCGGCCCCAGAGCTGCCTCCCCTGAAGGGCTGGCCTCACCCTCCTGCTGACCCTCTGGAGGGGCTCGGCCTTCCCCTTGCAGGGCCCCCTCAGAGCTGCTTCAGGGACAGCCACCACTGATCATGCTGAGAGGCCCCATCCTCACGGCTGATGCGGTTGCTTTCTTCTTAGGGTCAAATTCTGCATTCCTCTCCTTCCACCCCTGCTTCTTGGAGGCTGTGGCACCCCCTGCTCTTTCTGAGCTGCCCTCAGTCTGTACTGACCTTCCTCATGCCCTCGCCCCCAACTGCATCACTTCTTATGCAGGGATCTCAACCGCACCCTCGGGCACTTCATATCCGCTTCCATAGCTGCAAGTACAACGGGCCCCCCTCTGTACTCCAGATCTCACCTGCCCACCACTGGGCATCCCGGGCAGCTGCCTGCCCTCTCCTCAGACACCTTGCTGGGGGCTCTCTCCCCTGCTCACCGTGCGGCAGGGACCCCAGGGCTCTGGTCCCTGCTTGCCACTCTCCTTGCTGCATTTCCCTCCCTCCTCTGCCTGAGGAGTTTTTGCTCAGAGCGTGTTCATTAAACTGGTGACTAGGCTCTGTTGGGGAGTTCCATGAGGATGACCACCTGGCCTTCCAGGTGAGAGGCAAGGGCCAGAGAGGTCCCCTCTGGGGCAGGGTCGCGCCTGCCTCACTCCTGCCAACATGTCTCAGGGCTTCTGTGTCAGAATCACAGGCAGATTCCCAGAGCGGCACTCACCCAGTAAACCCGGTGGGAAGGGCCCAAGGCACCTGGGCCCATCAGCCTTGCTGCCACCGGGAAGATCTTGCCAGGACAGTGGCGGAGGATTTGCCGGACCACACTCGGAGTGGCGGGTTAGACCCTCATGGCCTCCTGCCCATGGTTTACTAAAACAAAGCTCAGAGCCCTACTTTGGCAAATAAAGCTGCTGTAATGTCTCAGACCTGCTTCTAAAATGTTTATCTTCTCTTGCGTGCCCTACCAGCAGCCTGCGCCTCCAGCCCACACACTGACGTGAGGCCCTCACGAGCTGCCCCTCCTGCCATGGAGGTGCATGCTGCCGGCGGCCCACGAGCCCCGCGCCTTGTGCACAGTCGGGGTGGGGGTCACTGGCTGGAGACTGCGCTGGCGGTGGGGGTGGGCTCATCATGTAGGGGACAGGACCTGGTGAGAGTGGCAGTGAGGACGAGGGTGGGCCACCAAGGTGGGTGGGGAGGCCCTGGCACTCACGTGATCTCACGGTGGCTGCTTTGCTGGGTGAGCCACCGAACCTGGCGCTCACTCTTCCTCTGCCGTCCACAAGCTCCGAGAACCTGCAGAGAGGGTGGGAGGGTCACCACAGTCCGAGCGCCGCCTCGGGCGATGGGGCCGATGGGTGGGGCATGTA
Organism: Homo sapiens; assembly: GCF_000001405.40. Taxonomy (NCBI): domain Eukaryota; kingdom Metazoa; phylum Chordata; class Mammalia; order Primates; family Hominidae; genus Homo; species Homo sapiens. The sequence continues at coordinate 241,071,721 of NC_000002.12, read as the reverse complement.
CCTGGGGGGCTGGGTGGGGGTCTCGGGGGCGCTGTGGTCATTGAGCAGGCGCAGCTCCGGCAGGCGCGCCGGGGGCGGTCTGTTCTTGAGCACCCGAGGGTGGTGTCCTCCCTGGTGCCAGCGTCTGTCAGCGCCATCCCTGGGGGCTGCAGAGCAGGCAGGAGGAAGGGGCTGGTCTGGGGCTGCCCTCTGCTCCTGTCCCTGCCCCTGTGGCATGGGTGGTGCCCCTCACACTCAGCCGTGCTTGGAGAAGGGAAGGGGGGCATGTGCGTGGGCCGTGGTCATCCAAGGTGCTTGTGGCTTCCCCAGATGCCCTGGGTTCCCTTCCAGCCCACCCGCCGCATCCCTTCTGAGGAGGAGCCATGCGCAGCCATGACACAGGCGTGCACTGGCCTGGGAGTCATGAGGCAGGGCTGAGTCTAGGCCCCTGCCCGTCACTCAAGTTCTCAAGGGGCTGGGCACTCGGGCTCGGACTCAGGTCCCAGGCTGCCCTGGAGACACAGTGCTTCTCCCCAGTGGCCTCCTGATGGGACGCTTCAGCTGGGAGTCCCCACCCCAGCATGTGCCCTGAGAGTGAGGGTGCATCTGTCACCCTAACAGCGTCCTTCAGCCTCCCAGGCTGGGCCCTCCTTCCCCTTCCCTCTCCCTCTCACTCTGACGCCGGCTCACAGAGGTCCCAGCCTGCCCCTTCTGCCTGGCTGGTGGGCTTGGCCCCAAGCTGGTGGGGGTGGCAGGGTTGGGTCTGAGAACTCGGCAAGCTTATGCACTTCGTGTCCCCAGCACAGCCTCACGGGTTGGGGAGGAGCCTGGGGTCAGAGCCCTCTCTTCCCTGGGGAGCCGCGCACTGCTCTGCTCTGTCCCGCCGTGGCCTCTCCTCCCTGCTTGTCTCCGTCTCTTTCTTCTCTCCCTGTTCTGCTCCTGCATTTTCCCACTGCTCCTTCTGTGAACTTGGAAGACCTAAGTGGGGCGTTCGGGACCCTGGTGGAGCCTGGAAGGGCCACCCCTGCACTTGGGAGCAGACCTGAGCCCTTCGGAGCATCTGTCCCCACTCCGAGCGGCTTCTGCCCTGTGCCTCTGCTCCCCAGCATTCCTGCCTGCCTTGCAGGCCCCTGCCTGTGGCCTCCTGGCCCTTTGTCTGTCTGTGTCCAGTGGCTCTTCGTGGGTCAGGCCTGGGCTGCAATGCAGGCCACTTCCGGGGGCTTCCTCCTCGCTGCCACCCTCGGCACCCGTTTTCAGGTGATGCTCGGCCTGTCTGGGATCTACGGGAGGGTCCGGCACAAACTGAGGCTCAATGTGCTTATTATTCCAGTTGTTGGTGCCACCTGCCCATGAGTCCTTCCTTTCCTTGTGGGTTTGAAAAGCCTCCACTTTCATACACAGACTCCTCCCCTGCTAACACGGTCCTGTTTCTAGGCTGTCTGCCTGGCATCCCAGGCCCCTGCAGGGCCAGGTCAGTCCTGAACAGGGTGGAGGGCTGGCAAACACTGGCCCCGCCCACGCGCAGGGCCCACGGCACTCACAGGTGATGATGTAGAGGTGGGCGGGCTCGCTGTGCTGCGGCCCGAGCTCCGTGCTCTGCACTGCTATCACAGAGAGCTGGTACCGCCGTCCCGGCAGCAGGTCGCGCACCGTGTAGGACGCCAGCTTCCCGTTGGGGACATAGCGGCTCTTGGTGCTCTGGCTGGTGGTCACATTGATGACATAAGCCTCCAGCAAGCTGCCTGGAGTCGGGGCATCCCAGACCACGTGGGCAGAGGTGGCAGTGACTCGGGCGGCGGTCAGGTTTGCTGGAGGCAGGGGCCCTGGATGAGGCAGGAGCAGGGAGAGGTGAGGGGGTGCCCACAGGGTCTTCTGGCAAGAACACGGTTTGAGAACCGGACATGGGCTGCCGCAGCCTTGCTGGAAGCCAGATTCTTTATTATGGAGAATGGTACAGTGCCGAGGCGGGGTGTGGGCTGGCACGTACAGCACAATCTTCCAACCGAGAGACCTGCAGGCCCCTGGTTGCCACCCTCCCCTCGGGTTAGGATCCACCCTGTGAAGCCCCCAGGCCCTGGCCCGTCAGCTGGCGCCCTCCCTGCGGCACAGTCGGTTCCCCTGAGCCTGGCTGCGTGGAGCCCTGTGCAGACTCCCCTGCCCCACCAGCCTTTCCCATGCCAGGCGGGCAGCATCTGAGTGCACAGGTGGGCAGGGGTCTGCTTAAGCCTCTGTTCCTCACAGAGGGAGCTGCAGCCTCCCCTCTGCCCAGTTCACCTGTCCCTCCCCTGCGCGCTGACTGTCCATGCTGTCACCCCTCCCATGCACTGGGGAGGGGGTGTGGGCCTAGTGACACCAGGAACTTAGGGAGCTTAGCTAGAGGGGGCTGGTTGCAAGGTACAAGGGCCCTGGATAGCATGGGTATCCCTGGCCCAGTGAGGTCCTCTGGCCCTCTGGTCGGTGTCCAGTAGGAACTCCATGCTGAGGAGCTACCAGGAGCCTTTAGAGATGGAGACTGCCCTGGACAGCTGTCCCAGCACAAGGGCCCAGCCCAGCCCAGCGGCTCCTGCCCAGTGGCCCCAGCGGAAGAGACATCTGGGAGGCCAGGGGCTGGGTTTCTGGTGTTGTGGACGCTTTGGAGAGGACTAGGGGAGGCTGGAAGGAAGCCAGAGCTTCTAGAAGACGGCCTTTCGTGTGCCGGGGGCCGCGCTGCTCTACTCACGGGTCCACACGTGCGTCGGCGCGGTGGCCAGGCTCTCTGTGGGGTGCTCCTCTCCCCTGAGCCCACTGAGGGTGGTCAGCTGGATGGTGTACCTCTTCCCAGGCAGCAGGGCCCTGTGGGCAGGAGGTGACAAAGAGAGAACAGGGATGTCTGGGACCTGTGTGTGACTCTGCTGCCAGACCGCAGCTCCCCCAGGCAGGAGGTGACTGCGGGGAGGTCATCCTGCTGCTGGTGGCCCAGGCAACCTCCACGAGGGGCAGACTCATGGCCCTCAGAGCCGTGTGCTCCTAGGGCGGGAAGCCAACCCATAGTCCGGGCAGCGGAGGAGGATCGGGTGCGCTTGGGGCTGCTACAGTATGGTCAGAGGGCCGGTGTTCAGCTGGGAGAGGCCAGAGAAGGGGGAAGTGGTCACTGTGCAGGGATGGGGGACGGGCCCTCAGCACAGGTGAGTTGATGTAAATTCTCAGGAAACCACAGGACAACGTGAGGCCAATGCCACCCCAGCCCCAGGAAGCTGCTGGCTGGAGTCTTCCTTCCCACTCGCTCTCCGATCTTTTCCTGCACCCCTGCCTGCGCTGAGCACGATTCGGAAGCTTTCTCTTTGGTTGGCGACCAAATCACAGGGGTCCACTGTGGGACTCCTGGGAGAGCTCGGGGCTGCTACCATCTACCCTCGCTGGCCGCTGCTCTCTGAGGGGTCCACTGTGGGACTCCTGGGAGAGCTCGGGGCTGCTACCATCTACCCTCGCTGGCCGCTGCTCTCTGAGGGGCCAAGTCACTCTCATGATCTGTGTGGAAAGTGTGCCCCCGGATTTTCTGAGCTTTTCCTGCTCTTTTTGGACACTTTAAAACACTACCAAGGTGTATCCTCTCTTGGCAGCCCTGATGAGGTGAGGCGGGAGTGAAGCCTCCAGGGTCTGAGGCTGGCTCACCTGAGACCTTTGTCTCCGCTCAGGTGAGGAGCGGCAGGTGGTACAGTCCACACACGGAGAATGTGCCCGAGACCTGGGCCCCGTGTCCCCGAGCCCCCACCCCTGCCTTCACCCCAGCCCCATGCTCTGGGTGTCCCTTCTTACCTAAAGGTGAACCTGTCCACACTCCTGTCCACATCGGTGGCCTGGTCCCTGAGGGCCTCAGGGTGGCGGATGGACACACGGACCCCACTGACGGTGGCATGGCGGATCCTGTGCAGGGCCCACTGCACTGAGATGGTGCTAGCCGTCACATTGGTGACCTCGAAGCCTTCCACAGGGCGGGGTCCTAGGGGGAATGGACTGTTCAGCAGGTGCCGGCCCCTCCTTGCTCCTGGGGGAGTGCAGGGGCTCAAGATGAAACCAGGCTTGGGAGGGTGCTGGGGGCCACAGAGAGGCACTGGAGAGGGTGTCCCATCAACTGCTCAGGGAACTCGGGCTGAGTGGGATGCCCAGGCTCTGGCCTCCAGGGCTGACAGCTGCAGAACCCGCTGTGAGCATGACGGCTGCAGAGCCCGCTGTGGGCCAGCCCGTCTTACCAGAGGCAGGGGTCTTAGTCTCCATTTAGATGTGGCAGTGACATGGCAGGGGATGGGCCGGAGTCCCTCTGGACATGAGTAACCCGGACCTCCCCTTTTCTGTGCCAGTTGACTATTTTGGTCTAAGAGCACACATCCGGGCCTGGTCTGGGCAACGCTGTCTTAGGAGGACAGACATACAGAACTCCCAGCAACTGCAGGGAAGGGGCCACTTGTGAGCTCCGCTTCCCGCCCAGCCAGTCTCCTCCGAAGCTCCAGTGCCACTGCTGATGCACCAGGCAGAGCCCAGAGGGCAGCGCTCAGCTCCCGGCAACTCAGCACCCCGGTCTGTGGACAGCGGTCCCTTCCACCCACCATGGCTGGCTGGAGCCCCAACTCTGCAGCGGGCAGGGCGGGCTCTGTCTTCACTCCAGATACCTTCCGAGGGCAGATCTCACATGGGGCGGCCTTGCAGGTGCTTCTTCCTAAAACAGCCCAGGCGAGCCACCCCTACTCAGCCCCTGGCAGCTCCTGCTGACACCTGCTCAGTGCCACCCGCACATGCGCCCAGGCTCTCCACTGGCCGAGGTGTGCTCTGTGTCCTTGCTGTGTTGGGAACTCCAGCCCCTTGGTGGTCAACTCCTGCAGGACAGGCCCTTGTGGGCCTCTGGGTGGGCTCAAGCTGCCTTGAATGCCTTCTCCTGTCCCTCAATGCCCTTGGCATTGGCATCAAGCTAGGGCCCAGGTGTGGCCAGGAGGCTTTCCTCCTGTGAGAACCGCCGAGCTCCTCCCCACCTACCCGCCATGCTACCCATAGGTTTCACCAAACTCACGTGGCCGCCCCGCAGGGCCCTGCTGGATGCTTAGGCCTCCCTGAAGCCCTGGCCACCCACCCACCCATCCATCCATCACGCCACTTCGCAGCAGTCTGTGCTCTCAGCACCTTTTCCTCTTTCCTCGAGCCTCTAGCACCCCTTCCCCATTCTTGCTCCTGTGTCTGGAGGCCACAGGCATGTTGGGTGAGAGTCCCATGGCCCCATGGCCCTGCACCCCACTTGGTTCCTGCCCAGCCTGTTCCGAGATCCCCTGTGCTCTAGCTGATGCGGCCGGGCTCCGTGGAAGGCCAGCCCTCTGCTTTCTTCCGGCCCTGCCCCTGTCCGTCCACTGCCATGTTCTAGGGCTCCTTTCTCCTTCCCAGAATCCCTCCCAGCAGCACACAAGCCCGCTAAGCCCTGACGCCTTCCCTAGAGCGCTCAGCATCTTCTGCTCCCCGACACGGCAACAACCCCACAGGCTGTGCACAACCCGGGCCTCCCCTGCAATCTTGGTGGCTCAGGCTCTGAGGAGGCTCCTCCTAGGACCCCCTCTTCAGGGGTCACATCTGGTCACAGCTTTCAGTGCCAGCTCCAGGTGGAGGCTCTGGGTCTGTCATTCCATCTAGGGCCTGCCCCACGGCTCTTCCCGATTGAGCCACCGATGCCTCCCCTTAGCACACCTCAGCGCCTACATATCCCTGTGAGCAGGTGCCTCTTTCAAACTCTCCCCAGGCCTTCAGAGCACCCCAGAGTCCCAGCCCCCCCAAGCCCACCCCCGCGGCCCCTGTCTCCCACACTGGCTCCTTCTAGGGACCCTTTTGGGAAGCCCCCATTCCTCCCCAGTCCCACTTCCTAGCTCCATGCCTGGGGGTTGTGCTGCTCCCACTCTTGGCTCGATTCTATGCGCCCCAATCCCATGCCTGTATCTTGTGGACCCAAGGCCACTCCCACACAGCTCTGTCTCCAGCAGGGCGGTGCCTCCAACCCCCAGCTCAGCTGTCTGTCTTGCTGCTGCAAGAACTAGGAGGGTGGACGGCATGACAGCCGCCCTGCAGGTGCCGGGGCCAGCGCTGCCCTCGAGGGGCAGGGGCTGGGCAGGGACGGCCAGGCTCGGGGACACTCACGCGTGCGGGCCAGCAGCACGGCAGGCCTGCTGATGTCATTCTTGTTGTTACTGTTTCGCTTCACTGAGAAGACGGAGATGTTGTAGGCCCTGCCGGCCGCCAGGGCCTGGAGCTGGTGCGAGGAGCGGGTCCTGTCCACAAAGTCTGTGCGGCGGTAGGAGCCGTCGGAGGAGACGTAGGTGACCGCGTAGCCATCAAGCATCTGCCTGGCGGCTGGACCATTGGGCGGGTTCCAGGAGATAGAGACCCCACTCTCCTCCACTCTCTCCATCTTGAGGGCCGTCGGTGGGAAGAGCTCTTCAGGGTTTGGGTCAAAACAAGGGGAGGGGACTGGTCAGCCGTTAGCTATGCATGCCTGGCTCCCGTCGGCGGCTCAGCCGGGTCTGGCTCTTGGGCCTGACACAGCCATCGCTGGCAGAGTCCTTCTTTGTCCCTGGCCACGTACCTCCAGGAGGGTCACACTTTTGAATGTGTGACCGTGTTTCAAGCCCACCGGGGGATTTTATCCCCTCCCTGTTCCTCAGGGAAGGGGCCTGGGCAAGCAGCGGCCAGACGCTCTGCCCTTGGAGACCGTTGGGCCCTCTAGGGAGAGGGGACCCCCTCGTGGCTCCCTCACTGGAGGCGCCCTCGCCACCCACCTTTGGCGCAGTCCTCGCCCGTGTAGCCCACTTTGCAGGTGCAGCTGTGGGAGCCGTTGCTGGCCAGGCAATAGCCACGGCCCCCACAGGGGCTGGAGAAGCAGGGGTCACTCACTGAGGGGAGAAAAAGTGGCAGTGTATGTTGGGGCGTGGCCAGGGGTCCCTGCTCCAGCCCCGCCCTTGCTCCTGGGGCACTGGGTCCCTCCTGCGTGGGTGTGGAGGGGCGGGGGGCACAGGACAGCTACTGCCTCCCTTCGGTTCTGCCACCTCCACTGCCCTGCGGGGCCCAACCCAGCAGCTCCTCCACCCTCCACAGCGGAGTGCCACCAGCCGGACTGGCTGAGGGGAGGAGACACTGGATCAGGACAGGACAGGCCACCACCCCAGTGACAGTCCTGCTTGAGGAGGGGAGGTCAGTGGTCAGGGAAGCCTCATCAGGAGGTATCCCACTGGGGGCTGATTAGGGAGAATGTTCCAGATGGAAGGACAGCCAGGGGCCAGACCTGGGTGTGCAAGAAACTTGGCCTGTCCAAGGGCAGCAGGGCCTATGTGTGGACGTGAGGCCCCACCCCTGGGTGTGTCCTCGGGTGAAGAGGGGTGTCTGGGGGGTGAGCGCAGGAGATGGGGAGGTTTAGAAGGCACCATTGTGGGACCAAGGGAGACAGGCGGAGGGCCACTGGCCTGAGAAGGGGACTTCCAAGGCGGCGGGCAGAGGGCGGGGAGCAGGCGGGCAGAGGGCGGGGAGCAGGCGGGCAGAGGGCGGGCAGCAGGCGGGCAGAGGGCGGGGAGCAGGCGGGCAGAGGGCGGGGAGCAGGCAGGCCTGCCGCCCTACCTGTCTCGCAGTGGTAGCCGAAGAAGCTCTCTGGGCAGACGCACAGGTAGGCCCCGCCGCCGCTCTCACACCGGCCTCCATGCTGGCAGGGGCTGGAGTCGCAGGCGTCCACCTCTGGAGAACACCCAGAGAGTGGGCCCAAGCTGCAAGGGGGGAGTCTGGGGGAGGGAGGAGAGGACAGCGGGAAGAAGGGAAAGGAGGAGTCTAGGGGCGGAGGCCAGGAGAGAGGGGCAGTGGGCAGGTCCCGCCCCTCAGCCCTCCCCAGCACCCTCACCTCCACCCCTCCCTCCCAAGGTGGCCGCAGCCCTGGGGGTCCCTCTCCCCAGGTGGCCTGCCCAGCAGGGAATGTGGGGATGCCCCACCTCCTCTCTGATCTTCCAGAGGCCCAGGCTCTGCATGTGGGGCCCACTGGAGGGAGCCCCTACCTGTCTCACAGTGGACTCCAACGAAGCCTGCAGGGCACCGGCAGACATAGGCCCCTGGGAGGTTCCTGCAGGACCCTCCATTTCTGCACGGGTGAGCTCGGCACTCATCCCTCTCTGCACAGAGAAGGGGTGTCAAGGGTGTTGCTGGCTCAAGTCTGAGGCGCCCACATGCCCCCAGGATTCCGTGCATTTCCTGGGGCTTCAGTTACCCCTTTCCCAGCTGGGAGCAACTACTCAGGACATGTGCTTTTTCTTCCATCAGCCCCAAACCCACCCCTCCTCGGGAGGCGTGCCACCTCCACTGCCTGCTGGCAAAGCCCCACCTCCAGGCCATGCCTTCCTCCAGGCCACTCCGCAATGGGAGGCTCCCCAGGGCCACGACTGGGCACGGCTCCCTGGGCCTTGCCCTCCCTGGAGCCTGCGTTTCTCAGGCTTAGAGCCCTAGCGAGGTACAAGAGTGTGCAGGGCTCATGGGGCAGGCCTCCCCTCCCTCCACTGGCTGGAAGCACCGACCAGGTGTCAGAGACTGTGACCTGCCCTCTCCGACGCCCACCTTCTCTGCGCCCTGAAGCCAGGCCAGCATTTCTCAGCTGGGCTCTCAGTCTCCCCTGGGGAGGTGCAGGAAGGGATATTTGTAAAATCTTTGTCTTGGATGTCAGAGCTGGCAGGGGCCCGAGAAAGCATGCAGTGGCCACCCTGGCCATCCAGACAGAGACCTGTCCGGGGGACCCAGTGCCTCAGGCACATGGCCAGTGTGCTGCAGCTGTCACCCCAGCGGGGCCAGGGCCCCTCTTACCCAGCTCACAGTGGGCGCCCTCATAGCCTGTGCTGCAGAGGCACAGGTACCCAGCAACGCGGTCCTGACAAGAGCCCCCATGCAGGCACGGCTGAGACCGGCACTCATCGATTTCTGAGAGGAGAGAGCCCAAGAATAAAGCAATGTGGCCACGATTAAGCCAAATTAAGATGCACATAAACTAGTCCTGAGGGGCCAGACAGAATTCGATGATACATCATCAGTGGTTGGAAAGGCCAGAGACCAGGGCTGGATATCCTTGGAGTCGGGGCAGGGCAGTGGGCCTGGGGCTCAGTGCCTGGCTGTGTCTGTGAAGCAGCAGGGCGGGCTTGAAACCACCCCAGGGCTCCCAGAAGACGCTGTGGGACTTAATTCCAGTGGTTCAGGCCGACAGGACAAAGGCCTCAGGGGTTTGACAGAAAATGTCTCATGTCCCATCTTGCCATTTCAATGTATAATAGTCACCTGTGAAACCAGTCCATCTGGGACAAATCTTGGTTTTAAATGATTCACCACAGCTTTCTTTTCAAGCGGGAGTTGTGCTCCTGAATTTAAATATTTATTTTTTTAAAGTTTAATTTCATGCTTAAAAAGTAAATAAATGGTAATGACTTAGTGACATCTGGGACTAGCAGCCACCCCGGCAGCCAGAATGCTGAATGGGCTCATCCGACCGTGTACCCTTCTCTTCCCTTGCGATAAGAATCTCTGGGTTTATAATTTCCTTGTCTTTAAAAACTAGGTTTTCTGGCAGTAAAATATGTAATTAAAATTAGCTTAAAAATTTTATAAATTGCCTAAACAATAGTGAATGTTTTTGTTGTTTATGAACTTTATTCATAGTACATCATGATATATATTGTCTTCTCTCAGCATTATATGAAGAAGAGAACTCCACACTGTAGGTCACTGTGGTTCATAGATTTTCACTGCTGAATAACATTACACAGTGTGGTTATATCATACTTCACCCATTCTCACTGGCTGGGTCTTTGGGTTGGTTCTAGACTTTTTCCTTTTTTTGTTTTCTTTTTTTCTTTTTTTTTTTTTGGGGGGATGGAGTTTCGCTCGTTGCCCAGGCTGGAGTGCAGTGGCATGATCTTGGCTCACCACAACCTCCGCCTCCCGAGTAGCTGGGACTAAAGGCGCCCACCACCATGCCCGACTAATTTTTGTATTTTTAGTAGAGATGGGGTTTCACTATGTTGGCCAGGCTGGTCTCGAACTCCTGACTTCGTGATCCGCCTGCCTCAGCCTCCCAAAGTGCTGGGATTACAGGCATGAGTCTACGCCCAGCCTAGACTTTTTGCTTTTACAAAAAATGTTGCTGTGTATATTCTTTCCCATCTCCTGGTGCAGACGTGAAGTTTTTCTTAGGTTTATACCCAGAAGTGCAATTGCTGGAACACAGTTGACGTAAATGAGCAACAGTGGGCAGATTGCTCAACAGGCAGAGTGCCACATTGTTTTCAAAGTGCTTCTAGCAATTTATACTCTTGCCAGCAATGCATAAGAAATCTTGTTGATCCACATTCTCACCGGTATAGGCTTTTCAGACTTCTGAAAATTTACCAGCTGAATGTACCTCATTGCACTTTTGATTTGCATTTCCCTGATTACTAATGAAATAGAATATTTCTTTTTATGTTTGTTGGCCTTTTGTATCTCTTCTTCCATGAAATGCCTATGCATGTTTTTTTTTCTATTTTCCTATTAGGTTGTTTTCTCATTGATTTATCAGAGTTCTTCATGTAGTCTTGAGACTATTTATCTCTTCTCCCAGTTTGTAGTTTAGATTTCACTTTCTTAAGGTTTATGGATTTAGGTTCTAATTTTCATATGGTCAAGTATGTTCATCATTTCTTTTTAAATTCTTTTTGTGGCTTAAGGAGTCTTTCACTACCCCAAAGTCAAAAATATATTTACCTATATTTTCCACACAAAATTATATAGTTTTTTTTGGTTGTTTTTTTTTGAGACAGGGTCTCACCCTGTCCCCCAAGCTGGAATGCAGCGGTGCAATCACAGTTCACTGCAGCTTTGAACTCCGGTTTCAAGTGATCTTCCCACCCTAGCCTCCTGAGTAGCTGGGACTACAGGTGCATGCCACTACGCCTGGTTAATTTTAGTTTATTTTTGTAGAGTTGGGGGTCTCTCTATGCTGCACAGGCTGGGCTCAAACAAAACTCCTGTCTTGGCCTCCCAAAGTGCTGGGATTATAGGCATGAGCCATGTGCCCGGCCCTGTATAGTTTTTTTTTAAAGAAACATTTAGGTCTTTAATCCACCTGGATTTAATTCCAGTGTATGAAAAATAGAGAACCAATATAATATTTTTCCAAGTACAAAACCATTGTATTCCAGCTCTCATGAATATTTTCTCATATGCTTTTGTATTTCTTTCTTTTAGAAGTTTATAGTTAGGGACGGGCATGGTGGCTCGCGCCTGTAATCCAGCACTTTGGGAGCCCAAGGCGGGTGGATCACCAGAGGTCAGGAGTTCAAGACCAGCCTGGCCAACATGGTGAAACCCCGTCTCTATTAGGAATACAAAAATTAGCTGGGTATGGTGGTGAGTGCCTGTAATCCCAGCTACTTGGGAGACTGAGGCAGGAGAATCGCTTGAACCAGGGAGGCGGAGGTTGCAGTGAGCCGAGATTGTGCCACTGCACTCCAGCCTGGGCAAGAGTGAGATTCTGTCTCAAAAAAAAAAAAAAAGTTTATAGTTTTAGCTTTTACATTTATGTTTATAGTTCCTTTTACGCATTTAAAAATTTATCATGTTTTTGATGCTATTAATGTAACACTTTCATTTCAAAGTGTTCACTGCTACAACAGGTTCTATATACTGACCCTGTATCCTGGGATCTAGTTGAATTCACTTGTTAGTTCTATAGCTTCTTTTGTAGAATTTCCTTAGGATTTTCTATGCATACAATCATGTGATCTCTAATTCTTTCTTCCTTTCCTTCCTTTTATTTCCTTTTCTTGTCATCTGGCACTGTCTAGGGCCTCCAGGAAAATGCTGGGAATACGTACTGAATGGACACCTTGCCTTGTACGGATTCCAGGTGGAGTCTTTCACCACTGAGTACACTGGTAGCTGAGGTTTTTAATGGATGTCCTTTATCAGGTTGAGGAAATTATCTTCTACTCTTAGTTGACTAAGAATTTTAAATACCAGTTGAATTTGTCAAATAATTTCCTGCATCTATTGAGATATATAGTTTTCTCTTTCATCTCCTAATATGATGAAGTACATTGATTGACATTAAAAGTTAGACCAACCTGTGTCCTTGAGAAAAATCCCACTTGGTCATGACTGTATCATTCTTTTATATAGTACTGAGCTTGACTTAGTAATATTTTGTTTGGATTGTTGTGTCTATGTTCTTGAGAGATACCAGTCTGTAACTTCAAATTTTGTAGTGTCTGTGTCTGGTTTTGGTATCAAGGTGAGTTGAGAAGTTATCAAATAAGTTGGGTATCAATTGAGTTTGGTATCAAATGAGAAGTGTTCTTCCCTCCTAGATTTTCTAAAAAATATGTAGCTCTTTCTAAAAGAGGTTGTACAAAGTTGGTATCATTCCTTTCTTAAACATTTGGTAGAATTCATCCGTGAAGCAATCTGACACAGCTGTTCTGAGGAAGGTTTTTAATTACAAATTAAGTGTAACAGATATAAGGCTGTATATGTTTTCTATTATTCTTGTGTCAGTTCTGGTAATTTGTCTTTCAGGGTATCCATTTCCCCTAAGTTGTCAGATACATTGGCCTAAAATTGCTCATAGGTGTTCTCTTGTCCTTTAAGTACTGGCAGGATCTTTAATGTTTAAAGGACTCCACTGTAAACACGAGGTAGGATCTCCTTTTCTATTTTGATCTTGCTAATTTCTCTCTTTTTTTCCTGATCAGTCTAGCTAGGGTTTATCAATGTTAATGATTTTTTTTTTTTTGAAACAGAGTCTTGCTGTGTCACCCAGGCTGGAGTGCAGTGGTGCGATCTTGGCTCACTGCAAGCTCCGCCTCCCAGGTTCACACCATTCTCCTGCCTCAGCCTCCTGAGTAGCTGGGACTACAGGCGCCCGCCACCTCGCCCAGCTAATTTTTTGTATTTTTAGTAGAGACGGGGTTTCACCGTGTTAGCCAGGATGGTATCCATCTCCTGACCTTGTGATGTGCCTGCCTCGGCCTCCTAAAGTGCTGCGATTACAGGCATGAGCCACCGCGCCCGGCCCAATTTTAATGATCTTTTCAAGGAAATAGCTTTTGGTTTCATTGATCTTTCTCTGTATCTGTCTTTTTTATAATTACATTTTCTAATTGTTGGTTGCTGATACATAAGCACATAATTAATTTTGTTGTAATCTATATCCACTAAACATGTTACATTAGGCTTTTCAAAGAACTAATTTTGGCTTGTCCTTTCTTTTGTATCTTGGATCTCTACTTCATTAATTATGGCTTTTACCTTTATTCCTCTTTCCTTCTACTTTTTTCAGCATCATTTCGTATTTTTTTTCCTAACTTCTGAAGTCAGACATTTAATTAATCAAGTTTGAAATTTTCTTCTTTTCTAACATTGGTATTAATGTCAGTTTCTTAATTTTTGCTTTATATATATTGAGATTATTGTATTAGATGCTTGAATATTTATAATAATTGTATCTTCTTCGTGAACGGAACCAATTATCATTGAGAGACACCCTCTCATTCTTAATGATGCTTTTCGTCTTATACTCTTCTTTTTCTGATAGTAATATAGCTAATACGCCAGCTTTGATTTGTATACACCTATTTTTTTCCTTTCACTTTCATTCTTTGTATAGTCTTATGTTTTAGGAATGTCTAAGAGTGCTAGCTTGTTTTATACCACATCTGGCAATCTCTCACCTGGAGAGTTAGTCCATTCATATTTGTATTTTTTCTATCATAATTCTTTCCAATCTTAATATTTGCCATGTTCTTCTGATTACTTTTTTCTCCTTTTGGATAGTGACAAGTCTTACCATGAAATCTGATAACTCTCCCTTCTCTTAACTGGGTTTATCTTATTATCTTATTATTATCTTACTTCTTTCAGAAAAGGACACTTTTTTTTGCTAAGCCTCTGAAGCTGTGTTTGTATGAGAATATATTTTTTTATGGTCTCACATTTGAATAACAATTTGACTGAATAAAGATATTTAGGTATTAAGTTTATTTCTTAATTTTTAATTTTTTAGAGACAGGGTCTTGCTGTCACCCAGGCTGGAGGGCAGTGGCATGATCATAGCTCACTATAGCCTCGAATTCCTGGGCTCAAGTGATCCTCTCACCTCAGCCTCTTGAGTAGTTGGGACTACAGGAGCATGCCACCATGCCTGGCTAATTTTTAAAGTTTTTTGTAGAGTTGGGGTCTTGCTATGTGGCCCAGACTGGTCTTGAACTGCTGGGCTCAAATGATCGTCTTGCCTTGACCTCCCATTATATGTGTGAGCCACTGCGTATGGCATATATATATATATATATATATATATATATATTTTGAGATGGAGTTTTGCTCGTCGCCCAGGCTGGAGTGCAATGGCGCAATCTCGGCTCATTGCAACCTCCGCCTCCGAGGTTCAAGCAATTCTACTGCTTCAGCCTCCTGAGTAGCTGAGATTACAGGTGCCCACCACCATGCCCAGCTAATTTTTGTATTTTTAGTAGAGATGGGGTTTCACCATGTTGGCCAGGCTGGTCTCAAACTCCTGACCTCAGGTGATCCTCCCACCTTGGCCTCCCAAAGTGCTGGAATTACAGGTGTGAGCCACTGCACCCAACCTATTTCAATATTTATACTGTTTGGGATTTGCTGAGCTTTTTGAATTTGTGGGTTGATGTATTTCTTCATTTTTAGAAAATGTCCAATTATTATCTCTTCAAATATTCTTTTGCCCATTCTGTCCTCTATTTCTGGGACTTCAATTATGTGCTTGTTTGCCTGTTTGATATTGTCCCACAGATCTCTGATGCTGTTTTTTAAAACATTCACTTATTTGGCCCGGCGCAGTGGCTCATGCCTGTAATCCCAGCACTGTGGGAGGCTGAGGCGGGTGGATCACGAGGTCAGGAGATCGAGACCATCCTGGCTAACACGGTGAAACCCTGTCTCTACTAAATATAAAAAAAAATTAGCCGGGCGTGGTGATGGGCGCCTGTAGTCCCAGCTACTCGGGAGGCTGAGGCAGGAGAATGGCGTGAACCCAGGAGGCGGAGATTGCAGTGAGCCGAGATCGTGCCACTGCACTCCAGCCTGGAAGACAGAGCGAGACTCCGTCTCAAAAAAAAAAAAAAAAAATTTCACTTATTCAGAATTCCTAATTCATTTTTAAATTATTTTTTCTCTCTGATCTGCAGTTTAGATAATTTTGTTGTCCTGTCTTTGAGTTCTATGGTTTTTTTTCTTCTGTTGTATCCATTTTGTTGTATCCATTTTGTTAAGCCTATCCAATTTATTCATTTCAGCTGGGCACAGTGGTTCATGCCTGTAATCCCAGCAGCTTGGGAGGCAGAGGCAGGAGGATCTCTTGAGCTCAGGAGTTCAAGACCAACCTGGGCAACACCATGAGATCCTGTTTCTACAAAAATAAATAACAAATAAAACAATTTATTCATTTCGGATATATTTTCAGTTCTAGATTTTCTATTTTGTTACTTTTTTTCTCTGCTCAAATTTTCTATTCTCTCAATCATTCTGCCTCTCGTTTTTCTTTAACATAAAGAAAATTTTTCATGGAATTTTAAAGTCTTTGTCTAAATTCCAACACTTGGGTGATCCATAAGGTCTTTTTCTATCGATTGTTTCTTCTTTAGATTATGTGTCATCATTTCTTGCTTCTTAGACATAGTGCGTATAAGAACAGTGGAAATCAAAGTAGAAAATTTCACACTAGGATGAACATACTGTATTCTCTACTAGGTAGCGAAGCTGAGTAGCTGACCTGTGATATCATTAGGAGTTGAGCTGGGTTGGGGCTAGAGCAGTTTTAAGTAGTTTCAGCTCAAGATTGGTTTTAAACGCTTAAGGATTTGGACAGGCCTCTCCCTCCAGGTGGACTTGGAATCTAATCCTTGTGAGACTATGAAATCTATCTCTGCTTTACAGACCAGTCCCTGGCTTCTCATGCATTTGTAATGATCCTGTGGGTGAGACCTGGTAGGTGCTGAGAACTTACTCTCTGCATCTGTGGCTTCTCTTGATTTCAATCCATTGTGCTTGCCCCTGCAGCATGACAAATTTGGCTGGAGGATGAAAGCAGCCAACAGCCTCAACTTCTCTGCCTCCTCAACTCTTTAATAGGTGAAAAGATAGGATTTCATAGGCTTCATGATGTTCCTTTAACATTACAGTGACAGTGGTGGTATTCTGTGACTGTCTACACCCTAACCAAATGGATCTCTTCAGTATTTAAAAAAATTCACTGTCTTATATCTGATATTGCTGTTGAGAAGTTTGATGTCAAGCTGATTCTTGTTCCTTTGTACATGACCTGATTTTCCCTCTGGAAGTTAAAACTTTTTCTGTTTGTCTAGGATATTCTCGTATTTTACTATAATGTGTCTGGTGTTTGTTTCCCCTTTGCTCCTGTCTGACGTTCTGTGGGCCCTTTTAATCTGCTGTTCATCTGGAACTCTGGGAATTTAACTCCCTAGCCACTTATCCTTTACATTTTCATTTTCTCTTCTTCTTGGGCTCCGATTATCTCAGCTTTAGCACACCTTCTACCCTCTACAGCACAAATATTTTTTCTTTTTTTTTTTTGAGACAGAGTCTTACTCTATCACCCAAGTAGGAGTTCAGTGGCACGATCTCACCTCACTGCAACCTCCGCCTCCCAGGCTCAAGCGATTCTCCTGCCTCAGCCTCCTGAGTAGCTGGGATTACAGGCATGTGCCACCACACCCGGCTAGTTTTTGTATTTTAAGTAGGGACGGAGTTTCACTATGTTGGCCAGGCTGGTCTCGAACTCCTGACCTCAGGTGATCCACCTGCCTCGGCCTCCCAAAGTGCTGGGATTACAGGCGTGAGCCACAGCACCTGGCCCCAACATTTTCTTTTTTATTTATTTATCTTTCCCTGCTTCTTTCTGGAAGAGTTCTTCAAGCTGATCTTTCAACTCACTAACTTACTCTTCATCTGCATCCATTTATAAATTATGTCTGTTATTTCAACTATTATAGTTTTTAATCTGCTTATTCCCACTGTTTTTAAAATAATTTATCGATCCTGTTTTGGATGGCCAATGCCATGTTTACTTTGTAAATTTGTCACGGTTATTTTATACCGTTAATCCATTTTCTTTTTTTGTATGAGGTGGGGTCTTGCTCTGCTACCCAGGCTGGAGTACAGTGGCAGGCTCATGGCTCACTGCAGCCTTGACCTCCCAGGTTCAAGTGATCTCCTGCCTCAGTCTCCCAAGTAGCTGGGACTACAGGCATGTGCCACCACGCCGGGCTAGTTTTTAAATTTTTTTGTAGAGATGAGGTCTCCCTATGTTGCCCTTGCTGGTCTTGAACTCCTGTGTTAGTCTGTCTTCTACACTTCTGCTTCCGATCATACATATTTTCTGGACTTTTATTATTGTTTTCTGAGGCAATCGTACTTTTCAGGTGTCTCGATATCCTGGCTGGTTGCTCATATTCTCTGAGGATATCGGCTTCTCATCTTCTGGCAACATATAGGTGGGGAAGTAGCATTGGGAGGGGGGGTCATCTCCAAGACAGTCAGGAGCTCACCTGGGGCTTGAAATCCCAGAAGGAAAGGAGGGATGCTTGAAGCCAGGTGTTCCCAGAACCCTTCGCCTGAGACCACGCAGGTTGGCCTTGGCTTTGCGGGGCATGTGGGGGACAGGGATGGGCTTATGTGCCCCACTCAAATCTGGGTGCTGTCACCCACTGTTCCTAAGCTTGTTTTAAAATCCTTGCTTCGTAAAAACTAGCTCACATCACACAGACTTTCTGATGGACAGTTTGGACTCCTCTGGCATAATGCGATGCACCTGCAGGGTGTTAATGGCCCTACTTCTCCAGGGGCTTCGGTCAGAGGGAGCCTTGTCTCTAGGCTGTGCACTCCCAGCTCCCAAGCCAGACAGGGGTGGGACCTCAGTGGCAATGCTCTCTGGAGCAGCACTCCTCAAATGCCTGCAGGGGGAAGGGGGATCTTGTTCTGATTCCACAAGTCTTCAAGGGGCCAGGAGTAAGAGGTAGGTCCTGAATCCGTATCTGGCTCTTTAGGACTCTGCCCCTGGGCTACCTCTTGGCCTCAGCTGCTGCATCTGCAGAGTGGGTATTTGGGTGTTTGACCTCCTGCTCCGGGCTGCTCTGAGGATGGGGAAGCCTTTAGTGAATGCCCCAGAGCAAAGTTGACTGTGATCATCACCACTGTCACCCCAAGGTCCACATTCACAGACAGGAGACTGAGGGGAGCAGGGGCAGGACCAGGTCAGAGCTGGGCATCCAGGCTTGGGCCTGCAGCCCCTGTGCTCCTCCACATGGCCAGGATGAGGAGGGTGTGGGCCCCACCTGCCCCACCCCAAGGGCCCACAGAATCACCAAGGCACTGGGGAGGCTCACTCCAGACACCGTGTGGCTGGCAGACCCGGATGCGGCTGGGGGCGCTCAGGCTGTAGCCACGGTCACATGCATACAGGGCCACCGCGCCCAGCCGCGTGCCGTTGAAGCGCAGTGTGGCGTGCTTCACCTCCTCCGGGGGGCCGCAGTCCACCTCTGCAAGGCACGGCAGCCTGTCTCGCACGGTCCTGTGCCTTCCTGGCCCCTCCCCACCGCCCTGCCTCTGCCCGACCCGACTGCAGGGCCCAGGGATGTCCTGCTCCCACACTGCCCTTCACCGGGGAAAGGTGCCTCGACTTCTGGGGCCTGGTTGCCGTGATACGTTTCCTTCTTCCCATTCCTGCCTTGCCCAGCTCTGCAGGGATTAGCAAGAAATCCCACGCTCCCCACTTGACCCCCCTCTAGCCCTCTCACCTGCCTGCCACTGGTATCCCATGTACCCTGCTCGGCCCCCCGGCCATCTCACCTGCCTGACACCGGCATCCCATGTACCCTGCTTGGGCCCCCCAGGCCTTACCTGCCTGACACCAGCATCCCATGTACCCTGCTTGGCCCCCCGGCCCTCTCACCTGCCTGGCACTGGTATCCCATGTACCCTGCTTGACCCCCCCCCCCCCCGCCGACCCTCTCACCTGCCTGGCACCGGTGTCCCATGTACCCTGCTTGGCCCCCCGGCCCTCTCACCTGCCTGGCACTGGTATCCCATATATCCTGCTTGGCCCCCTGGCCCTCTCACCTGCCTGGCACTGGTATCCCATGTACCCTGCTTGGGCCCTGGCCATCTCACCTGCCTGGCACTGGTATCCCATGTACCCTGCTTGATCCCCCTGACCCTCTCACCTGCCTGGCACCGGCGTCCCATGTACCCTGCTTGGCAGTGGCAGAAGAAATCCGTGTCCCGGTCCTCGCAGGTGCCCCCATTCACACACGGGCTCCGGAAGCAGGGGGAGGGGGCTGCCAGAATGCAGGAAGGTCCTGGCCACTGTGTCTTCCCTGAAGGCTCGGGACTGTGTGGGGCATCCTGCCTCCTGCACCCAGCTCCACCTCCTGCGCCTCCAGGGCCTGGACCAGCCCTGCCCATGGGCCTGTTTTCACATCTGCAGAGAGGGTTCACCCCTGGCCGCCCTGGCCTGGCCTCCCACCCACCTTACCTATCTCGCAGTGCCGCCCGGAGAAGCCTGGGGGACAGTCACACTTGTATTTGCCAATGTAGTGGAAGCAGGTGCCGCCGTTGTGACAGGGGCCAGAGGCACACGAGTCTGGCTTCCCTGGAAACAGAAGCCAGGTCAGGGTCACAGCCCACTGCCCCTCCCACGTTCCCCAACATCCCAGAGCTGGGGCCTCTTCATGAGAAGCAGACCCACAGCTGGCAGGGAGGGTGCATCAGGGGCCCCAGCTCAGGGCTGGCCCGTCGTTCCTGCCCTCCCCCCTGCCCCTGGGGGCCGCACCGATCTCACAGTGCCTCCCAGTGAAGCGGTAGGGGCAGCTGCAGTGGTACTCGCCGCCCGCCTCCTTGCACGTGCCCCCGTTCCGGCAGGGCCCTGAGCTGCACAGGTGTGGCCGGGCTGTGTGGAAGGACAGAGAGGCAGATGAACGGGGCCAGGCTGCTGGCCCCACAGAGCCACTATACCCTCCTGGCATCTCCTCAGTCCTCTGGTGCTGGTGGGGCCTTCTCGACGAAGCCCTGGGGCCTGGCTGCAGCAGGGGCCAAGCAGGTCCGCACACATGGTGGGGGCTGGGGTGGGGCTCACAGGCTGGAGACCCCAACTCAGTCACAGGTGGGCCCTTTGCTTGCCTGTCCTCTTTTCTGCCCAGGCTCTGGCAATGGCTGGGCCCTTCCTGTGGAGAACCGGCCCCAACACTGCAGCGGGCGCAGCACTCCCTCCCTCCTGCACACGGGCATTCCCCATCTGACAGGAAGCAGCTGAGTCTCATCTGCCGTGACATCAGGGTCCCCAGCAGTCAATCTGGATTTCTGTGTGTTCTGTACCTGCATTGGCATTGCCACATTTTCCCTGGGTCCTAACAGTTCCTGGAACCCGAGGAGCTCAGACGGCCGGGCCTGTGCTTGAGGCAAGCACATATTTAAAGGTGTCTGCGAAACCAAGCACATCTGTCCTGCCACCTTGACAATCACACTGTCAAAGGGCCAGTGAGGAGTGCCGAATCCTTGGACCCCTGGGTGTTCTGAGTGGCGGGAGGGGCCTGCCCCACTGTGCTCGCTCCTCTCCTGCCAGCCATCCCACGCTGCAGGTCCAAGCTCTGGCTGCCCCACCCCTGAGGACAGCCATCCTTGTCCCTTCCGTACTCCCTCCGGGGTCAGAGGTGTCCACATTGGTGGCCTGTGTGCTCACGGAAGCTGGGATGCTGGGGGAGGGCTGTGCAGTTCCTGGGGCGGGCACAGAACCTTTGGGGCAGGGACACTGGGTACCAGCAGTCTGGTCTAGTGAGGAGATGTGGGCTCTGGTAGGACCCCCACCTTGGGTACAGTGGACTTCATACCACTGGCAGGTGTGAGCTGGAGTAGGGCCAGAGTCAGCTCTGGGCAGGGCCCATGAAGGGCCTCAGGGTGGTCCTAGGAGTGTGTTGAGAGACAAAGACCTCGTCAGAGCTTGCAAAGAACCAAGCAGTTGGGGTCTTCTCTTTGGAAACCTGTTCTACCTCTGCTGCAGTGGTTGGGGGAGCCACGGGGTCCAGGGCTCAGACTTCAGGGTCTTTCCCTCAGGGACAAGGAACAGAGCAGGGGAGGGGCCGTGGAAGGCTCCACACCAGTCCAGGCTGCGGGGGTGCCTGGGGCTGAGCCCCTGGAGAGGGTGCCAGGTCACTCTGCGGTCAGGCAGCCCCCTCTGGGCACTGACCACTGAGATGCTGAACAGGTCTGGGGGTGACTGATGGGAGTCCTGACTGTTGCTTCAAACTGCACAGAAGGGACAGTCCTGGGTGGGGCCTGGCGGGGATAGCTACGCCTGCAGTGTGCTTACAGAAGGACACTTCTATTCTCAAGCGACTAAATGTAATAAAATTCGACATTTTCCATGCTGAATTAGATTGAGCAAAATCCTATGGAAATTTTAAAAATAAAATTTGATATAATGATTCTAAAATCTATTTGGAAAAATGCTGAGCAGGCAATGAAGCCTATTTTCAGAAGAGCAAGGTAATGACCAGCAGGCCTGGCACTGGTGCAGATCAGAACCATCCAAACAGTGAGGTGCTCACCTCTAAATACACAGAACAGAGCAGCACATCAGGCAAGGCTCTAGACGAGGTCAGCAATTCGCGAAACAAGGAGAGAGACAGCAGAGAAGCAGGACGGCGGACCGCGGGCGCTCTCCAGGGTGCTGACGCCGGCCCGGACGCCCCTGCCCGCCATACCTTTCTCGCAGTGCTTGCCGTGGAACCCGCGCGGGCACTCGCAGGTGTAGGAGTCGTCATGGGCATCGCAGGAGCCTCCGTTGAAGCAGGGGTCCGAGTCGCAGGGTGATGGCAGGGCTGGGGGCGGGGGACAGAGGGTGGTCCTGGAGCTTACGCCGCATCTGTGCGGGCGGCAAGAGGCTGGCGGGCACCTTGCCTGCCAGGGTTACCCTGACATCCTGTCTGGAACCAAGGCCACTGAAAATACACTCTGTGGGCATCTTGATTCCTCAGAGTGGGCTCTAGGGCCCCTCCCTGGAATTTCTCTTTTTCTCGATTTTAGCAGAATTCACCCTTCCGTCTTCTACGAGGCAGGACTGAGCTGTGATACAGAAACGCCTTCCTGTCATCACTGCCAGCATCACATCATTATTCTATATAACTATACGTGATGCAAGTGATTAACCATCTCATCTATACACTAACAAACGTATAGTAGTGATACATTTCATTACACATGCCTAATTATGTATGCATTAAATATTTTAATAGCTTGTGTTGGGGCTTAGGTAAGATACCACATGGTGTTTGTATACTTGCAGAAGTGCTTTTCCCCCTGTGAGCTTACTCCACTGGGGAAGAGGAGATGTCTAGCCCCATATTACAGGAAGGCTATTGAGAGAGGCTTCCCCAGGTGCCAGCTCTCCCGAGAGTCAGAAGGGAAGTAGGGACTCTGGCCTCTGCCTGCCTCATCCACCGCTTTCTCCCTGGCTTCTGTCCGGGCCCCCGGCCCAGCAGGCTCGTCCCCGAGCTACTCACAGTGGCTGGCATTGTGGTCGGTGTGGCAGACGCAGAGGTAGCTCCCGCCGTGCTCCATGCAGTAGCCCCCATCTGGGCACTGTGTGTTCATGTTGCAGGGCATGGCTGTGATTTCTAGAGAGAAAGGAGGAAGCCCCATCCCATATTCCACATGTCTTCCAGCAGACCTCGAGTCCTTGTCAAGGATGGGGCCTCCCAAGACCCAGTGGCCCCAACAGGTTCAGGCACTCTTGTGGCCAGTCCCTCCTGGGTGGGGGTAGAACCAATGGTCGACAGTCTGGACCTACGGACCCCGGCCGAAGCCACCATTCATTTCCCGATTATGAGGATGCTCAGGGACAGGGCAGGAAGGGTGACCTGGGCACCTACCAAATTCACAGAGAAGCCCAAAGAATCCCAGGGGGCACTGGCAGAGGGTGGTGTTGGCGCCCAGGCATCTGCCTCCGTTGCGGCACTCACAGTCATCGGGGACTCCTGCCACGAAGAGAGGGAGGAGCCTCCCATGTGGGGGCGCAGAAAGATGGCACCCTCGCTCCAGACCCTGCCCTGCTCCTGGCCAACTTCCCATACAAATTGCAGTGGACGCGCACTCACACGTTTCTTTTCGGGGCGTTTCCTGCATGCACCCACAGGAAGGCCCTCCCTGGGTCTCCTGCCCCAGCCCTAAAACGGCAGCCCTTGCAGCCCAGACGCACTCTCCCTGCAGTCCAGGCCCATGAAGCCTTCGGGGCACTCGCACACGTAGCCCTGGTCCGCATCCACACAGGTGCCCCCATTGTGGCAAGGGGCCGAGAGGCAGGCGTCTGGCACTGGATGGTCTCCTGCAAGAAAGACGGCAGTCACCAGCGGCCACGCAGGGAATGTGGGGAGAGTGGTCTCCCCGCCCAGCTCCAATGGCACCTTTGGGTTTTCACCTCTGTTGTCATTCCCAAGTGGAATTTAAGCCAGAAGCTTATTTCTGGAAATGGATTTGTAGCTGCGCTGCACCCCATGGAGCTCAGCATCTCCCAGCTCCTTCCTCGACAGAACAAGAAGCACCAGAGAAACCACCCAGGATTGGACAGAACAAGAAGCACCGGAGAGACCACCCAGGATTGGACAGAACAAGAAGCACCGGAGAGACCACCCAGGATTGGACAGAACAAGAAGCACCAGAGAGACCACCCAGGATTGGACAGAACAAGAAGCACCAGAGAGACCACCCAGGATTGGACAGAACAAGAAGCACCGGAGAGACCACCCAGGATTGGACAGAACAAGAAGCACCAGAGAAGCCACCCGGGATTGGACAGAACAAGAAGCACCAGAGAAACCACCTGGGAATGGACAGAACAAGAAACACCAGAGAGACCACCCAGGATTGGATAGAACAAGAAGCACCAGAGAAGCCACCCAGGAATGGACAGAACAAGAAGGACCAGAGAGACCACCCAGGGGCCAGGGGCCTCCAAACGTTTCTGGTCAGGCATCCCTATCAGTGAAGTATTTGGGATTTTCCAGATATCTTTCTGCTGATCTCTAGTTTAATTTTGCTATGGTCAGAAAACACAATCCTTTTCAATGTATTGGGCCTTACTTATGGCTCACAATATGGCCTATGATGGCCAAGAGCACTTGAGAATAACGTGAGTGCTCTATAAATGCCAAGTAGGCCAAGCCCAAGTCTCCTCTAGCTTTACTGATTTCCTGTGTACATGTTCTATGAACCACTGAGAGGGGAGTGTCGAAATCTCCACCAATAATTATGGACCTATTTCTCCTTGCAGTTCAGTCAGCTTTTGCTTCATGTGAATAGGTGTTAATAGGTACAAGTATATCTAGAGTTATGTCTTCTGGATGAATTGACCCCTCTATCGTTATAAAAGGTCCCTCCTAATTCCCAGCAGTATTCCCCATTCTAAAGTTTAATTTATTCGATATTAATATAGCCACTGCAGCATTATCTTGATTAGTTTACCTAATTTACTTTTTTTTTTTTTTTTTTTTTTTGACAGAGTCTCGCTCTCTTGCCAGGCTGGAGTGCAGTGCAGTGGCGCGATCTCGGCTCACTGCAACCTCCAACTCCCTGGGGTTCAAGTGATTCTCCTGCCTCAGCTTCCCGAGTAGCTGGGATTATAAGCACGTGCTACCACACCCAGCTAATTTTTGTATTTTTAGTAGAGATGGGGTTTCACTCTGTTGGCCAGGATGGTCTTGATCTCCTGACCTCGTGATCCGCCTGCCTTGGCCTCCCAAAGTGCTGGGATTACAGGGGTGAGCCACCACGCCAGCTACTTTTTGGTTTTTAAAAGATGTTCAGTTTCTTCACGTGCTTTCAAAATGTGTCTTTGTAAATCAGTATACAGTAAAATTGACTTTTGTTCACCACACCTCTATGAATTTTAACACATATATAGATTTGTTTAACCCCCACCACAGTCAGGATACAGAACATTCCATCTCCCTGAAAGACTTCTTTGGTCTATCTCTTCAGAGTCACAGAGCTCCTGTTACCCCTCAGTCCCTGGCAACTACTGATTTGTTCATCACTATAGTTTTGTTTTACGAAGAATGCCATTTAGTGGAACCATACAGGATATAATCTTTGAGACTGGCTTCTTTCACTCAGCATAATTCCCCTGAGATCCATCTAAGTTGTCGTATGTATCTATAATTGGTCCTTTTTATGACTGAGTAGTATTCCACCATACAGAGGTTCCACAATTTGTCTATCCATTCACCCAGTGAAGGGTATTTGAGTTTTGGGGTTTGGTGATTATAAATAGAAATAATATAAACATCTGTATATGGATTTGTGTGTAAACATAAGTTTTCATCTCTTTAGAGTTAATACAAGGAGTGGGATTGCTGGGGCATATTATAAGCATATACTTAACCTTATAAAAAACCTGCCAAACTGTTTTTAGAGTGGCTGAACCATTTTGCATTTCCACTAAAAATGTGTGAGAGTTCCAGTTGCTCTGTATCTACACCAGGTCAGTATTATTTTTTTTAGGCATTCTAATGAGTTTGTTGTGATTCCTCGTAGTGGCTTTTATTTGCATTTCACTAATGGCTGATATTAATGACAAGAGTATTTTTCCATCCGTTTATTCACCTCCATATATGTATCTTTTGTGGCCAAGTATCCGTTCAAGTCTTTTGTCCATTTTTAAAATTGGGTTGTTTGTTTTCTCACAGTTGAGATTTGAGAATTCTTGGTGTATTCTGATCACAAGTCCTTTGTTGGGTATGAGTTTTGCAAACGTTTTCTCCTGGTCTGTAGCTTGTCTTTTTATTCTTTTAACCATGTCTTTCACAAAGCAAAAGTTTTAAATTTTGATGAAGTCTAATTTATCTTTTTCTTTTTAATGAATCATGCTTTTGCTGTCTTATCTAAGAACACTTTGCTTAAGACCAGGTCATAAATTTTTTTTTTTTTTGCCTATGTTTTCTTCTAAAAATCTTATAGTTTATGTTTTTCCATTTAGGTCTATGATCCATTTTGAGTTAATCTTTGTATAAGGTGTGAGGTTGAAGTTGAGGTTTTTTTTTTATACATATAAGGATATTTAATTGTTTCAACCCCATTTGTTGAAAAGATTATCATTTCTCCATTGGATTTAAATCTTTTTCAAAAATTAATTGGCTATATTTGTTTGGGCTTAATTCTGAATTTCCTCTCCTGTTTCATTGATCCATGTGTCAGTCCCTTTGCCAATATCACACTGAATTGATCACTGTGGCTTTACAGTAAATCTTAATACTCAGTAGTGTGATTCCTCAAAATTTATTCTTCATCAAAATTGTTTTGGTTTTCTAAATTCTTTTTCTTGCCATATAAATTTTAGAAGCAGTTTGTCTACATTTACAAAAGATTCTGCTGAGACCTCTGTTGGAATCATGTTAAATCTATAAATCAATTTAGAGAGCACTGCCATATTTACTACGTTGAGTCTTCTAATCCATGAACATGGTATGTCTGTCCATTTACTTGATCTTGATTTCTTTCATCAGCACTTTGTAGTTTTTCAGCATGCAAATTCTCTAATGTTTTAGTAGATTTATACTAAAGTCTTTCAATTTGAGAGGAGCTATTATAAATGGTATTGTCAATACAATTTAGATCAGATTACACAGATTCCTTCAACTTGGGGGAGCTCAGGAGTTCATAAGTAACTTTATGGAGTTGCTGTCCCAAGATTCACCCTCCAGTTTCCCCAGTACTTTCCAGTTTTCTGGGGCTACCTTTTTCAGTCCTCTGGCAAAAACGCTGCGGCTTTTATTTCCCTACCTTGCCACTTTTATAATGATGGCATTCATGGCTGGGACCAAGTAATGGGATGACAGACAAAGGGAAAAACAACAGGAAAGGGAAAAACAATACCCAACCCCTTTGAAACCACAGCACCTCCAACTGGAGAGGAAGGTTTCTTCCTTCGCAGTTTAAGGGCACTTGAGGATTCCCCAACTTCTGCACTGTCAGCCCTGCTTCTTAAGCTGGACTAGAGGGCTTCTCCTGGAGCACTCTTTCTGTCCGTGTGGATGCCCACTTCTGGTTTTGAGGTGGCTTTGAGTCCTGGCTGGGGGGATACCAAAGCAAAAAACAAAAAATGGTAAACTCACCACTGGTTTGGTGGTACTTCGAAGCTTGGTCTTCTTCCCCAATCCACCTGCTACTATTTACTTTTCAGAGTCCTCTGACAGCTACTCCATGCATTCTGTCCAGGATTGTAGCTGTATTCAGTGGGGGAGAGACAGGGGTAGACTGTGCTTACTCTATCTTTTTCAGAACCAGAAACCCATTCTATTACTTTACAATTACCTGTGTCTTTATACTTAGAGTGGGTTCTTGTGACAGCATATAGTTGGGTATTGCTTTTCAATTCAATTTGACAATCTTTGCCTTTTATTTGTATGTTTAATCATTTTACATTTTAATGTAACTACCAATATGACTAGACTGAACCTATCATCTTGCTATCGGCTTTTACTTGTCCCACTTCTTTCTTTTTTTCCTCTCTTCCTGCCTTCTGGATTGAGTATTTTTAGGATTCAATTTCTATCTCCACAATTGGTTTATTAGCTGTAATTCTTTATTATTATTTTTCACTTGTTTTGGGTTTACAATGTATATCTTTTACTTACACAGCCTACCTTCAAACAGTATATACCACTTTATGTAATATAGGGACCTTACAATATTATACTTCCATTTCTTCTTATCTTTTACATTGGAGTTGGTAAACTATAACCCACAGACCAAATCTTGCCTGCCATCAATTTTTAAAAGTACAGTTTTATTGGAACACAGCCATACCTATTCATTTACATATTGTCTATGGCTGGCTGCTTTCACATTACAATGGTAGAGTTGAGTTGTGATAGAGACCATATGGCTCACAAAGCCAAAAGTATTTACTTTCTGGCCCTTTACAGAAAAAGTTTGCACAGCTTGGTTTATGTTATTGGAGTCATCTATTTTATTTCTGCATGTAAGTTTTATTATTTTAAAATTTTTCTTTAAAGGGATTAAAAAGTCTTCAACCCACATATTTATCATTTTTAACACTCTTCATTCTTTTGTGTAGATCCAGATTTTCCCTTGGTACCAGTTTTTTTTTGCTTCTGACTAAATAATTTCCTTTAACATTTTTTTGTAATGCAGGTATGCTGGTGATGAATGCTCTTCATTTTTGTTTGTGTAAAAAAGTCTTTATTTCAGCTTAACTTTTGAAATGTAGTTTTGCTGGTAATACAGTACACTAGGTTGATGGTTTTTTCTTTCAGTGCTTTGAAGGTGTTACTCCAGTGTCTCCTGGCTTGCATTGTTTTTGACGAGAAGTCTGTTTCATTCTTGTTTCGCTGTATGTAATGTGGCTTTTTCCTCTGGCTGTTTTTGAGGTTTTTTATCATTAGTTTTCAGCAATTTGATTATGGTATGGCTTTGCATGGTTTTCTTCATGCTTTTCTTGGAAATGTGGGTTTTAGTTTTCATCAAATGTGGAAAATGTTTGGGTATTATTTCTTCACATACTTTTTCTATAACACTCCTTTCCACACCCATCTCCATCCTCCTTCGCAGACTCCAAATACGTGGATCCCAGGCTGCTTAATATTGTTCTCCATCCTCCTTTGCAGACTGCACATACATGGATCCCAGGCTGCTTGATACTGTTCTTCATCCTCCTTCACAGACTCCAAATACGTGGATCCCAGGCTGCTTGATACTGTTCTCCATCCTCCTTCGCAGACTCCAGATACGTGGATCCTATTACCCTAATATCGTTCTGCAGGTTGCTGAAGATCTCTTCTTTTTCTTTTAGTCTTATTCTCTCTGTGATGCATATTGAATTGTTTCTGTTTCACTCTTCAGGTTCATTGATCTTTCCTTCTGCAATATCTAACCTGCTGTAAATACTATTCAGTGTATTTTAAAAACTCAGATATATTTTTCATTTCTACAAGTTTTTAAAAATACCTTCTACTTCTCATTAGGTTTTTTTCCCCTCAACAATCTTGATTATAGGAGCATATTCATAATAGATAATTAAACATTTGTATCTGCTAATTCTGTCATTTCTGGTGCCTGTTTCTATTGATCTATTTTTCTCCTGACTGTGAGTTATATGTTACTTCTTTGTAGACCTGATAATTTTTGACTGGGTATTTTGGAGTTCTGGATTCTGTTGTATTATTGATATACTCCTGTTGAGGAGTATAGGATTTTATTCTGGCACATGGCTCAATGACTTAGGATCAGTTTGATCCTTTTAAGCTTTCTTTAAGATCTGTTAGGGCAGGTCGACATTAGTCTTTAGTTCAGCACTACTAAAGTGACACCCCACTGAGGACTCTATGCAATAGACTCCCAGCCCTGTTTGAGCTCCAGGAAGTGTTTGACTTACTGCTTTCTAGTGGTTCTTTCCCCAGCCTTGCAGATTTCATCCTGAGCCTGATAATAATAAGCCAAAATTCAGGGAGGTCTCCTCTTGATCTCATGCTCCCTCCTGCCTCAGGAGCACCATCCTGTAGCCACTGAACTAGGATCTTTGTCTCCTCAATTCAAAGGGACTGCTGGACTCTCAGTTCCTCCTCCCAGCACAGTGGAGTGGAAACTGCCCCAGGCAGAATCTGGGGCAATTGTAGGGCTCACCTCATTTGATTCCCTTTTCTCAGGGGTGACAGGCTTGTGCTGTCTGTTGTCTAATGGCTGAAAAGGGTTTCACAGATTTTGTCTGTTTTTCTAGGTGTTGATGGTGAGAGGGAAATTCCAAGAGCAGTTAATTCTTGTTGGCCAGAAGCAGAAGACTAGAGACTCTTTTTTGTAGTGTCCAATTTGTGGCCCACTTCCTGTCAGACCTGATTAGACTGTCAGCATCTGCGCCTTGTAATACAGTCAATCAGTCATTACGTTAGCACCACCGTCAGTCTGTTGTTTCTTTCTTCTTCCTCTTTTGTTTTTTTTTAGACAGAGTCTCACTCATTCTGTTACCCAGGGTGGAGTGCAGTGGTGCGATCTCAGCTCACTGCAACCTCTGCCTCCCGGGTTCAAGCAATGCTCCAGCCTCAACCTCCCGAGTAGCTGGGATTACAGGCATGCAGCACCACGTCTGGCTAACTTTTGTATTTTTGGTACAGATGGGGTTTCACCACGTTGGCCAGGCTGGTCTTGAACTCCTGACCTCAAGTGATCCGCCCGCCTCAGCCTCCCAAAGTGCTGGGATTACAGGCATAAGCCACCACACCCGGCCAGTCTGTTTCTTATTATTCACTCTACTTGCATCATTATTCTGTAGAAAACACGGTTTATTTGCAAAAAATTTTTGAAACCACTTATCCGTTTCCTGACATGAATTTAGTGAAATACATTGATATTTAGATAACAATCTGGGCAAAGTGAGCTGTGACACGGAACAGTGACTTTAAAGCAGCCAAATAGGTGAGGCTGCCTCCTCCCGCTCCTGCCCCACCCTCCCCTCAGGACACACCCTGGCCTCCCATGCACTCGGCAAAGACTGATGGAGGGCCCATGACCCTCTGTGTCTTACGGGTAAAACAGAATTTCCTCCTGAATTTTTTAAACTAAAAATAACCTGAATAGTTTGTCTTTAGCATCTCCCTGGAGAGAAGCAGCACCTGGTGCGTCCACAGAAGTCGGCACAGTGGGTGAGCCTCTGGAGGCAGGTGCAACAATCAGACACGAAAGCCATTTTTATACTGTAGGCTGCAATCTCCAGTTGGCCTTTTAATTCCTCTAACAAGTCACAACTAGCAGTTAAACAACACAAAATAGAATAGAAAATAGTGAAAGGTCAGTTTTCTTTCTGATTCCCGTTACTTTCCCTTGTGTGCTGAGGGTTCTAGAGTAGGAGAGGAAGATGTTAAAAAAGTCAAGAGTCACCCAGGCTGGAAGAGGAGACTTGTGAACTTTGTCATCCCTCCTGGCATTTCACAGATGGAAACCAAGGCCCAGAGAGGGGAAGGGGTTGCTCAGCCTCACACAGCACCCTGGAGGCAGCATCCATCTTTTGCTTCCTATTTTCCCTGCAGTTGGTGGCTTAGGATCCAGGCTGAGCGGGAAGCGCTGGGGAGTGGGAAGGGGGCAGAGGCATCCTCCCACCCCAGAGACAGGTGTGAGGTGAGTCAGATGGCAAGGAAGGAAGGGGAAAGTGGCTATGGGGGTGTTCACGGCACAAAGCCACCATCAGCCATGGTGGCCTGCAGGCACTTGGCCAGTTACCTGTCTCACAGCGAAGTCCCTTGAAGGGCTCGGCACACAAGCAGGTGTAATTCCCCACTAGGTCAACACAAGAGCCTCCATTCAGGCAGGGGTCAGGGCTGCAGTCGTCCACATCTGAGGGGCAGCAGAGGTGCGGGCTTGGCTTGAGCCAGGCCACAACCACCCTGTGCCCAGCACCTGGCCACGGGCAGGAGCCCCTCTCCAATCCGAAGCCAGGCCACTCACCCATCTCGCAGGCTGCTCCGGTGTATCCGGCCTGGCACACACACACCGCAGAGCCATTCTCCACCTGGCACTGGCCACCATGTTGACACTCTTTGGTGTCACAGGGGGATTGGGCTAGAGTGAGGAGGTGTAGACAGGACGATGGACTCCCAGTTATGGTTACCTGAGGGGACAGAAACCCCTGGGACGTACACTGAGCCCCACCCCCAACTGGCTTACATTGCAGGGGGGCCTGGCAGGCAGGTTTCTGAGCGGGCGACAGGCAAGAAAGAGGCCTGGCCAGGCAGTCCTGACTGGCCACCCGAAGCTCTGTCTGAACTGGGTCTAATTCAGCAAACCTGGGATGGAGGGATGGGTGTGTATGCTGGGCAGGGGCAAATGGGGGTGCATGGAAATCACTCCCACTCTTGGGGGATGGTCCCTCCCTAGGTGGCTCTTATTCCAAGTGGACTGTGAGAAGAGCTGTGGTCAAGGATGCAGGCTGTGACTGAGCCTGGAAGGGTGTGCAGCACCCAGGGTGTAGGAGTGGCCCCTGGGGCGAGAGGCTGGGTGGGGCAGGCAGTGGCCTGTGCAGGAACGGCCAGGGCAAAGGGACTCTGGCCCCCAGTTACTGAGTGGGAGTGAGCTAGGGGAGCCCACCCTCTGCCCTCCCTCCTCACCGGATGCTGGCCCTCCTTGAGTCCAGAGCACCTGGCCCACACATCCCAGGTCTCTCCTTTGCCCTGGCCAGCAGAGCCAGACGCAGAGGAGAACCACATCCCCTGTCTTACTGACAGCTCATACCCAGAACAAACTCAGAAACAAGAGTGATAGCCAAAGCGTGTGTCCCTCCCTGGAGTCATGGGGGAATGGTGGGGCCCTCTCTTTGGCATAGGAAGGAGACAGGAGGGCCTGACTACTCCCCCAGGAGGTGTGAAAGCCCTTTGGTGGCTGATGGGACATGGTGATCCCTGTCTCCCTGACCCCAACTCCGCTAGGTGGAGGAGCATGCACACCCTAGCCTTTAGTTGCGGGCGCCCCTGCTGTTATGGGTTCTGGGGGCCAAGGTGGCTTCCAAGATCAGGGAGCCCCTGTGGGGGGTCGAGGCGGGAAGGCTTGTACCCAAGGCTTGTGCCACAGCTGCACTGAGAAAGTGAAGGCTCACGGTCCGAGGCCACACGTACAACTGACATGCTGCAGACCCAAGACCTGAACCAGCCTCCTGGCGCCAAGCCTCAAGCCCTCTTAGGGGACCTCACCAGGCTGCACATCACAGAGGGGCTCCTGGAGCCTGGGGCATAGCCGAGGAGCAGCCCATTCCTGGGAAGCTCTGCCCAGTCACCCTTGGGGACCCTCATCATAGGCCTGGGTCCTCCCGCAGCCAGGCCCCTGGCCAGCACCGCACAGGGAGAGCACTGAGCAAGAGGAAGGAGATCCTGCCAGCCTCCCTGGCCTTTACCAAGGGACAGACGCCTGCAGGGCTGAGTCTGCCACGGCACCAATGCCACAGAAGCCCGACTCCCACCCGTCTCACGTTGAGAGCACGTGGGCAAGCAGGGCAGGAGTTTCTGGATGAAGAAAGGCTCCTATGAATGGAGCTTGCTCCGACACTGGCTGTGGGAAGACAGTGGCAGGGCTCGGGGAGCAAGGGATAACTGGGGTCACTGTGCTGTCACCTATGTGTGATCTGTAAACACACTGGCAAGCCCATCTCGCCAGGTGGGAATTGTGCTTCACTGCTTTGGACCTTGAAGTCACATTTCCATTGCATTCCTGCAGAACTTCATTCTAATGTACTTTCAGGTGCAAAAGTCCCTTACTGCCATTCAACTATAGCTCTCTCCAATACCAATATGTGTAAACACAGGAAGGAAGTACTTTAAAAAACCTCCCATGACCATAAATATCTGATAAGAATTGTTTTTTTCTAGATTGAGATATTGATATAGTCACTATTTGAATGCATTGATCTAAACAATCTATTACATGTTTTTGTAAGCGACTGTCACACAGGACACGCACACCTGGCTGAGCTGGGTGGGGAGCAGCAGGTCACGGTGCTTTGATTTTAGGGGCTCCCTTTGCAAAGCTCCCTGAGCAGAGCCCTATGGTGAGATGGAGAGCAGGAATTGGGGGGGGGTCCACCTTTCTTTACCAGGTGGGTGAAGGGCATGGGTGAGGGGCCTAAAGAGGTGCCGGGGGAAGGGCAGTAAGTAGAGGCTGACTCTGATGACAACTGCTTCGAAAGAGCTGGGCTCTGAACTGGGAGGGCAAGCTGAGGTTTGGTAGCAGCAGTGAGGATGGAGAGGGACTCCAGGCCCCACCTAGGCTGTGAGACCCCCTTTCCCTGAAGGCAGGGGCAGGAGAGAAACAGCGTCCAGGAGCAGCCGCAGGGAGCGGCAGGGACCGTGTGGCTGTGCCCTTCCTGCCCCACAGCCAGCCCATCTGACCCCAGAAGCACTTCACGTTCCCCTCAAGCTGGTCCTGGGCTGAGAGGGGGTCTGACGGCCCCACCACATCCCCAGCGGGCTCCCATCCGGGCTCTGGTGCCTGTCTGACCCTGATCCTGGCCTGGTTTGGGACCTGGGCACTGGCCTGTTCTGAGGCCCCATCCCTGGTCCGAATGCCATGGTCTAGGAAGCCTGTGTGACTGGTCATGGCTCCTGCCCCCTACCCAGATATGGGCCTTTCCCTGGGCATCTGGGCTCCTCCACTCCTCGAGGGTGGCTTCTCTGGGCTGTCTACCTTGCAGCATGCACAGCTGCTGGACCTTCCAAGACCTCAGCCTTGTCCAGCTGTGTCTCCCGCTATCCTGCCCCCAGCAGGGCCCCGTGGGCCCCGGTGGGTTCCTCTTACCTGTCTCACAGGTGGGTCCCCCAAAGCCAGCCGGGCACTGGCAGCGGAAACTGTTGATGCCGTGAGTACAGGTCCCACCATTCTGACAGGGCTGGGAGGCACATTCGTTCACGTCTGAAACATGGGGCAGGCTGAGGCCTCAGCGGCGGGAACCCGGATGAGGAGTTTTCTCTAAGGGCTCGGGTTGGGCCGGGGACGGAGGAGGAGCAAGCCCGAGATTGGCTCAGAGAGGGCAGCAACTGCACCCGCCCATGGTGCTCACTCCAGGGGGCCATGGCCTTTGGTCCCCAGTGGTCCCCTAAGCAAGTCACCCACACCCTGGGGACAGAGACTCCTGACCTGGGACCCTGGGCGCCCAGGGCCACTGGCGGAGCCTACAGTGCTCCTCCTGAGCCCAGCGCAGCCAGCGGGTGGTCCCGCCCTGGGCCAGTCACTCACCCAGGTGGCACCTCCGCCCCGTGAAGCCCGAGAGGCAGGAGCAGGTGTAGGAGGGGTTGCCCGTGACGCAGTCGTCGATGCACTTGCCGCCGTTGAGGCAGGGGCGCAGGGCCAGGCACACGGACGCTGCAGACATAGGGAGGGGCTGGAGCCTCAGCCGCTGCCTCCGGACTCGGCAGGAGAGCCACTCCCATCCGCATCTCCCTTCCCTCCCCTGACCCAAAAGGTCGGCCTCTGGGTGCCCGGGTGACCGCAGCAAAGCAGCCAGGTTTCAGGTTTCACTTTAGGTCGGAGCAGGGGAGCAGGGGAGCAGGGGCGGTGCTGTTGGCGTGGCCTCTGGGGAGGTGGCTTCGTGTGGGGCGGACTCCCTGAAGCGACTCACACCAGCACCCCGTCCCCTCCATCCCTCTCAGCGCTGCCGTGGACAGGTCTAAAAACTGGCACACTCCGCCTCCCCTCCAGGGTTCCTGGCGTGGAAAACCCGAGGCTGGCACTCAGCCGTCATGTCAGCGTTTCTGGGACAAGGCGGGCCACGCAGGGGGTGTGGCTGGGGGCTGCAGGAGGGCTGTGTCCCTCGGATGCTGGGCGGCCGCTCTGGGCTCCCCGCCCCGTGAGCCCGGACTCCCTAAGCTCAGATGCAAGCGGGGGCCTGTTCGTGCCCCAGTGTGTGGGTAGCTCGGGCTCCTCGGGCCTCCTTCGTCGCGGCACCACCTGCAGCCCTCAGATGGGTCTTCCCGCCCTGCGACTGCATCTTTCCTCTTCCCATGAGCGCGCGGTGCTCTCCCCACCCCGTGGCGCGCCTCTACTCCCCAACCCCCACCCCGTGATGCGCCTCCACCCCCCACCCCCCACCCTGTGACGCACCTCCACCCCCCACCCACCCCGTGACGCACCTCCACCCCCCACTCCCCTCCCCGTGACGCGCCTCCGCCCCCCACCCCTACTACGCCCCACCTCCAACCCCGTGGCACACCTGCACCCCCCACCCCTCCACCCCGTGGCACGCCTGCACCCCCCACCCCATGGCACGCCCCCACCTCCCACACCCTCTACCCCTCACTCCCAACCCTGTGGCGCGCCTGCACCCCCCATCCCCACACCATCTACCCCTCATCCCCAACCCTGTGGCGCACCTGCATACCCCATCCCCCACCCCCACACTCTCTACCCCTCATCCCCCACCCCATGGCGCGCCTGCACCCCGCCTCCGCCCCGACAGTGGTGCGCGCGCATCTGCTACCCCTGTCGTGTTCTCTGGGGACTCAGTGTTGCGGAGATGCGGCCCCTCTCCCCTCTCGTAGCCTAGATGCTCGCGGCTGGGAGGCGAGTCTGGGGCAGGTCCCGGTGCGAGCCTCACTGCGGCCCCAGGCTTGGCAGGGCTTGTGATGCGCCGCCCTCAGTGGAGCGGATCAGTCGCTTGCCCTCGCCCCAAGTGTAAGCAGTGATTTCTGAAGGCTCCTTGGCTCCCAAGGCCGCACAGCAGCAGGGCTAAGGCTACCATCTATGGCTCTGCTGCCGCCCTGGCTGTTCCCACAAACCACGTGCCCACCCCTGGGAGGGACACCCACCCCGTCCGTTTGTGCACTGTGGGCTGGAAGGACCCCTGG
This sequence comes from Homo sapiens, assembly GCF_000001405.40. Lineage (NCBI taxonomy): Eukaryota > Metazoa > Chordata > Mammalia > Primates > Hominidae > Homo > Homo sapiens. The sequence goes on along the minus strand of NC_000002.12, from coordinate 241,035,308 downwards.
AACTCCCCTGTAGACGTGATGCTTGGGTTTGTCAAGCAGTCACCAAATCCCACCAAGCAGCAAGCCCGCTGGCAAAAATGAGGACCTGGGTGGTAAGAGGACCTGCCTCATGGGTGGCCCTGAGGGTCAGAGACCACATGCTGCTCCTCCCCCAGCCCAGGCAGGAGGCTGGGTGGGAATAAGGGGAGAGTAGGGACCACATGGTCCCAGGGAGAGGTGTCCCTGGGCTCCTCCTCCCCTGAGGACCCAGAACTCTTTACCCCCGAAACCCGCAGTCTCCAGAGGGTTCCCTCCAACCCACAGCAGTGTGTGTGCGGGATCTTCTCTAGGGCACAGTCTCCAGAGGGTTCCCTCCAACCCAGAGCAGTGTGTGTGTGGGGTCTTCTCTAGGGGAAGCTGAGGCTGCAGGACCAGCCAGGCTTTCCTTAGTTTCACACGCCTGAGGTGGGCTGGGCTGGACACCCAAGTGCTCCTGCTCTCCCCGTCAGCATCCAGCCCCCTTCGTCTCCACCTCTCCTCTGCCATCAACCCCCTTCCTCAGCCCGCTCCCACCCCAAGCTGCTCCTCTGTCCTCTTACTTGTATGGCCGCAGCCCCCCACGCGCACCTGGGCATCATCGATTCTGAACGCCCAGCGCCCGGGCACACCCACGTTGGTGGTGGTCTCCACCTCGGCCATGTCTGCTGTGCGCGAGCCGGGGATACTGAAGTAACGCTGCCCATCGCCTGCGTTGAAGCCAGCCTGGGGGTGGGGTGGGGGCAGAGTGAGGGAGGCCAGTTCCCCAGGTCTACAGAGGTGGGGGTTACCCTGCCCCCACCATGTTCCTGCCAGGGTCGGCAACCTCCCAGCCAGGTCCTGACCTCAGCCAACCGTTCCTGGGAGCCAAGGAGAGGGCTGGCCCTGGCTCCCCAGCCCAGTCCTCCGGCAGCTCACCTCTGGGCTCTTGGGCCTCCCCTGGGGCCAGGGGCAAGTATGAACCCAAGAGAAAGCAGGTGGCCAGGAGGTGAGTGGGGGTGCGCACAGCCCAAAGGCACTCTCGGGCCTGGGGAGCACTGACCCTGTGGCCATTGTCCTGTTTCATTCCCTCCACACCCGGGGTTTCCTGCCGGCTGTGGTCCCTTGTGTCACTGGCTAGGCCAGACTGCAGGGCACAAGGAGCAGAGGACATTTCTGTTGCTGTTGCAGCTGTTAAAGGGGACTGCAGGGGCAGGGCGGGGCAGGTCAGGGGGACAAAGGTGCCTTTGGGCCTGAGGATGTTTCTGTTTTTGGGCAGTGAGAGGCCTCAGGGATGGTTGTGGATGTCTCTCGTTGGCCTCTGCACGGTACTGGGGGATCTGCCTATGGTGAGCCCCTGCCTACCTCATCAGCTCATGACAGTCCTGGCTGTGGGGAGCAGGGGTTCTGAACACAGAGCACCGACTGCACTCGCCTACCTGGGCTGCGATGCCCCCGAGGCCAGTGGCGTTGCCCCCGCTGCTGGCGTGTGTGCCTGTGGTCCACACGATGGACTCATAGTTGAAGATGGTGAAGGAGAGCTTGCCGTCTGTGATGAGCACAGTCTGGAATGTGTTGACCTGCCGGGGAGAGGGGGCTGAACAGGGCCCTGCACTCCCCTTGGCCCAGGGAAGCCCTGCCCTGTCCACCATCCTGGTGCACTGTCATTGTCCACTGGGCCCCTGGCTTGCTCAATGTCTGTGTCTTCCAGCTGGACGGGCAGCCGAGGCAGGACCTTGGTGGCCTCATCCTCTGCTGTCTCCCAGCGCCTGCCACTCAGCAGAGGCCGTCTGCAACCCACAACTATTGCTGGGGTGAGTGAAACACCTGGGGTGGGTGCGGGGCCCACAGATGGGAGCAGACACTGTCCCCTGCCCTTAGCCAGATCCACAAAATCTCCTGTGTGAAATGAGCAAAATTGCAAAAAGGAAAAGAGGAAAGGTAAAAAGAAGCAAGGAAGAGCCGTGCTGCAGCGTTTAACAGTCAGGCCTTATGGTTTTCACAGAATTCTACTGCAAGGAAATATTGGCAGGCAGCGTACAGATGAGGTACGCCAGATGAGAATCAAGCAAAGGATCGGGACTGTTTAAGAAATGATCTTGGGACAAACAGGAAACCCCCTGAAAAAGAATCAGATCAGGGTCCTGCCTTTCACCACACACAAAAAGTAATCCCAAATCAAATAAGGTTTTAAAGTGAAAGAAAAGTCCTAGAAGAAAATACAGGCATATATGTATAACTCAGGAAAGGGAAAGGACTTTTAAGTGTGATGTTTGTTCACAGCAAAAACCAAAAGGGAGAATTAAACATTTGACTGCAAAGGGCTTCCGAATACTTAAAAAAATCCATAAGATCAAATTGAATGGCAAACAGCAATGTGAAAAACCTATTTATAACGCATACAGCAGATAAAATTATCGAGACCCTTAATTCAAGAACTACAGATCAATAAGAAAAAGACCAAAAGTATTACAGAAAAAATGTCAGAGGGTATGAAGAGACACATCACAGTAGAATACAAGTAACCAATAATATTAGAACAAATTCAGCACCCCTAGAAATTAAAGATATGTAAGTTAAAAAGTAGCACTCATTGTTTTGTCTATTGAGTTGGCAAAGTTGGAAAATGACAGCTGGGGTGCAAGGAAACCAGCACTTTTTTTATTATTTTTTATTTTTTATTATACTTTAAGTTCTAGGGTACATGTGCACAACGTGCAGGTTTGTTACATATGTATACATGTGCCATGTTGGTGTGCTGCACCCATTACCTAGTCATTTACATTAGGTGTGTCTCCTAATGCTATCCCTCCCCCGACCCCCCCACCCCACGACAGGCCCTGGTGTGTGATGTTCCCCTTCCTGTGTCCAAGCGTTCTCACTCATAGGTGGGAACTGAACAATGGAAACTGGCACTTCTAAATGTGGCTCCGAGTATGAACGTGTAGATTTTTTTTTTTTATTTGAGATGGAATCTCCCTCTGTCACCCAGGCCGGAGTGCAGTGGCATGATCTCGGCTCACTGCAACCTCTGCCTCCCGGGTTCAAGCAATTCTCCTGCCTCAGCCTCCCGAGTAGCTGGGATTACAGGCACCCGCCATCACACCCGGCTGACTTCGGTATTTTTAGTAGAGAGGGGAGTTCGTCATGTTGGCCAGGCTGATCTCAAACTCCTGACCTCAGGTGATCCCTCTGACTTGGCCTCCCAAAGTGCTGGAATTACAGGGGTGAGCCATCGCACCCTGCCTGAATATGTAGATTTTTGAGAGGAAAACTGGAATTCTGCAGGTGGCAATCTCCCTTCTAAACATGTGTACCAGGACAGGATCATGCATAAGGCGACTTGGGCTATGCCGTGCCCGCCTCAGGCCCCTGGTATTGCAGCTGTCCAGTCATGGGGTGCAGGTGAAACAAATTCACGTGCCGCTTGGTGCTGGGCTAGTTTGTAGTCACTGAGAAAGATGGGTGATCATACAGTGTACATTCCACTTATGTAAAAGTCAACATTAGAGAAACTACGTGCTCTGCTTCAGGAAGGCGAACGTAAGTGCTAACACTCGGAAAACAAACAAAGACGCGAGGGCCGTAGAATTGGGGTGGTGGCACCGTCTAGGGGACAGGGCGGACTAGAGCCAGTAAGGGCCCATGGTGGGGCTCTGGGAGCCGAGAGGCGCAATGAGGAGATGCATGAAGCTGAACTGTCCACTTTCTGTCAATGAACCTGCTCCTGGAAGTGCCCCTGGCTGGGTTATGCTTCTGAGCACTTCCTGATGCCTTGCTAGAGTGACCCCACGGGGCAGATGCGTCTTGTCTGCTTCGTCCAGGGCTGTCTGCCCAGTGCCTAGAACACTTGCCTGTCACTTGGAAGGTGCTCTTAAAAAGTGTTTATTAGGAGGCCGAGGTGGGCGGATCACCTGAGGTCAGGAGTTCGAGACCAGCCTGGCCAATATGGGGAAACCCCCTCTCTACTGAAAATACAAAAATAAGCTGGGTGTGGTGATGCATGCCTGTAATCCTAGCTGCTCAGGAGGCTGAGGCAGGAGAATGGCTTGAACCTGGGAGGTGGAGGTTGCAGTGAGCTGAGATCGTGCTATTGCACTCCAGCCTGGGCGACAGAGCAAGACGCCATCTCAAAAAAAAAAAAGTGTTTATTAAATGCATGAACAAACAGCTCTGAAAATGGCGGTTCTGCACCCAGCGCCTCTTTTCTAGGGAGTCACTGTCTGTCTTGCACAGTCATGACCCAGTGCCCAGTGCAGGCCTGGCCACAGTAGGTGCTGAGTAAATACATCTGCCACCGGAGTGGGCAGGTGTCCTCGTTAGGGAGTGTCAGCCCACCATAACTCATCAAGCCTGCAAAGTGGCTGATTATTCTTGAGTCAATGTTTCTGTCATGTTTGGCATTATCAAGGAAGGGTATAAAACAGAATAACCTTCCAGTCTAACCTTTTGAGTACTGGGCCATTCCAAATGGAAATCCTCCTAACACCTCTCTCTGACATGTGAGCTGCTGCTTTGGGGAATTTGGTGTTTCCTGGAGGCAAGTGGCTTCCAGGAGCATTGGGGAAGGTTGGGGACGTGTCCTCTTCTGCTCTGGCTCTGTGGTTTTGACCACGTGTTCCCCTCTTGGGTATGGACCAGTGACTGCACCACACCCACATCAGCAAGAGGGAGCCCTGGTGCGGGGAGACCCTGGGCCCTAGCCACACACCCACCCTCCCCAGGACAAGTGCCTGGACTCACAGGGGATGAGGAACTGCCTCCAAAGAAGGTCACTCGGTACCAGGTGGCAACAAAAACCCAGGTGGCATTGAAGTCCAGGAGCTCGGGGAAGTAGTGCCTGACGTCCTCCGTGGCTCGGCGCAGCATGGCTGGGTCGGTGGCCTCCCGGTAGTACACGTCGCCTGCACGCCGGTTGTCCACATCTGCCCAGAAGGCTGCCACCACGCAGCGGTCCTTGGCAATGGGGAAGGCCACTGGGGTGAACTGAGAAACCTCCTTCAGGAAGGAGATGATCCCGTTGTTGTTCACCTGGGAGGCAGAAAGCCAGAGCGGGGATTGACTGGGGGCTGTGGGCAGGCGGGTGGGCCCAGCAGCCTCCCCAGCCCCTGCCACCAGGCACCCTCTGAGGGGAAGCCAGTCCTGGGCAGGGTATCCCCAGGGTGGCCTGACAGCCCCCCGTCCCTGAGATGGGCCCAGCATGGCCTGCTCCACCCCCTCCTGTCATGCTGTGTGCTCAGGGCACAGGCTCTGACCTGTGTGCAGTACCCGATGCCCTGTGGAGTGCCCAGTCCTGGTTGGCTGCTATAGGGGGTAGGAAAGTCCCCCTTTGGGCCCTGGCCTCAGTCAGTGGGGCACTTGGGCCTGCCCAGCAGCTACTGCTCCTCAGCTCTGCTCCGGCTGGGGCCGCAGGAGGCGAGGCGGAGCCCCAGTATCTGAGCTAAGCCTGAAAGGGTGGGCAGGGGTCACACAAGGTGGGCTTCGGGGAGGGGTGCCCCCACTAGAGCGGAGGGGGATGGCCAGGGGCCAGCATGGCCGGGGAGGCTGCAGGGGCCAAGTAGGGGAGCCTGTGCTCGGCCTCCAGGCAGCGGGGAGCCCCATAACGTTTCTGAGCAGCACCTCTGCAGTGAGATACACATGCTTCCATCCTGGCCCCACACTCCATGCCACTGGCTGCGCATCCATCAGTGACACAGTTCAGCTGCCGACCTCTCTGTGCTCTGGTTTTCTTACTTATAACAGGGGGCTATGGTTGGAATGTTTGTGTCCCCCCAAATTCCTATGTTGAGATCCGAACTCCCACAGAGATAGTGTTAGCAGGTGGGGCCTTTGGAAGGTGATTAGGCAATAAAGGTAGAGCCCTGGTGAATGGGATTAGTGCCCTAAGAAAAGAAGCCCCAGAGAGCTGCCTTCTGCCATGGGAGGATACACAAGAAGATGCCATCTATGGCCCAGGAAGTGGGCCCTCACCAGTCACTGAGGCTGACTGACAGTGCCTTGATCTTGGACTTCCCAGCCTCAAGAGCTATACAAAATATATTTCTGTTGCTTATGAGCCACTCAATCTAAGGCATTTTACTGCAGCAGCTCGAGCTGACCAGGGCACTGGCTCTGACCTGACAGGGTGCTGGGCCCAGGTGAATGAGTTGCTGGTCACAGTGGTCAGCTCTGCGCTGTCATTATTTGCTACTGGGAAGAATGTGACCAGAACCATGCTTTTAGAAAAGACCCTCTGGACTTCCCCTTTGGGTGAAGCCTGGAACGGGCACTAAGGGGGTCCCAGACTGGCAGCACCCCTGCCTTCTACACAGAGGCAAAGGAAAACCCTCTCTGGAGGAAGATGGCATCATCTTAGGCCTCAAGTTATTCCTGCAAATAATTTTACAAATACGCAGTCCAGGACACAGCCAAAAATAATCGGGCACCCAAGGAAGCATGATACCACCAAGAGGAATAGACAGAAATGAGAGAAACAGCAGATACTGGAATTATCAGACTCAGAACATAAAATAACTAGGTTCAAAGAGATCAATGCAAACTTTAGAATTTTATCAGAGTAGTCAAAACAATCTTGGAAAGGAAGTACAATATTGGAGGACTTACACTTCCAGATTTCAAAACTTACTACAAATCTCCAGTAATCAGTGTGGTACTGGCATAAAGACAGATATACAGACTGATGGAATGAAACAGAACCCAGAAATAAGCCTTCGATATATAATCAAACGATTTTCACAAGGGTGTCAAGAGCATTCAGTGAGGAAAGGACAGTCTTTTTAACAAATGGTGCCAGCAAAACTGGACATCCACATACAAAAGGATGAAGTTGGGCCCTTACCTAACACCATATACAAAAATTAACTCAATATAGAGCCAAAACCTAAACATAAGAGCTAAGACTGTAAAACTCTTAGAAGAAACAATAGGGCAAAAGCTTCATGACGCTGGATTTGGAAATGATTTCTTGGATATTACACTAAAGGCACAGGCAACAAAAGAAAAAACAGACAAATCGGACTTCATGAAAATTAAAAATTTTCCTGCATCAAAATACACTATTAACAGAGTAAAAAGGCAGCCTGAAAACAAAATAACAGAAAATATTTGCAAATCATATATCTGATAAAGGATTAATATCCTGAATATAGAGAGAGCTCCTAAAACTCAACAACAAAAAACCCTTGTTTCAAAAATGAGAAAGGACTTGAACAGACATTTCTCCAAAGAACCAATGAGCACCTGGAAACATGTTCAACATCACTGCTATTAAAAAAACAAACCTGGCCCGGCGCGGTGGCTCACGCCTGTAATCCCATCACTCTGGGAGGCCGAGGTGGGTGGATCACGAGGTCAGGAGATCAAGACCATCCTGGCTAACATGGTGAAACCCTGTCTCTACTAGAAATACAAAAAATTAGCCAGGCATGGTGGTGGGTGCCTGTAGTCCCAGCTACTCAGGAGGCTGAGGCAGGAGAATGGCGTGAACCCGGGAGGCGGAGCTTGCAGTGAGCCGAGATCGTGCCACTGCACTCCAGCCTGGGTCACAGTGCGAGACTCCACCTTAAAAAAAAAAAAAAAAAACAGAAGAAAATAACAAGGGTTGGTGAAGATGTGGAGAAATTGGAACCCTTGTGCACTGTTCGTGAGAATGGAAAATGGTACAACTGCTGTGAAAAACAATATGGTGGTTCCTCAAAATTAAAAACAGAATTACCATATGACCCAGCAATTTCACTTCTGGGTCTATAACGAAAAGAATCAAAAGCAGGGTCTTGAAGAGATTTGTATTTGTACACACATGTTCATAGCATTATTATTCACAATAGCTAACAGCTGGCAGGAACCTGAGTGTCCACTGAGGATGAATGGGTAAACAAAATGTAGCACATCCATACAATGGAATATTATTTAGCCTTAAAAAGTAAGGAAATCTTGGCCAGGCACAGTGGCTCATGCCTGTAATCCCAACACTTTTGGTGGCTGAGGCAGGTGGATCACCTGAGGTCAGGAGTTCAAGACCAGCCCAGCCAACATGGCAAAACTCTATTTCTACTAAAAATACAAACATTAGCTGGGCATGGTGGCACATACCTGTAATCCCAGCTACTCAGGAGGCTGAAGCACAAGGATCACTTGAACCTGGGAGGTGGAGGTTGCAGTGAGCCAAGATCATGCCACTGCACTCCAGACTGCGTGACAGAGTGAGACCCTGTCTTTAAAAAAAAAAAAAGTAGGGAAATCTGTCATAGGTTACAACATAGTTGAACCTTAAAGACACTATGCTAAGTAAAATAAGCCAGTCAGAAAGACAAATACTATATGATTCCACCTATATGAGGTACCTAGCAGAGTCAAATTCATAGAGACAGAAAGTAGAAAGATGGTTTCCAGGTGTTGAAGGAAGAGGGGAATAGGGACTTATTATTTAATGGGATTAGAGTTTCAATTTTGAAAGATGAAAAGAATTCTGTGGGTGGATGGTGGTAATGATTACACAATAATGTGAATGTACTTTAATCATTGAACCACACATTTAAAAATGGCTATGATATTAAATTTTATGTTATGTGTTTTACCACAATGAAAAACTTGACAGAAAAGCACTAGATTAAAAAAATTAATCAGGAATGTAAATTATTTAATCAAAAGACATTTTAAAGAACCAAATGAATACGATATAAGTAACTAAATAACAGAAATTAAGAACTAACTGGATAGATTGAAGAGTGGACTTGATGCATTAAGAAAGAATTATGAACTGGAACTAAAAGGTCAGAAGAAACTATCCAGAATTTTAAAGGAGACAAAAAGATGGAGAATACAGAAGAAAGGATGAGACATAATGGAAAACAGTAAGATGACCAAACAAATGCACAACTTGGAGCACCAGAAGGAAAGGAGACACAAAGACAATGGTGAGAATTTTCCAGAACTGATGAAAGACATCAAGCCATATGCTCAACAATCCCACTGATTCACTAGCTAGAAAAATAAAAACAGGCTGGGCGCAGTGGCTCACGCCTATAATCCCAGCACTTTGGGAGGCTGAGGTGGGTGGATCATGAGGTCAGGGGTTCGAGACAAGCCTGACCAACATGGTGAAACCCCATCTCTACTAAAAATACAAAAAACTTAGCTGGTCGTGGTGTTGGGTGCCTGTAATCCCAGCTACTCAGGAGGCTGAGGCAGGAGAATTGCTTGAACCCGGGAGGCGGAGGTTGCAGTGAGCCAAGATCGTGCCACTGCACTCCAGCCTGGGTGACAGAGCAAGACTCTGTCTCAAAAAAAAAAAAAAAAAAAAAAAAGGAAAAGAAAAACAAAGCCACATCAACAAATGTCAGAAATGCACAAGATCAATGACAAGGAGACAATCTTCATTTTTTTTTTCTTTTTCTATTGCTGCTGCACAAATTATTCACAAGGAGACAATCTTAAAAAGAAAAAAACAGGTTACCATTAGGGGCATTGCAAGTAGACTGACAGCTGACTTCTCATATACAACAATGAAAGCCAGAAAACAGTGGAATCATATTTTCAACGTGCTAAAAGAAAACAACTGCCAACATAAAGTCTTATATCCAGATAAAATACCCTTTACTATGGAAGGCAAAATAAAGATAATTCAGGTAAATAAATAATAAACAGCAGACCCACACTAAAAGAGATGCTAACAGATCAACTTCAAGTCAGAGGGAAATGTAAGATCAGAGATGCAAGAAGGAAAGAAGGGCAAATGAAATATAAAGAAATAATATATATTGCCTTATGAAATGGTGTAAAAAATCTATAGAATTAAAACTCATTACAATAATATACATTGAAAGATGACAAATCATGTTGAAGTGTTCCAAGGTCATTGCATTTCCCAGGAGGAGAGTAAACGTATAAATGAACTTGGTAGTGAATATTAATAAGTTAAAAGTGTATATCGTGTTGTCTAGGGCAGTGGTCCCCAACCTTTTTGGTAGCAGGGACCAGTTTCATAGAAGACAATTTTTCCATGGACTGGGGTGGGGGTGTGGGGATGGTTTGCAGATGAAACTGTTCCATCTCAGATCATCAGGTATTAGTCTCATAAGGAGCACACAACCTAGATCCCTCGCATGCATAGTTCACAATAGGGTTTGTGCTCCTATTAGAATCAAATGCCGCCACTGATCTTACAGGAGGCAGAGCTCAGGTGGTAATGCTCACTCTCCTGCTGCTTGCTGCCTGCTGTGAGGCCACAGACCAGTACTGGTCTGCAGCCCCAGGGACTGGGGACCCCTGGTCTAGGGTAATCACCAAAATAGAAACAGTGTCCATATTCTATACTGATAGAGGGGATAATATGGCATGATTGGCCAGGCATGGTGGCTCATGCCTGTAATCCCAACACTTTGGGAGGCTGAGGCACATGGATCACCTAAGGTCAGGAGTTTGAGACCAGCCTGGCCAACATGGTGAAACCCAGTCTCTACTAAAAATACAAAAAAATTTAGTCAGGTGTGGTGGCAGCACCAGTAATCCCAGCTACTTGGGAGGCTGAGGCAGGAGAATTGCTTGAACCTGGGAGGCAGAGTTTGCAGTAAGCCAAGATCACACCATTGCACTCCAGCCTGGGCAACAGAGCGAGACTCTGTCTCAAAAATAAATAAAATAAAATAAAATAAAATAAAATAAGATAAAATAAGGCATGATTAAAATATTCAACATAAAACATGCCAAGAAAGGAGAGAGAGAAAAAATATAAAACAGTGGGAAATTTTGCACAAAAAAGGTAGTAGGGTGGCTGGGTGCGGTGGCTTACACCTGTAATCCCAGCATTTTGGAGGCCGAGGTGAGTGGATCACAAGGTCAGGAGTTCAAGACCAGCCTGGCCAACATAGTGAAACCCTGTCTCTACTAAAAATACAAAAAAAATTAGCTGGGTGTAGTGGTGGGCACCTGTAGTCCCAGCTACTTGGGAGGCTGAGGCAGGAGAATTGCTTGAACCTGGGAGGTGGAGGTTGCAGTGAGCCAAGATAGCACCACTGCACTCCAGCCTGGGTGACACAGCAAGACTCTGTCTAAAAAAAAAAAAAAAAAAAAAAAAAAAAAGGTAGTAGAGTGAAATACAACTACACCAGACATGCATTGAATGAAAATGAATAAGGTTGGGCATGGTGGCTCCTGCCTGTAATCCCAGGACTTTGGGAGGCCCAGGCAGGCACTTGAGGTCAGGAGTTTGAGACCAGCCATGGCCAACATGGTGAAACCTCGTTTCTACTAAAAATACAAAAATTAGCTGGGTGTGGTGGCACATGCCTGTAGTCTCAGCTACTTAGGAGGCTGAGGCAGGAGAATTGCCTGAACCCGGGGGGTGGAGGCTGCAGCAGAGATTCCGTCACTGCACTCCAGCCTGGGCCACAGAGCAAGTCTCTGTCTCAAAAAAAAAAAAAAAAAAAGGAAAAAAAAAGAAAAAAAGAGAGAAAATAAATTAAATGTTCCAGTTTAAAGATATACTATCCAAATGCTAATCAAAAGCAAGAGCTGGTATAATCACATTATTATCAGATTAAAAAGGCCATAAGGCAAAAAGCATTGCTAGTGGTAAAGAGGATCAATTCATCATGATAAAGATATAAGAGCTCTGCATTTGTGTATACCCTATAGCAAGGCCTCAGCATACATAAATGAAAAATTGACAAAAGGAAATAGTTCAACTCACAATCATGGTGGGATACTCAATGTATCTTCTCTAGTAAAAGACCAGGCACAGACAAAGATAATATGTCAGAATAAAGAAAATCTGAACAATGCAAATAATAAATGACCTAATAGATATCACAAATGGAACATTTTTTTTTTTACCACATATTGGGCCATAAAGCAATTGCCAACAAATTTCAAATGACTGCAAACCTTACAGAGCTTGTTCTTTATCCACAATGTAATTATACTAGAAATAACAACTTAAAAAGTAGAGGTTAAGAAATATAAATTCTAATCACCAGGAAATGGAGGCAAAAAGAAAACAGAAATATAAATAACTGTATAAAGAAATGTAACAAAAATGCTATTTAGCAAAAACTTGTGAGGATGTGAAGAAAGCAGAACTTCAATGGAAATTTATAGTATTGCATGCATATTTTAGTATCTATATATAGTAAATAAACACAAAATTTAGTAAACAAACTCATATATAGTAAGTAAATATACTAAACAAAGTTTAGTAAATAAAATCATGTATAATAAACTCCTATGTAAAAGAAGAAAAAAATAAAAATTAAGAGCAGAAGTTAATAAAATAGAAAAATACTGAATAAAGTGAATCATCAATGAAGCCAAAACTTGTTTAAACTAATAAAATACATAAACCTCTGGTGAGAGTGATCAAGTAAGAAAGAGAAGGCACAAATTGCTTAGGACTGAAAAAGAGGCTACCATTTCAGCCCCTGATGTTATCAGAGAAGGTAATCAGAGGATTTTATAAACAGCTTTATAATAATACTTTCAAAAATTTTAGGTAAAATAGAAAATTTTCTTGAAAAATGCAACTTACCAAAACTGGCTTAAGAAGAAACAATGGAGGGAAGAATGTTAGCATGACAGAATAATGACTTTCTGGAAGAGGAAGGACAAAGGCCACCATAGCTCATATTAGGAGAAATGAGAAGTCTTCCAGGATCCCAGTGGAGAATGTTCTCCACAAGTGGTAAGTGTTTGCAGTGGTGTGGGGTGGGGAGAGTGAGGTTCCTCTATATCCTACCTGTTGATGAAGCTGAGTAGTGAGAGGTAGGCTGGAAACAAGGCCAACTGATTTGGGTGTTGTCATGACAAGGGTGCCAAGGTTATTCAGTGGGGGAAAGAACAGTATCTTCAACAAATGGTGCTGGTAAGACTGGATATACTTATGAAAAGTATAAAGCTAGACCCCTACCTCACACCATATACAAAAATTAACTCAAGATGGATCAAAGACCTAATGTAAGAGCTAAAATTATAAAACTCTTAGAATAAAACAGAGGTGTAAATCTTTGTGACCTTGGATTATCCCATGGTTTCTTGGATATGACACCAAAAGCATAGGCAACAAAAGAAAACATAGATGAACTGAATATTATCAGAATTCAAAACATTTGTGCTTCAAAGGACACCTTTAGGAAATGAAAAGACAACCCACAGGATGGGAGAATGTACCTGCAAATCATAATCAGATAAGGGATATATATCTAGAAGATATAAAGTACTATTACAACTCAATAATAAAAGCTTCAATAGGCATTACTCTAGAGCAGATTTAGAAGGAGCCAATAACATACAAAAAGATGCTTGACAGCATTAACCATTAGGGAGATGCAGATTGAAAACACAAGATACCACTTTTCACCTGGCAGGATGGCTGTAATGAAAAAAGTAGATAATAACCCGTGTTGATGAGAAATTGGAACCCTCATACATTGCTAGTGGAATATAAAATGGTACAGCTGCTTTGGAAATAGTCTGGCATTTCCTCAAATAATTAAACAAAGAATTAATATACACACCAGCAATTCCACTTATACTACCATATATACTCAAGAAAATGGAAACATGTCCACACAAAAATGTTTATGTAAATATTCAAAGCAGCTTTATTCATAATAGCCAAAAAAGTAGAACCAATCCCAGTGTCTATCAACTCATGAATGGATACATAAAAACAAATAAAATATTATTTGGCAATAAAAAGAAATGAAGTTCTGATCCATGCTACAACATGAATAAACTTTGAAAACACTATGTTAAATGAAAGAAGCCAGTCCCAAAAGACTATGACTCTATTTGTATGAAATGTCCAGAACAGACAAATCCAGGGGAGACAGAACATAGATTGTGACTGTCTGGAGCTGCAGTGGATGGGGGGCTGGGGTGTGAGGGCTAAAGGGCATGGAGTTTCTATTCAGGGTAAGGAAAAATGTTCCACAATGGATTGTGGTGATGGATATACAACGCTGTAAATATATGAAAAGCTACTAATTCGTATACTTTAAAAGAGTGAACTGCATGGTGTGTGAATAAACAGGGAGGGAAGGACAAAGGAAGGGAGGGGCCTCTGAGCCTGGACCCTCTCTGGATGTGGGAAGCGCAGTGGTGGGGAAGAGCAATGGGCACTGACAAGGAGCTAACAGCTGGAGGGGGCAAGTGGCCCAGCAGTTCTGCGACACTCTCTACTCTTGTGGTCCCGGACAGCTGTGCTGAGCCCCCAATTCCTATGCATACTAAACCCCTCAGAGGTGTTCCCATAGGGAAGAAGGCACTAGAATTAAAGCGAGGGGGTTGCAGTGGGGATGCTTAAGTGAGCTTGAGGATGGAACCTGGGTGTGTGCAGCTGTCACATCTGAAGGTGGAATTGCTGTTGACGTGGTGTTTCCTGCCTGCATGTTCCCGTCCTGTGGTGTCAGGGGACTTTCAGGGACTGTGGCATGCAGAGGTAAGAGGGGGCCCGTAGATGGCCTCTTCCTGCTTCTTTGTCCCTTCTGCAGAAACAGTGTGGAGTCCAAGAGAAGGGAAGCCTGCTGGAGTCGAGAGGCCATTTCCCAGTCCAGCAGCAGCCCCTACCCAGGGCAGTACTCCACTGCACCCCCTTTAAGGTGGGGTGGCTACTGGCCTGCAGCGAGCACTTGTAGAAGTAGAGTGTGACCCTTGAGGGCTCTGTGACTCACTGACCTGACACCCCCATTTTGGGGGTTTTAAACTTGATCACATAAGGGCAGCGCCCAACAGGTCCTGGTGGCCTAAAGGAAATGGTATGTTCAAGAGTACCAAAGCCAAGAGCCATCTTGGATTTACAAGAAAAATGGCAGCTACCCCTTGGGGAAGCTCACCTTCCGGTCCAGTGCCTGACGTGAGCCACTGGCTCTGCGGGGTGCTCGAGTCACGGGGCCCCCGATGCCTGGGCCTGGTTCAAGGATGGTCCGGCTAAGCTGGAGCCCAATGGCGTCCCCTGGGCAGTGGCTGTCCAGCCCCAGCGCCAACTCTGGGAGACAGCAGAAGACCAGTGAGTATTGGGGCTGGGCTGGAAGCTGCCACCCTGGCCTTAGGACTCTTAAGGACCAGAAACATTGAAGTTTTACTGAATTTTGGTTGTTGCAAATGGTGTGGTCTGCCCAAGGGCCAGCAGACTTTCTGGGAAGGGCCAGATCGCAAATATTTCTGGCCCTGTGGACCACACGTGGTCTCTGTTGCATATTCTTTTTTGTTCTTTTTGTTTTTGCAGCCCTTTAAAAGTATTAAGAACATTCTTAGTTCACAGGTCATACACAAACAGGCCTTGGGTCAGATGTGGCCATCCATCCTCTGTGGACCCCAGCCTGGTTTCAGAAACAGGGTTTGTGGGAGCACGGCTGAGCACACTCACGTACTTACTGTCTACGGCTGCTTTTTCGTGACAACAGCAGAGACCCTGTGGCCTGAAAAGCTGAAAATAGTCACTACCTGGCCCTCTACAGAAAAAGCCTGCTGCCCCAGTCTGCGGTCTGGTCTGCCACTTGGAAGACCACAGCCTGAGACACTAACACCCTCATATTTGGGGCCCGCTGGTGTTGCAAACAAATCCTGGTCACTGATTTGACAGCCTGGGCCGCTCGTGCAGGTGCCCACGGTAAGGGTGCTCTCCGATCGGACCGCGCTGCCTCTTGGATCCCTCTTGGGCCGGAAGTGGCCATGCAGCCATCATTGTGGACGAGGCGATGACAGGGACCCTGTGCCGCCTGTGTGAGCTGGCGTGCATGAGTTGGCAAAAACAACTTCCACATACCAGGCTAAAGTCTCCTGACAGAAGCTGGCCTCCCTGCCTCACTGTGGGGCACGCCTGCCCCTGCCCCCAGGACCACCAGTGGGGTCTCCGCTCTCCAGGTTATTGTGTTGCTGTTCCAGTCCAATTAGCCTGCCCTGGCTATACCGCTGAGCGCTTTTGACTTTCTGGACGATTTGCATCTGACAGTGATGCTCCCTTTGTCTCAGGTCACTCAGCCATGGGTCACTAATCACGTATTGATGGATATTCCAGGATCCCTCCCATCCACAGGCTCCTGGCATTTTCAAGCTCTAGATCAGCCTCCTCAAGAATCAACTCCGAAAGACTCCAGCCTCTGCCTCCCTGCCTGCTCCTGGTCCACACACCATGGGCATGTGCTCCTGGTCCACACACCATGGGCATGTGCTCCTGGTCCACACACCATGGGCATGTGCTCCTGGTCCACACACCATGGGCATGTGCTCCTGGTCCACACACCATGGGCATGTGCTCCTGGTCCTGAACATGGTCATCCCATCCTCCAAAAGGGTTCTTCTCCGCTTGGCCACCCTTTGGGTAATGACAGGACAAAATGTGGGGCCTCTGCGGGGTGACACAGACCTACCTGGAAGCCTTGAGGTTTGGCCCTGACCGTTTCTGGGCCTGATAAGGCTCTTTCCCTGACAGCTGCCCCAGCCCGCCTGGTTGGTTTGCTCTCCAGGTGGCAGCCAGGCCAAAAAGGGGCCTCAGGAATTCACTCAGCTCTGGTTCGGCCACCTGGGTTCTCCTGTGGGGCTGACACAGTCCTGAGTCATGAACATGTGGGTGGCTTGGTTGACGGCACTGCTAGCTGGGTTCATCTGCGGTGGTCTGTGGGTGCCAGCCTGGGAGCAGGGCGTCTCTGTGGCTCTCACACGGGTGCTCCTGCTGGCCTTGTGCCTGCACCGCCCTGTGACAGGTCTGGGTGTGAGTTGGGGACAAACTGGGGAAAGGTGAGTGAAAGTTCCTGGGATGTGCATTCTGGCTTCCTGGCTGAAGAGAGAGAACGCCAGTCCCGGCTCCTGACCAGGGACCACCTTAGACCCCGGGACGTGCAGGGGGCTGAGTGAACAACGAATGTTCTTTGCCCCTTAAATCCAGCACCTGGCAAGGTGCCTCATGGCCTGCCTGAGTCAGGCTACTGCTGAGCTGGCAACCTGACCTGCGCTGGGTTCCCCATCTCTGTCCTGTGGATCCAGGTGGTATCTGCACCCAAACGTGCCCCCATGTAAGTGCATGTGTGGGCACAACCTTGCTTCCATCTTGCTGACTTGAATTCATAGCTTCCCCGTCATCTGAGCGCCTGTGGGTTACGTCGTGTATGGTGACCAAAGCTGCAAATGCGCGGTGACATGGCAAAAAGACTTAACCAAATCAGCACAGCAGGGACCACGGCAAGGCGAATGGCGGTTCTCAGACAGAGCTACTCGGGTTGCGTGTTACCTGGGAGGGAGTGAGCCTTGGAATGCCTCTCCAGTCGGGAAAGGGATCAAGGTACCCACCACCTTGGTTTGCCTGGAACTGAGGGGGTCCCCGGGACATGAGACTTTCAATTCCGGATAAACCAGGACGAGTTGGTCATCGTAGCGGGAGCTGCTTTTTTGGCTCATTCATTGCCTCTGTAATTATTGACGGTGGCGTCAACAGGGCAGTCAAACTCCTTGCATGGGCCACAGGGATAACAGCCAGGCCTTAGGCTGCATCCTGGCTCTCTCAAATTAGACCTACGGGGCTCTGCAGGATTCTTCACAGCTGGCTGTGCCTGGGCCCCTGAGGGTCATGGTTGAGGTCCCGCTGTGGGATTCCTGTGGACGGCAGCCTTCACCCACTTGCCGTGGGAGGAGATCAGAAGGATTTGGTTCTGGCTGCTGGCATGGCGTATACTGGTATGAACATTTGAGTTTGGCCAAGAATGTGTGGGGCTGAGGAGGTAGCTTGGTAAGAGAGGCACTCTGCTGTGCCTCTGCACTTTTTTGCCAACTACAAGAGAATACAAGGCCCTGTCCACTCTTTGCCTGGGTCATTTCTTAGGGTTGTGTTTGCAGAGATCCACCTTGAGGGATGAACCGTCGCCTTGGGGGCAAAAAGCAGGCTTGCTATGGAACAGCTGCACTCCCCAGGCTCCATGTTTCTTGGCTGTGATGTAAACCCACTGTGTACGGCGTCTCCTTGGTCCCCTCCACGCCATGCTGGCAGGACTTAGACAGCAACAGAACCCAACACAAACCACTCTTGCTACTTGCTGTGCCATGAGGCTCTAACATGAGAGTCTCATGCTTTCTGCCGGCACCCATCAACCAGTAACAGGGCAACTTGTTAGTTTGTAAGAAGGGTACAATCCTGACATTTTATATAAAATGAAAAATGTTCTAGAAAAATGCAACTTGGCTGGGTGTGGTGGCTCACGCCTGGAATCCCAGCACTTTGGGAGGCCAAGGTGGGTGGATCACCTGAGGTCGGGAGTTCGAGACCAGCCTGACCAACATGGAGAAACCCCGTCTCTACTAAAAATACAAATTAGCCAGGCATGGAGGTGCATGCCTGTAATCCCAGCTACTCGGGAGGCTGAGGCAGGAGAATTGCTTGAACCCGGGAGGCAGAGGTTGCAGTGAGCCGAGATTGTGCCATTGAACTCCAGCCTGGGCGACAAGAGCAAAACCTCCGTCTCAAAAAAAAAAAAAAAAAAGAAAGAAAGAAAAATGCAACTTATCAAATGTAAGTGGAAATAGAAAATGCAACTTTTTATATAATCATTAAATTGAATGAATATTCAAAATTTTCCCAGCAAGAAACTCTAGGTCCATATAGCATCACCAGTGAGTTACACCAAACATTCAAGAAATAATTCCAGAGACACATAGACTCTTCTAGATAGAAAAATCCATTTTATGAGGCTACCATAACCTGGATACTAAAATTTAACAAAGACAGTACATGAATGGACAACTCCAGGCCAATTTCACATTAAGTTGCTAAAACCTTAAATGAATTATTAGCAAACTGATTCAGCAATATACAAAGAGGATAAATAATCCACCATGGGCCGGGCGTGGTGGCTCACGCCTGTAATCCCAGCACTTTGGGAGGCCGAGGCAGGAGGATCATGAGGTCAGATCGAGACCATCCTGGCTAACATGGTGAAACCCCATCTCTACTAAAAAAATACAAAAAGAATTAGCCGGGCAAGGTGGTGGGTGCCTGTGGTCCCAGCTACTCGGGAGGCTAAGGCAGGAGAATAGCGTGAACCCCGGGTGGTGGAGCTTGCAGTGAGCCAAGATCGTGCCACTGCACTCCAGCCTGGGCGACAGAGCAAGACTCCATCTCAAAAAAAAAAAAAAAAAAAAAAAATCCACCATGACAGAGTGGGCTTTTGTTAGGAACACAGCTATGCTTTACATCAGAAAACCAATTAATTTAATTTGCCATTAAATTAACTTTATTAATTTAATTTGCCATTAAATTAACTTTATTAATTTAATTTGCCATTAATTTGATTAATTTAAATGACCAATTTAACAGATTAAAGGAGAAAATCATATTATCATCTGAAGAGGTATAGAGAAGGCATGGAATAAAAGTCAACGTCCATTTGTGATTAAAAACGCTGGGAATACAAGGAGAAGGCTGCCGGCAATCTGAAGAAGGCTTCAGACACACAAGTGCACACATCGTATTCAATGCTGAACCCGGAACACTTGCTTTTTGAGACTAGGAACAAGTCAAGGGTTCCACCAACACCACCGCTATGAGACGATTCACGGGAGGCCTTGGCCAGCACAGGCACCAACACCACCGCTATGAGACGATTCATTGGAGGCCTCGGCCAGCACAGGCACCAACACCACCGCTATGAGACGATTCATGGGAGGCCTCGGCCAGCACAGGCACCAACACCACCGCTATGAGACGATTCACGGGAGGCCTCAGCCAGCGCAGGAAGACACAAAAATGTGTCACAAAGTAAAATGAGTAGAAAGGAGCCCCACTGCTGCTGTGACTGAATGTGGATGTAGAAACCCCATGGACTCTGCACATAGATGATTTATCAAGATTCATATGGGATTTTGTCAGGCAGTTGGATATAAAGTTAGAAAATGTAAAAAATCAATTATAGTTCTATGTGCCAGCAATAACCAGAAAATGAGATTAAAGACACTATTTACGATAGTGTGAAAAAAACCAAGTACCTAAGAGTAACTCTAACAAAAGATGTGCAAAACTTCTCTGCACTCGATTCTGAAACCTTACTGAAAATGTTAAAGTCAACTAAGTAAATCCAGAAATATGCCAGGTTCCTAGATTGCACGACTCAATATGGTAAAGGTATCAGTTTTCCTCACATTGATCTGTATAGTCAATGCAATCCCAATAAATATCACAACAGGTGTGTGTATACGTGTGTGTAACTTGATAAGCCAATTCTACATTTTATGTGAAAATGCAAAGTCCAAAATAACCAAGACTGTCTTGTGAAAAGCAAGGTGGAAGGGCTTGTTCTAGGAGACACCAGCCTTTCTCGTCAGGCCACAGTTAGCCCAACGCTCCTGGCTCAGGGACAGAGAAGCAGGAGGGAGAGCCCGGGAACAGCCACAACGGCGCTGGGGGTGTGTGGGGAGAGGCGGCTTTTCAACAAGGGTGCTGGCTCTGCTTTCATTTCCTCCAAAATGGAACCTGCGTGACTCTACCTCGGGCCCCAAGAGAAGATCACCTCCAGGTGTATTAGAGACCTGCGTGTGAAGGACAAAATGAAACAGCTGCAAGACTGTTGGAAAGCAATATGGAGAATTTACTACAGTAAAATTAACACCTTCTATCCACCCAAGGATGCCATTAAAGAGGATGAAACGAGTGCAGAATGAGAAAAGATATTTGCAGCACCTATGACCTGGTGTTACCAAGAACCCCCACGAATCGGCGAGAAAGAAGATAACTCTGTAGAAAAGAGGGAAAACACTTGAACAGTCACTCCACAAAAGATGAAATCCAATGGTAAGTGAACATATGAGACTGGCTCAGCCTCATTCATAGAAAAGAAAAGGAGACCATGGTGACCTCCCACCATGTAGCTGCTCCATTTGCAGAAGCGTCGGCCGGGGTGTGGCCCTGGGCAGCATCCACACACAGCACATCCCACGGCTCAGAAATCCCACTCCTGGGTGTGGACTTGACACAAATGTGGACTTGTGTGCACTGGGACATGCCTTCAAGAGTTTTCACAAACAGCATTGTTAAGAGTAGTCTAGGCCTGGCATGGTGGCTCACACCTTTGAGAGGCTGAGGTGGGCAGATCACCTGAGGCCAGGAGTTCGAGACCAGCCTGGCCAACATGGTGAAACCCTGTCTCTCCTAAAAATACAAAACTTAGCCAGGCATGGTGGCATGCAGTTGTAATCCTAGCTACTTGGGAGGCTGAGGCACAAGAATCACTTGAACCTGGGAGGCAGAGGTTGCAGTGAACTGAGATCGCACCACTGCGCTCCAGCCTGGACAAGACAGCGAGACTCCATCTTAAAAAAAAAAAAGAAAAGAAAAAAGAGTAGTCTAAAGCTAGGAACAGCCCCACCTAAAAAATTAAAAATAGAACTGACATATGGCCTAGCAATCCCACTTCTGAGTATATACCCAATGAAATGAAACCAGTATCTCATAGAATAGCTGCACTCCCATAAGCAAGATATAGACTCAACCTAAGTGTTTGCTGACGGATGAATGGATAAACAAAATGTGGTGTATATATACAGACATATGTACACACAAGGGAATATTATTCAGCCATGACAAAGAGAGGGATCCTGCCATTTGCAACAACATGGATGAAACTGAAGGACATTATGCTCAGTGAAATAAGCCAGGCGCAGAAAGACACTTATATGTGGAATCTAAAATAGCTGAACTCAGCCAGGTGTGGTGGTTCACGCCTATAACCCCCAGCACTTTGGGAGGCTGAGGCAGGAGGATCTCTTGAGGCCAGGAGTTCAAGACCAGCCTGGACAACATAGCAAGACCCTGTCTCTACAAAAAAAGAAAAATAAAAAAATATAGCTGGAGGTGGTGGTGCGTGCCTATAATCCCAGCTACTAGGGCCAGCGGGGTGGGGTGGAGTGGGGTGTGGCTGAAGTGGGAGGATCACTGGAGCCCATGAGTTCGAGGTTACAGTGAGCTAGGCTCAGGCCACTGCACTCCAGCCTGGTGACAGAGTGAGACCCTGTCTCTCAAATAAAATAAATAAAATGAAAATTAAGTTGAGTTCATAGAAGCAGAGAGTAGAAGGATGGTTACCAGGGGCTGAGGTGGGAAATGGGGAAATGTTGATTGGAGGGTGCAAACCTTCAGTCAGACAGGATGAGTAAGTTCTGGGGTCTCCATGTAATGCATGGCAACCGTAGTTAACAGTACTGCTCGTGGCCGGGCGCGGTGGCTCACGCCTGTAATCCCATCACTTTGGGAGGCTGAGACAGGCGGATCACGAGGTCAGGAGATCGAGACCATCCTGGCTAACATGGTGAAACCCTGTCTCTACTGAAAATACAAAAAATTAGCGGGCGTGGTGGCGGGCACCTGTAGTCCCAGCTACTCGGGAGGCTGAGGCAGGAGGATGGCGTGAACCCAGGAGGCGGAGCTTGCAGTGAGCTGAGATCACGTCACTGCACTCCAGCCTGGGCGAAAGAGCGAGACTCCATCTCAAAAACAACAACAAAAAAAAAAAAAAAAGAAAAAAAAAACACAGTACTGCCTCGTTTAATTGAAATTTGCTAAGAGAGTAATCTTAAGTGTTCTTGTCACACACGTGCACACACACGGTAACTGGGTGGTGATGGATGTATAGATTCATGCGATTCTGGTCGTCATTTCACAATGTGTAGGTATATTAAATCACACAATTTTGTCTGTCAATTTTGTCTCAATAAGGCTGGAAAAATTCAATTAAAACAACAACAATAGCAGACCCAAATGTGTACCACTGTAAAACAAATAGCCTGTGGTCTATTCATACAACGATACAGAGGTGATGATGAAGTAACAGCACCACCAGAGATGTGGATGAGCCACCCTAAAAACACCAGGGAGGGAAAAAGGCGAGTGTGAGAAGGCGCTTTCACAGGCCGGAGGGGCTGCCCTGGGGTGGCGATGCAGGGTGGGGCGGTGGCAGCGTCTGCTCTCGGCCTGGCAGTGGGCCCACCAGGGTTTGCGTTACGTTTGATCTTTTTTTGCACGTTTATGTTTTGTACCCTTTTTGGCATGTGTTTTGGAAAAAAGAGCTAAGGGTTAGAAGTGACAAGTGGTACCTCTGGGTTGGGGGAGAAGCATCTGGGGGCAGGAGGCCGCTGTGGCCGAGGTCCCTGGGGCTGGGCCACCTGCCTGGTGTGGGGGACCTCCCTGCTCTGCCCCTCGCCGCACCCCCCATGCTCTTCCTTAGCTGGCCCCACTCCCTGCTTGGCTCCTGAGCCGCTGCCCTGAGTTTTCTGTCGGCCTTTGAAGTGGGAGCCTAGCTTGCAGGTGTGCGGTGTGCAGAGGCCTCGGGCCCACCCGCCGCCTGCCCCGCTCCAGCTTTCCTCTCTCCCCACCCCAGAGAGCTGCTGCCCTCCCCGCTGGGGGCTGAGCCAGGGAGGAGGCAGAACAAGCCGGCCCTGTCCCCTGCCAGGACAGGGCAGCCAGGACAGGGCAGCGCCAGCACCGCAGTGCAGGGCAGAGGCCCGCGGGACTTCCTTTC
This sequence comes from Homo sapiens, assembly GCF_000001405.40. Classification (NCBI taxonomy): domain Eukaryota; kingdom Metazoa; phylum Chordata; class Mammalia; order Primates; family Hominidae; genus Homo; species Homo sapiens. The sequence goes on along the minus strand of NC_000002.12, from coordinate 241,011,825 downwards.
TCCAGATGTGGACGTCCCAACGTCTGGTGGAAGGGGGCTAGTGGGCAAGGCCCAGGCCAGAGGGCCCAGGAGCTAGAAGCAGGGCAGGGAGCCATGTGGCAACCCCTCTCTCCCCAGCACTGGGGTCCCTCTCCTTCTTCAGGGCTGGGAAAACGCTACTTCCCAAAAAGTGACAATTCTATTATTGTTATTTGCCTACTTGCTATAGCACCTTGTAAAACATGTCATAGAGATGTGGAAAACAAGGGGAAAGGATTAGCCTGTCTCCCAGCCGACGCCCCTGTTCATGGCTAGGTGTGGACCTGAGCACTCGTAGAGGAACAGTGCGGGTTTAGTCCCTCGTCCTGACTTCGGGGGCGGGAATGCCAGCAGGCTGCCCAGCGCTGGCACCTCAGACACCTGCTGAGGGCCAGTGTTTGTCTGCTGGGGTCTGGGGCCTGAGGCCAGCCTGGCAGTCCTGCCCAGCGCCACTGGGACACTTGTAGAAATGTAACCACTCCATGTGCCAGGAGACCCAGGAGACCTGCCACCCCCAGGAAACCCAGGAGACCCAGGAGACCTGCCACCCCCAGGAGACCCAGGAGACCTGCAACCCCCAGGAGACCCAGGAGACCCAGGAGACCTGCCACCCCCAGGAGACCCAGGAGACCCAGGAGACCTGCCACCCCCAGGAGACCCAGGAGAACCAGGAGACCTGCCACCCCCAGGAGACCCAGGAGACCTGCCACCCCCAGGAGACCCAGGAGACCCAGGAGACCTGCCACCCCCAGGCAGGGAGGGAGGGCAGTGTGCTTGTTCTGGGTCTGCAGGGTAGAGATGCTGCGGCAGGCCCTGGCTGCATCCCCCAGAACTCCAGTCTCTCCCTGTGGATCCCATCGTCCAGGGCCTCCCCGTGGCCACCGTCTGGTCTCCTTTGGGGTCCCGGCTCTGCCTGCAGCCTGAAGCCCAGGCCCTGGATCAGTGCTGGCATCGCTCTCCTCCCAGCCAAGCACCAGCTGCTGAGAAAAACAAGATTGCCACCTGGATGTTACAGTCCCAGGTAGGTGACAAAGGTCCTGGGAGGGGCTCACACACAGGCCGCCTGGAAAAAGCTCTGCGTTGGACACAGCTGAGCACCTTAGGCACCCCGGTGAGTGCCCCACGCCCCGCCCTCACCCTCCTCTCTCAGGCTGTGGTCAAGGCCAGCCAGCCTCACGGTGGCCTTGCCATGGAGGGGATGCTCTGACCCCTCTGAGCAGGCTGAGATTCTTGGGCTGCTGGTCAGCTGCTAACTGGGGAGGCCCCAGGCCACATGGAACCTGGAGCTGCAGTGACTTGGGGACTTGGAGGAGGCTCCTCGCCCTCCTCCATTGGGGGCGGGGCTGGCCAGGGGCACTCAGGGCTCTCCTGCCTTTCCTGCAGGACGGGGCTGACCCTCTGCTGGCTCAGGAGGAAGCACAGAGACGTGCTCCAGTGGCATTTCCGACTTGGATGAAAGCAGGAAAGAGCTGAAGCGTCTGGGGAGCCTCCAGGAGGTGACCTCGGGCTGAAAGTGCCGATATGCAACAGCCTGCTCCCCCGGACCTGAGCCAAGGGGCTGCTCTGAGCAGGGCAGGGTGGGCCTGGAGGGGAGCCAGGGACCCAAGAGACTTCCGAGGGCCCCAGGAGCCAGGAAGCAGCACCCTGGCTCCGCAAACGTTAGATCACAAAGGGCGGCTCTGCGGTTCCCTGCTTTGACTCCTCTGCCAAGAGTGAAACAGCACAGCCTCGAGGTGTTTTAGAAGCTTGTTTTGAAAAATGCAGGCATGTCTTTTATTTCCTGGCAGCTTTCTGGGCAATTAGGATTCCTCCCACAGGCACAGCGGGGGCTGGCGTCCTGGGCCGGGGGATGGGCAGGGCCTCCGGGGCTGAAGGGGATGGTCTCCTGCTGAGCGGCCTCACGCCAGCCCTGAAGGGAAGGAGGCTGGCCCCTGGCCCAGCCACCGACGGCAATACTGGGCTAGGCCTCCGGGGAAACACACATGGGACGCCTCCGGGGAAACACACATGGGACAGAAGCAGTCACCCAAGGGGTTGTTCCAGTGGGAGGGAAGAGAGCTACCACCAGGGAGAGCCAGGGTGACTTCCTGGAGGAGGGGACATCTGAGCTGCATTCAGCGCCCCCGGACAGGGGAGGGGTAAGGGAGGGGCTCCCAGGAGAGTGTTGATGCCATGTCCTCTCTCTCCTGCAGACTGAGGTGCTGGGTCTCCCTGTGGCTTCCCTGTCCCCATGGGGCCATGCCCCCAGCCCCCGTGCCCTTTCTCATGCCCTGTCCCTCTTGCTGCCCTCACAGCCTCTCCCTCTCCACCAGCCCCTCTGCTTCCTTGTGTTGACAGCAGCTCCTGCCGCCTGCTCCTTGCCTCACTTGCTTCCCACTTTGGCCAGGTGCTCCACCAGTCCCTATGGTCAGCAGGGCCACAGCCCAATCCCCTAGAGGCCCCAGGGTGTGCCTGGCCTGGAGGCAGTGGCCCCACACTGTCTGGGTGTCCACACCTGCCCTTTCCATCCATCTCCAGCCTGGGCTGCTGCCTCCTGGGCTCTTGAGATCTTGCTGCCTTCAGCCTGTCCACACCTCAGAGGGAGGGGCCTCCTCACAGTCACCCTGCATCTCTGCAGTGGCCACTGGGCCACTGTCACCTCCAGCCACCACCATCAGAGATGCAATCTTGAGATGCAAACCTGGTCTGTCCCCCACTCCCCACATACCTGAGAGTCTTACTCATGGGCACCCCCGTCACTCCTTCAGGACCCAAGCTCCATCCCCATGTCCTGCCCCCAGTGAGCCTCCAAGGCTGCCTTGCCTGCTCCACTTTGCCGCCTCCAACCCACCCCAGAGCTGATGGCAGGAAATGTTTGCTGAAAGATGGGTTTGAGGGCCCAAGAGGCCGTGCCTGACCCTTGACAAGCTCCTGGACAAGCTCAGAGGACAGTGTGATCCTGGGCTGCCCTCCTGTGTGGAGGCATTGGGGTCAGGGGCCTGGGCTGGCCACAGTCCTGCTCCCACTTGGTGCTCCCTGACTGGCCCGCAGAGCCCAGAGGCGACTTCAGCATGTGCTGAGCCCCGGGCACCACGGGAGCAGGGCAGGGGCTGCACACAGTGGTGTCTAATAACTGACACCTGCTGGCTGAATGAATGACTTGCCCTGCTTTGCAAAGAACAAGAGAATGGATGCCAAGGCACCTAGGTGTTGAGGCTGGTCCCCGTAGATGATGTATGGGGTGTCCCACCTGCCTGGTCGCAGACAGACGGCAGTGTGACCAGGCCCCGACCCTTCCAGCCTGTCTTGCCCTTGGATCTGCCCAGAGCTTCCACCCCCACCACCAGTCAGAACACCAGGACACCCTGTCTGGCCTAGAAGCCCATGGACAGAAGGAGTGCAAGGAGTGCTATCAGGTGGGACCCTGTGGGGGCAGCTTGTCCTGGCCACCCCTTCGTGGTGAATAGGAGGCAGGAGGAGACTGGAGCCTGCAGAGTAGGTTAGTTAGGAGTGCCCCGGGTCACCACGAGCAGCCCTCGGAGGGAGGGGCTGTGCTTCCCAGGTGGGGCTCTGAGCCAGCCCCAGGAGCCCCTGGTCACGGCACTGACTCTGTTCCCCCACTTGGGATCTGCCCTGGGTGGTCTGCATTCCTGCCACGCCCCCAGGTGGCCCTGGAGCAGCACAGAAGCCTGCTTTGGAGACACACGTGGTCCGGACCTGTCAGAGCTGGGGAGCTGCCACCTCCGGGCTGTGCTCAGTGAGTCAGGTGGTACGGCCGCCTTCACCCACGGCAGGGTGTAACTGCGAATGCCCTTCTGGGCAGTGGCAGACAGAAGGAAGGTGCCCTGAAAAGCTCCCTGCCTTGGATCCAGTGAGCCCACGTGGGGCAGTTTATTGCAAGGGAGGGAAAGAGAGGGAGGCCTGCACGAAGGCCCGTGTAGGACAGACACACATCGATTCAGGAGACTGAAACACCACAGAGCCAATAACTAGCGGCCGGTTAAACCAATCACAGTGTAGCCATAGAATGGAATCTTGTATTGTCATGAAAAAGCATGTTTTCACAGAAAAGTTAGGGCATGGGTAAATGCTCGTGGCGTAACATTGAAAGAAATAGGCAACACAGAGACCCATATGAGATGGTAACCCGAAGTCTGTTTTGTAAAACCCTACCCTTGAAAACAGATAAGGAAGAACTTCACCAAAATGTTAAAAGCACTTATTTTTGGGTGATGGAATTACGGATATATCATCCCAATGATCACAAGATGAACAATAGTTATTTACTGAGCGGCTTCTAGGAGTAGCACTGTTCCGGAAGCCTGACAGCACAGCGAACAAAACAGACAAAAATAAATACATTTAATACTAAAAAAAGACGCATTGCTGCTCTTCCGTCTCCTTAAATCAGAGCAAGGGTGCAATCAAGGTTTTGGACTGAAGGAACGAACAAATGAAGTAGTGAGTAAGTCAACAGTGAATGAATGCACCAAGTTTCTGTGGGGAGCTGCCTGGGAGAACGCGGTTTGGCCGGCTGGCCACTTCTCTGACAAGAAGCTCTAGCTTCACCTTATCACCAAAAACTCAGGAGGATATGAGAATAAGCTGTAGACCTCATGACCCTCTGCACCCTAAACATTTTAGTATTTCCCATCAACAAGGATATTCTCTCATGTAAGCATATACAGTCACCCACAGCAGGAAATTTAACACTGATGCAAAGCTATCAATACTGTTTTCCCCCTCATTTATATGTTTCATCATTTATTTACTTACATCAGTGTGAAGCCACGGATTTCTCCTTTAATAGATTAGAATCTGTACCTATCATTATTTGTTTTAATGCTCCAATTGTCCCAAACACTGCCAGTGGGAGCCCCTTCTGGAGGGCCTCTGTGTCCTTTTGATCCATCTCCATCCTTCTCCTAGTGTTTCCTTACTTTATGGCACAACAAGATGTTCCAGGCTCATCTTGCACTTCTCTTGCCACGACCCTAGGATCTCCAAGGCACCCTGGTTCTTTTTAGTGGAGACTAGTGTTTAGCAGCCAAGATCTGAGCATGGAAGTGCCCTCTGCTATTGAGGTATTATTGCTTCCATTTCTCTCAGTGGACAGAGCTAGGAACTGTGGATGTAGGTAGACACACAGATGTATATACCCATGTCTACACCCATCTGTCATAATACACACACGGAAATATGTGCTATGAAGTTATACTGATATGCTGAAGTCAAATCTAACACAAAGCCACAGGTTTCATTTGATGTTTCCTCCTTTCCATATCTGCAACTCGTATCTTCAAGAGAAGCGCATACCATTCTCAATCTATTTACTCACTGGCTCAACAGCCTCAACATTTCCAACCCATACCACTGTGGAAAACAATGCTACACTTGGAGTTTCATCATTGTTCACCATTCTTTTCACTTTTGTTCACAGATACATAGTCAAAGTATTGCATTAAAAAGTATATGCTGAAATTAGTAGACAGTAATTTTAAAGCAATTATTATAAAGATGAAAAATATGCTAGGATAGAAAAGGAAATGTCAACATAATGAGGGAAGAAATGAAAAATGCAGAAAAGATCCAAATACAACTTATAGGAGTAAAAAGTGAAATAGATGAAACAAACATACTCTGAATGGGATGAATAGGTTAGACCGTGTAGAAAAAAAAATCAGTGAATTTGAAAACATAACAATAGAAATATTCAAAATGAAGGACAGGCAAAAAAGACTTTAAAATAACAAAGCCTCATTCTCATTCTCAATGAGCTCTAGGACAATAGTAAGAAGTTTAATGTACATACAATTTGAGTCTTCAAAAGAGAGGAGAGAAAGGACAGAAAAAATATGTGAAGATGGCTGAGATTTTTTTCAAATTTCATGGAAACTATACGCTCACAAATCATGAGTCTTAATGAAACCAAGCAGAAGAAATATTTTTAAAGCCCTACAACAATACACCTAATAACCAAATTGCTGAAAAGCAGTGATAAAAAGAATATCTTAAAAGGAATCAGAGAAAAAAGATGCATATGCGGAGGGACAAAGATGGGAATGACAGCAGACTTCTCATTACAAACTATGCCAATCAGAAGACAACAGAGCAGCATCTTCAAAAAATTTAAAACACAAACAAAATCCAAAGTCAGTTTGGAATTCTACACCCACCCAGCAGAGCTATCTTTCAAAAAATGAAGATAAAGAGATTTTCAGATTTTAAAAAAACAGTGATAATTTATGCCAGCAGGTCTACACTATAAGAAATATTAGAGGAAGTCCTTCAAGCAGAAGGAAAATGATATAAAAATGGAAATCTGGGCCAGGCATGGTGGCTAAGGTCTGTAATCCTAGCACTTTGGGAGGCTGAGGCAGGCAGGTCACTTGAGGCCAGGAATTCCAGATCAGCCTAACCAACATGGTGAAACCTCATCTCTACTAAAAATACAAAAATTAGCTGGGGGTGATGGTGGGCACCTGTAGTCCCAGGTACTCAGGAGGCTGAGGCAGGAGAATCATTTGAACCCGGGAGGCAGAGGTTGCAGTGAGCTGAGATCATGCCACTGCACTGTAGCCTGGATGACAGAGTAAGTAAGAATCCATCTCAAAACAAAAACAAAAACAAAAACAGAAACTAAACTAAACTAAAATTTAAAAAATAAAAATTTTTTAAAAAAAGAAATCTGGACCTACACAAAGAAATGAAGAAGACTGGAAATAGTAAATATGTGGGTAAATATAAAAGACTTTCTAATTTTAATCTCTTTAAATGATAATTGACTGTTTTAAAGAAAAAAAACATTGGCCAGGCATGGTGGCCTACATCTGTAATCCCAGCACTTTGTGAGGCTGAGGTGGGTGGATCACGAGATCAGGAGTTCAAGACCAGCCTGGCCAAGATGGTGAAACCCCGTCTCTACTAAAAATAAAAAAAACTAGCTAGGTGTGGTCGTGGGCGCCTATAATCCCAGCTATTCAGGGGGCTGAGGCACAGAATTGCTTGAACCTGGGAGGCAGAGGTTGCAGTGAGCCGAGATCACGCCACTGCACTCCAACCTGGCGACAGAGTGAGACTCCATCTCAAAAAAACAAACAAACAAAAAGTTAACAGTGCATTATTGGGTTTATAACATGTGTAAAGTAATATATATGACAACAATAGCATGAGGGCCAGAAGGAAAATGGATGTATGCTGTTATAAGATTATTATATCATACTTGAAAGAGTATAATATTATTTGAAGGTAAACTATGTTAAAAATGTGTTTTAAATCTAGAATAATCACAAAAAAATAAAATCAGAGGTGTAGGTAATAAGCCAATAGTATAGATAATATGAAATTATTTTTAAAAATCCAAAAGAAGAAACTATAGAGAACAGATGTAACAAATAGGAAGATGATAGGTTAAAATTCAACCATATTGATAATTACATTAAATGTAAATGGTCTAAAACACTCTAATTAAAAGGAAGAGATTTGTCAGGCTGGATTAAAAAAAATCAGTACTACACTTCTTTTTTTTAGCATTTACAAGAAAGACAATCAAGGCCACAGTCATTAAGGTGTGGTAAGGGTTTTGCTGAAGATTTCACAGGAAGCCAGAACAAGAAGCCACAACAAATGCTCAGACTGCAGTTTTATCAGTGTTGTGCCCACTACCTATATACATCTCCTTTCTTCATGGCTCCCCTGGTGGGATGTGGGGATCATTTTGTGCCTCAAGCAGAGGCCAGCCTCACCCCCAGGCTCATCCCCACTCCAGGATCTTCCCCTCCATACATGCATCAGCTTCTCTCCTTCCTCACATAGGACAGCCTGGCCCTGTCCAGCCCAGGGGCTTCCAGCCCTATTCCAGCTCACTCAGCCAAGAAAGGGCTCATCAGAAACCAGAGATGTTAGAAGGCAGAGGGCAGTATAAATGATAACCAACATTTTTTTGGTCACCTTTACAAATTGCTGCTCCTGTGTGCAGCCTTATGGCTTCTCGTGGCCCATCACACACAGAAGTGTCACAGATAACACTTCATGTCAGTATCACACAAACTGACCTGTCTTCCCTGTGAGTCTCTTCTCTAAGCAGGTCACCTGCAGAGGTGGGGCAGTGCAGACAGAGACTTTCCTTATGGGGCCCAGCATGCAGCCAGGACCCCCTACCACACTACCATGTTCCAACAGCTGTGCCTGTGCCATGGGTCAGGCCAGTCCTGGGAGGGAGTCGGCTGTGGGCTGAGGCTGAAGTGTGCAGGTCCTGCATCTCTGTGTGGAAAAGCTGACTCCCAGGCTAAGGCTCACCCTGTCAGGGAAGGTGGGACTGCTTCTGCTTTGGGGAACACACGGTGCAGAAATGTGCTGGTGGCCAAGACCATGAGCCCACCATGTGGATGTGGCACAGGAGGACTTACTGCTCAGGGTGCAGGCATCTTGCTGCATGCATCCTCTGGCCTCAGCAGGGGTGGAAGAGAGAGTCCTTCACCAGGGCACCACCACCACTGCAGCCCCAGGCTGTCGTCTGAGGCCTATTCTGAGCCCAACACCAGAATGGTGGCATGAGGATGGATGTGGTCCCTGCCTTCATGGGGTGCACATCCCAACACCTCCCAAACAAGAAAACTAAGGAGCAACCCAGCTGAGGTCAGAACCAACAAGCTGCAGTGAGCACAGAGGGTGGGGCTGGGGGAGTGCCTGAGCGGGGGGCCCGGGGGAGGGCGGAGGGGGGCAGGGAAGCGTAGCGGGGATTCTGGCGAGGAGAGACAGGATCCCACTGGTGTTTTGTATGGCTCCCTTGGTCACTCTGCACAGAGGAGGGCAGGCTGGAGGGAAAGGCCAAGAGCTGGAGGTCAGCAAGGGGGTGCTGCAGGTGTCCAGGCAAGTGGGGATGGACAGCTGGGAAGTGGTCCAAGTAGAGAGGCAGGCGGAGCTGCTGCTGACGTGGAGGGTGAGGGAGAGGAGGGAGGCATTGGGGAGGCTCTCAGGGGTTTATTCATGGAGATGGGTGGGCGCCAGGGAGGAAGCAGGACTTCTGTTTGGGTCCCACTGAGTTTGGGGTGGCACAGTAAGAGGCAGCTGGACGCAGGAGTCTGAAGGCCCCTGAATCTGCATTCTGAGCCTCGGTTTCCTCATCTGCACTGGGCATGACGTCCTGCTCCATCCTCTCAGGGGCTGCCTGTGAGGTCCAGGCAGATCACAGCTGTCCTGGGCTCATGGCCTTGACCTGGAGTCATCAGGCTCTCTCACTCCAGCATCCTCCTCGACTCCAGCCCCATTCCACTTCCCCAGGATCCCCTTCCATCTGCTTCCGTCACACCCAGGCAGCAGCAAGAAGGGCATGCTGATGAGGGGCAGGACCACCTTGGCCAAGCCCATAGCAGGGGGTGGGCCAGCCCGGGAACCTCAGTGAATAGGGCAGCCAAGGGGAAGCCCAGGACCCTCCTCCCAGCCAAGGGGCTCCTGCATTTGCTGGGGTGTTCCATGAGCTCAGAAGAGAGCAGAGATGGCAGTGATTTCTCCCCACATGTCTGCTCCCAGATCCACTCATGCGCAGGCCTCGGTCCCACTGAGACAGTCCCTGTGGGTCAGGGTGGATTTTCCAGATGGCTTGGAGCTGGCGACCACACAACCGTGACAGTGATGGGGTGTGTCACAGGTATGACCTGATGGGGGAGCTTCACCACACAGATGGGGAGACAGAGGCTCAGGGAGGAAATGACCAGGCAAAGGTCACAGGCTGCATGTGAACTCCCACACCAGAGCAGCTGCCCTGGGCTCCGTGTTCTGGGAGGGGTAGGGCCGGGACTGTGCCTGGATGGTAATGTTGTGCAGAGCCAGAGCCAGCAGACTTGCGGTGTGGCACGAAGCCTCAGGGCACAGAGTGGGGGTTTAGCCAGCACCAGCGAGGGTCAGTCTGACTGTCCACATTCCTCCTTCTTGCCTGCGGGCTCTGCAGGGCACCACCCACTCTTGACCCTCAAATCCTCCCTGCCTCTGCTCAGGGCTCTGTCGGGGGTCCTGATGCCAAAGAAACTGAGATCCTCCCATGGCCCAGAGACCATGCTGTGGATGGGGGCAGTGCTTGGAGCCAGGAGCTTCAGTGTAGGGGGCACCAGGAAGATTTCGTCTCTCATTCCCTGCACCTGCCCCTAGGAAACCACTCCACCTGCATAAGCCCCACAGACCGCGGCAAGCTCCGTCTTAATGCAGACACTGGCAGTTCCTGCATGGCAGGATAGCGGCAGCATGCCACACTCCTCAGCACGCCACACTCCTCGGCGCGCCACGCTCCTCGGCTGCATTATCTTTGTCTGTGTGTAGAACCTTAGCAATAAAATGCACTTTCAACACTTTTCAGAGCCTTACGACTTACCACACACATACAGCTACTATGACATGAGAAAGAAGCAAAACAATGGGTCCCTTCTGGAAAGGGGGCCACTCCATGTGTGGCAGAGCTGTCTTGCTAGGGCAGTAATCCATGTGCTATTTCTGATGAAGACAGAAGAAGCACCCATCTCATGCAAGAGCACTTCTAATTTCTACCTGTGACTTGCAGGCAGTGTCAGAGGGAGGCACATTCATTCATTCAGACAACAAGCCTACTCTTGGTCAAGCGACAGGCTGGGGGCGGAGGAGCGCAGAGGTCACTGCAGTGGGATGGGGGCTGGAGGGTCCTGGCTGGGCCTGACATGGGAGTCTGAGTCCAGGGCCAGCAGACACGAGGCCCCTATAGACTGGAGCTGGACAAGGGCCAGAGCCAGGGGCCTCAGAAGAGGGTCCGCTCGGCCTGGGTGGGCGTGGGAGGCCCCAGGCAGGTCCACTTCCTTCAGAACAAATGCCTCCCTTCTTTCCACCTGGCTTCAGCCCTAACCTGCTGCCAAGCACCCCTTTCTCTCTCCCTGCTTGACCACAGAGTCCGCACAGTTACTTCAGGCAAGGTGTCCTGGGCAACGCAGCCTCAAGCCTCCTGCTGAGCAAACAGAAAGGTGAAGTGCACTGCAGGCACTGTGTCCACATCGGCAAATGGTTTTCAAATAATATCTTTGTTTCAGGAAAAAGCTCCGATGGAGATAAATGTTTTGTTAGCAGCCAGAAGGTTCATTTCTGACGAAACCCTAGTTCTCCTAGCAGATCTTCCCACGTTAGAGCTGTTTCCCCTAGTTGCTCTGGCAAGGGCAGATGTTTTTGGTGAGGCTGTTAAGTGGGTTAACCATTTTAATAATATTTTCACCTGTGACTGTGAGTGGGAAAGCTGAGCCTGGCCCAAATGCTTAAGGAGCCTCTTGAGTTCTGTTCGGATGGTGCCAATGTGAGTGTCCCATACCTCAAGTGGACAGGCCTCCTCCAGCTCGGGCCAACGCTGAGCACCATTCTGTCCTACCCACTTCGTACTTCCAGGAGTCAGTCCCGTTCCTCTGTCCAAGTCCCGGTCCAGAGGGACTTTCAGGGGGTAGCACCGACAGCATGGCTGCCCCTCCCACCAGTCAGGTCACCCAGTGCTGCCACCGAGGTGGGGAGGCCTTCCTGAGCAGGTGTGGAAAACGCAGTGGGCGCTGTGGATGGTGTTGGCAGTTGTGGGGTGGGAGGCGCACTAGAGGGCATGTGGTGGAGGAGGCCCTGTGGATGGAGGTGGGGAGGGATGATGACAACCATGCAGAGGATGTGGATGGTGACGACGGGAAGCTGGGGACCATGGGGAAGGTGGTGGTGGAGGCAGTGCTGCTGGTGGTGGGGTTGAAGGAGGTGGTGTTGACGGAGGAGTTGGCAGTACAGGTGGTGTTACTCCGGGCAGCACAGATGGCAGAGGCGATGTGGCTGGCAGTGGGTTGAGGCTGGAGGTGGGCGAGGGTATGAGAGGGCTGATGGTGGAGGTGGCCGTGGTGACGGAGCTGGAGGGGACTCTACTTGAGGCTGGCCCAGCAGTTTTCTAGATATGATCTGGGGTGTTTCAGGGAACCACCAGGTACCAGTGCACCGTGGCCTACTCAGGGCGAGTGCTCCATGCAGTTACCAGGTGCATTTCATTCCCTGGGCTGCCATAAGGGCTTGGCCTGGGGTCACACTCTGGGAGCCATGGAGACAGAACCGGCACTCGGGCCTGTTCCTTCAGCTGAGCTGAGCCTGCTGTCATGAGTCCCTGGCCCCAGGAGTCCCACTGGGAGTCCTGTTTGGAGAGTCTGAGCCTGAGCGGCCAGCCCCCAGACTGCGGAGAGGACGGCAGGGAGGGGCAAGCCTGTTGCTAGCCCGCCTAGGAGGGTCAGCGAAGAAGCAGGCCCTGCCCTGAGCGCCTGGGCAAGGGGTCCAGCCTCCTGGCTCTGGGCCGCACTGGCGTCCACGGGGGGCGGGGCTGAAATGGCCCAAGGAGGGGCTGCAACCTTCGCAGGCCCGGCGCCCCACTTGGGAAACTGAGGCCCGGGAAGCCCGTGCCCACGGCCACATTGCCATGTGTGAAAACCAGGGCAGTACCAGGACCCCTGCTCTCCCCTGGGAATCAGGCGCCGGGAAGACGCGCTCGGCAGGTCTGGCAGGGGCCGGGGCGCCGCGCTCCACTCGCCCCCGCCTCGGTGCCCGGCGGCTGCCGCCCCCGCCCCGCCCGCGCGCCTCTCCCGCGGGCCGCTGTCCGGCCTTGGCCGCCGAGGAGGAAGCGCTGTCCTCATTCCACCTCGGGCCGCCCCGGTGCCAAGTGGCTGGCGGCGGCGGCGGGAGTCCGGGCCCGGCGGGCAGCGGCCGGGGCGCAGCTCCCTCCCCTCCCGGGCGCCCCGCGAGCCCGGGGGTTACTCACGTAGAGTCCGGAGTGCTCGGCACCGAAGAACGGGAAGGGCACCGAGAGCGGCCGCAGCCCCGAGCCGCCGTCGTCCTGCTTGGGGGTGACGGCGTCGCCGCGCTCGGCGCCGAACGGGTAGAAGTCGGCAAGGGCCACCGCGCCGCGCACCCCGCGCGCCCCAAGCCCCAGGGCCGCGGCCACCAGCAGCGCCCAGGCGACGCCGTGCCGCATCGCGGAGGTGTGCGGGCGGGACGGGGCGCTGGCGGAGCAGGGCGCTGGGGGACTAGGCTGCGCGCGGGGGTGGCCGGCAGGGCCAGGCGGGGTGCGGGGAGCGCGGGCGCGCCCGCTGGCCGCGCCGTCGGGGGCTCCGCGTCCCGCGCCCGTTCGGCCGGGCCGCGCTCTCGCCGCAGCTCCGCAGAGGAAAGCGCCGGGCGGGACCGCGTTCGGGGCCAGCCCCGCCCCTGGGGCCACGATTTAAATATCCAGCCCGGCGGTCACTCGGGGGGGCGGGGCCATGCAAATCGGGCGTCTCTTAAAGCGCCAGGCCCCGTGGGAGGGCGCGGGCGCGCGGGGAGCTCAGTCCCCTGGCGTGGGCACAGGCAAGGTGAGGGCTCTGCGGGCGCGCGCCCTGTGGTGGGGCCATGCTCCGCCCTGGGTCCCTACCCTGGTGGAGGCGCCTGGGCCCTCAGTGCCGTCCTGGGACAGACCTGTGTCCCTAAGGCCTGAGACGCTGGGCCCGCCCTGAAGGCGTGTCATCACGCGGGGGGCGGGAGGGGACCCTGGCCAGGCAGTGCCTGAATGAACCCGTTCCGTGCTGCCCCCTTCCCAGCCCTGAGCATGGGGACGCCAGGCTTCCAGCCACAGGGGCAGACTAACCCCGGAGCCCACTCCCTGCCTGGGTCTGTGTGAGGAAGAGCCCGGGCCGGAGACTAGGAGGCATGGAACAAAGTGTTTGCATCTGCGTGGCCGCATCAGGAGAAATTCCTGGGAGGCTCGGGACCTCGGGGCGACCCCTGGGTAAAGCAAACCCTCCGTGGGGAAGACTGACCCACTCAGGCCCTGGGGGCAAGTGCGTGCATGACACCGGCCTTGGCAGGTGGGGGCAGGACTCTGAGTCCCAGTATTTGAATTCAGGGTCCCCACCCTGTGGCCTGCCAGCCCTGCCCCCTGTCTCTTGGGCTGCTGGCCTGGGCTGCCTGTCTGTCCTTCCTCAGGGCCTCAGCCGGGACCACCTCTATGTCCCCAGGCCCATGGCAGGGTCTGATTCCTGGAACTCACCCGGCCCACCGTGGTCTCTTCTCTTAGATCCTGGTGTTGGGTGGTGTTGGCTGCGTGCCACACTGGGGCCCCCAAAGATAAGAGTGCACCCCTCGAAGACAAGCAGGAAAGGCCGGGCTGATGGTAACTGCATCTACCACTGAGGTGCTGGGTGGTTTTTTGTTTGTCTTTGCGTTTGTATCTTCTGAAATATCTCAAGTGAGCACGTGTTGTTTTTCAGTGAGAGCCAGGCACAGTCAATGTTATTTTTAAGAAGCAGCGGAGGGTTCTCTGCGTGTGACTGGGTGTTGCCGGTTCTCACAGATCCTGCACTTGGTGTTTTCACTCAGAGGTTCATGACCCTTTAGACTTGGTGTCAGGGCCGGGTGCAGAATTGTTAAGGAGGAGCTGACCCTGCACTGGCACCTCCTGAAAGCTTGCCCCTGGCGCCTCTCCCACCCTGCATGGGGTGGCAATTCTGTTTGCAGAGAGGCAAACTGGGCCTGGGAGGGGAAGGGCTCTGTCCCGCAGTTAGCCCTTAGGTCACCGTCCCAGCTTTCAGAGCTCCAGGACAGCAGCACAGCCATGGTTCCAGGGCCAGAAAGGTCAAGGCCTCCTGTCTTTGGAGGGAGGCACCAGAGAGGGCGTGGAACTGTAGAATCCCTACTTGAGGCCGGCTCTCGGTGAGAGCCTGGCAAGGAGAGACATGTCTCCACGCACATGCACACACGTCCACGCACACATGCATACTTATTCACATGCACGGAGGCAGCATATGCCCATACGTGGGGCCTCAAGAACATGCTTTAACCCCTTCCTCAGCCCAGCCCTGGCCTCCCTGGTCAGGGAGGGCTGCTCCCACCTCTGGCTGGCACAGGCCGTGGAGTCAGGACAAGGCCCCATGTAGCAGCGTTGGGAACAGAGCTGCCAGGCGTCACCGTGGCGGGAATCAGGGAGAACGCTTTTCTATTTGTCTTTTTTCTAGAAAAACCTGGCAGCCCTCTACCCTCTTTTCAGTGCATTTGGGGCCTGGCTGGAAGGCCCCTCCGGTGAGTTTGCGAAGGTGGGAGGCGGCAGTGCCAACCCCAGGGCAGGATTTCTCCGCTGAAGAGGTGTTGTCATGGGGACGTGAGGCTTTGACCCCCACTAGGGCTGGCCCACCTCCTGCCCTGTCCCTACTACCCATCCACTTCCCACCACATGCTCCTGCTCTGCTCTCAGAGCCCAGCCTGGGGTGCTGCCTCCCAGCCAGCTGCCCAGGCCAGGCGCCCTTCTCCCCACTGCTGACCTTCTCTTGAGCACACAAGACAGGGACCTGGGTAACAACCCATTTCTGGGCTGGGTTTGGGTCAACTTGGGGGCAGGGCCGCCCAGGGCACCTTGGGGCACACAGTGGCACTCAGTGGCTGCACCGAGTGGAGGCCTGTTTCTTCAGGCGGGTGGGCTGGTGGGCCTCACGGGGGTCGCTGAGCAGTGCTGGAAACGCTCAGGCCCGTCCTCGTCCCAGAGAGTCAGAGCTCATGGGCCTGGGGCGTGGCTGGCAGTGGGCCAGACCCTGCTCATGGCCCAGAGAGGCCACACTTCCTCGGGCCTGTACCCTGCTGACCAGCCTCGGCCTGCACCCTGTGCAGATTTTCAGCCGGGCCCGGGGAGCTGGGGGTTAACAAAAGGCCCCGCTGCTGCTGGGCATTACATTTCATTAAAAAAAAAAAAAACAAAAAAAAAACAACACAACTCTGCAGGCAAAAAAGAGAAAAAAAAATGTTTTTCTCAGGTGCTAAAAATATTATCAGGAAATACTTTTCAGCAATGTGCTGTTTTAGGCTCCCCTCTGGACTCAAGGGCGCCTTTGTCTCTGCCACAGAAAATCCACATTTATCAAAACCAAAATTGTTTTATCAAGCAGGCTCATGTTCTGTGGCCAGGAAACCCGAGCCTCCCCAACCGGCCTGTGACATTTTAATTTAGGGCCTGAGCGTGTGTGCAATTTAGATGGGGTGCCCCGGGAGCTGCCCTCAGGATGCCCCAGGACTCGGGGCTCCACGCAGGCCAAGGTGGGGGTGCCCTCCCCAACCTGCACCTGGTTGGCTGGGCCTGTTTGGTCTTCACAGGGTGGAAGATCCTGGGGGTTCAGGCCTGAGCTGCCAGGGGCAGGGGCTGGCTGGCTGTAGCCCACCCTAACTTTCTCTCCTTCTCTCCCAGAAGTGGCAGGTGGAGTGCAGGTCCCCTGCCCCAGAAGCGCTGATCCCAAGTAAACCTCCACATGCTCCGGAATGAGGCCAGGAGGTCACAGGGACCAAGGGCCGCTCCACCTGCTCACCTGGTCACTGTCCTGTGTGGCTGGTTGGGGTCTTGGTGCAGTTGGCCCTGAGGGAGTGTGGGGGCCATGCAGCCTGCCCTGTACCTCCTCTTCTCATGCACACGGAGCCGCACACACATTGACTCCCATGACGGGACTTCTGTGGTTGCTCTTAGGGAAACGATGGGACTGGGGTTCAACACTTCCTTCCCAGGATGTTCACTGCTGCGTGGGCTCAGGCATCGGCTCTCCCTGTCCTGGGGATGACGAGACCCTGCCTCCCGTTGAGAGCCTTGTCCATCTCCTGAGTGCCCAAGACAGGACAGAGCCCCATTCTCTGTGGGCTCCAGGATGGCAGGGACAGCCAGCAGTGGAGGGACACTCAGGCCCAGGGTCCTCCGATGCCCCGGAGCTTCCGCAGCAAAAAAACCATGCTCTGAGACGTTTTTAGTGATTCGGGAAAACTCTAACGGTATTGTGTCAAGCAAAAGTTTTAAAAAATAGTACTCTGAGTAGCATCCACGCTATGGCCTCAACCGTCCTAAGCACACGTGTGCTAGAAAAAGGGAGAGTTGGGTGTCACCTCGGGGCTCTGCAGGTCACAGATTATGGTGGTGGTTACATTCTCCTTTCTATGTTTCCCTGCTAACATTTTTTGCAATTAATTTGAAAAGTATGAATGTTTTGGAAGCCCAGATAAACAATGCCCTTGGTTCCAGCTGGCCGGCTTCCTGCCCCGGCTTCAGCCAACCAAAGCTTGTGCTTCCCTCAACCTGGGGTGCTTCAGAGGGCTGGCCTGTCCTTGGGTGCCGCCGTCTGCGTTCAACATGGCCCCTCCTCCAGTGCCCCCTCCCCAGGGGGCCTTCCTCTCCCATTTGTCCCCTCCCTGTGTTGGTCTGCAACCCCTGGATGCCTGCAAAGGGTGCTGCCCCCGGACCCAGGCACCTGAGGGCCTGTCAGAGCGTCGGAGCTTCCTGGCCAGAGGCTGGATGGGACCCTCCAACAGCCCCTGCGTGCCCCACATTCCTCGGCGAGCCTCAAGGGTGGCAGGAATCCGAAGGGATTTTGTGTTCTGTCTCAGACAGGAGCTGGGCCCCTGCCTGCATCCCTGCCTTGTGTGGGGGAGGGTCTCCTGGCTTTCGGAAACCTCAGGCACATTTATCACCTCTGCCCACCGGAGAGGGCAGGCAGAGGAAGAGCCAGACCATGGAGGCCTCCAAGGTCGCAAGCGTATGTGTGGCTCCAGCTCCATGAGGTGGTTCTGGGGGTCCATCCCCTGCAGGGACAGGCCTGAGAGCCACCTCTGAGTTTTCACTGACACCCAGACTCTCTGTGGGTTCTAGAGGTAGACCCTGAGAGTACCCTCCCCTTGGGAACATCACGGATCTGCGCCGCCTCCACCAGGCTGGCCTCAGGGGCTGCTCCCTCGAGTACCCTGGCCCTGCTGGACCGTGGCTGGGGATGGCAGCAAGGAGATGGACATGGCACTCCCAGAGCCGTGGCTGCTGCAGGTGACAGTGCCTCCACCGTTAGCTGAGTGCTTCTGGCCTCAGCCTGGGCGATACTTCACGTAGGACACACCATGGCCCTCTGGGGCTGGGGTCACCCCACTTTATAGACAGGGAAACCAAAACCTAAAGAATCTGTCCAGGGTTGGGTTGCACAGCTGGTGGGGGCACAGCTGGGACCCCCGTGCAGGCAGGCCTGGGCTGGAGGCCACGCATGGTCTTTTCCCCTTGACTCTGGGGAGTGCGTGGGAAGGGGTCCAGCCCTTTCTTCCCTTGGCCTTGCCTCCATGAAGGGGCAGGGGGACCCCAGCATCTGGGGCATATCCTCTGGTTAACACGGCTCTGCCTGCCCCCTCACTGGGCAGATGGGTCTGGGGCGAGGCCGGTGGAGGGGGAGCCCTGGCCTGGGCTGTCGGGTCCCTGGGCCTGACCCCTCCTGTCGACCTGGTGCAGACTTGTCCCAAAGCAAGGCTTCCTCCTCATCTGCAAACCAGGTGCTCAAAGGGCTGCTGCGAGAACAGAGGGAGAGCTCTCCAAACCCCAGCACGGTTCTCAGTCATCATGAGACCGGAACACAGAGGCCCACACACGACCGCTGGACATGTTTAAGAAAATGCCAATGTATTTCCACTAGAAAAATCCTCTTTTCCTAAATACATGTCTCTATGTTGAATAAGTTAAAATAGCATCTCCTACGCTGATTCAACTATTTATTAAAATTCAAAATTCGGAGGCCCCCACATGCATTTCAAATGTTCCCCATGAGCAGCCAGGGCAAGGAGGGTCCTGAAACTGCCGAGAGCGAGCTGTCTCATCACGGGTGCCTTTCACTGTGACGCTGAGAAATCAGCTGGGCCCCTCCCACCTGCGGTGCGTTCCCTTCCTCTGCAGCCACGCTGGGCGCCTCCCCTGTGCTGGGAGCTTCAGTCCCTTTGGGCGCTGCAGGGATGCAAAGAGGGAGGCGTGGACACCGCATTCCCGGGGACACATGGGGGCTCCTGCTGCCGGGGGCTGGAGGGACCGATGCTGAGTCTCCTGCCCACAACTGGGAACCTTGAACTTCTGTTCCTCCCTCCCGCCCTGGCCATCCCTCAGGCCCTTCTGCTGGGCTGCAGAGCGGGAGGCCCCCTCTATGAGGAGACTGCGAATGGGGAAGGAAGGCAGGGAAGGGACATGCCTACTAAGTGCCAGGCCCTGAGCACCACACGCTGCCTCTCAGTGACCCCCTCCACCCACCATCTGGCAGAGCACTCTCCAGCAGTGGGGGCAGGCCTGCCTGCTGTCCTCCACCCCTGACTGGCCATGGCAGGGGGTGCCTATCGGGGCACCTGTGCCACCACTGACTCCTCCTTTGCCCAGAGTAACATCCACTCATGGGTCACCAAGCTCTTCCCCTCAGAGCCCAGGCTGAGCCTCAGAATCCTTCTCAACACAGCCACCAACAATCAGGCAGAGGTAACAGACAGGAAGGAGCCTATATGCCCACCTCTCTTGAGTTATTGATTTTGCATGATTTACAGCATATGGTAACTCCATTACTAAATCCACCAGAAAACCAGGTGTGCCAGGACAGACTATTTTAAGTCCCAGAGTGATCTTGAAATAGACACTGTTGCACATTCAGCCAAGGCTCACAGTAACTGTGATGGGGTGGGGGCCGGGAGCCTCTGGCCTTGCACCCTTAGGCCAGAGTCCTTGCGACTGGGACGGGAGGCCCCTGTGGCACATGCAGGGATTCACTGGGCTGGCTGGTGCCCCACAGATATCACAAATGACCACCTATAAAGCATGCGGCCCTTTGGAGAGGAGAACAAGTCACTCTGAGCAACGGTGATGGAGACGAGGGGTGCAGATGGACACAGGTGGCCCACGCCACAGGCCCAAGATGGCCGCCTGGGTCTCCATAGCAACCCAGCCGGAGTCCCACAGGACCGTTCCCAGCATTTCCAGGCCGGGAACATGGGAGGCTCTGTAACAGCTTTAAGTGTTACACTCCCCTTCTTCTGGCGGCCAGTGAGTCACGGGGACTTGAATCTGAGTCACTTCCAGCCACCTGCCACCGTGACGGCCGCAGTTCCTGGATGCGGAGGCTCACAGCCGCTGGGCGTGGGGATGTGGTGGCTGGCCTTGCAGGACATTATGTTTTTGGCTCCGGTTGGTGGAAATGTTTCCCACGTGTTTTCCCGTGTTTACAGAGCTGAGGGCACGGAATGAAGCCGGGGAAGCCAGCCTGACAGGGCCTGGCCCCGGGGGTCTGGTCAGAGCAGCTCCTCCAAAGCAGAAACGGAGTGCCAGGCGGGGGCAGGCTGGGAGGGTGCCAGGCGGGGGCAGGCTGGGAGGATGCCCAAGCCCCTGCTCTCTGCCGGAGGGGAAGGGGCTGTCAGAGATGAGCGACCCGCAGCATGGTCCAGCACCAGCTGCAGGCTGAGTCTCCAGGGGTGGGAGGAGCTCTGCGGTCAGCGGGCTCAGAGTGTGCCACTGCCTGAGGACCCTGAAGAGTGAGTGGTGGCCCGGGCGGTGGCTGCCTGCACCCTGTGCTTTCTGCTGTCATCGTGCCCACCCCATTTGAGCTTTGTCCCTCTTGTGCAGAGCACAAGGCATTGGTTTTCCCAACAGTGGTTCCCCCAGCAGCCTAGGGCCTCCAGCACCTTCCCCAGGGCCGCCTGCCCCTGGCCAGTCAGGGCTGAAGGCAGCTAGGCTGCTGGGTGGTATGCAGCAGGGCTCACTGTCCTGTCTGGAAGGCCTGGCCGAGGTGGGCCTGTTGCCGCCACTGCACTTCCTGGTCCAGTTGCTCCTTCAGGCTGGCCACCTGGGGACAGGACAGTGGCTCAGGTCAGGTGGGCAGGCTGCACGGCCAGGGCCCCAGGGCATAGAGGCATGGAGGGCTCTGTGACAGGAAGGGCTGGAGGCCATGGTCCACAGCTCCCAAGGAGAGGTGGCATGCATGGGACAGAAACATCAGGCAGACGTCAGACTGACTCCTTTGCTGCCAGAGAGGGATGCGCAGTTCCACCTCTCACCACGGATCCCCCACCTGTGGAGGCCTCAGGAGTATGGCCACCGCGCACCCTTGGTGGATGGGCCCGCTTCTGTTCAGGCACTCAGAATGAGGCTGGGTGCAGTGGCTCACGCCTGTAATCCCAGCACTTTGGGTGGCCGAGGTGGGCCTTGGGCATCAGGATCACCTGAGGTCAGGAGTTTGAGACCAGGCTGGCCAACATGGTGAAACCCCGTCTCTACTAACAATACAAAAAATTAGCCAGGCATGGTGGTGGGTGCCTGCAATCCCCGCTACTCTGGAGGCTGAGGCAGGAGAATCGCTTGAACCCAGCAGGTGGAGGTTGCAGTGAGCCGAGATCGCGCCACTGCACACCAACCCAGGTGACAGAGTGAGAATCCATTTCAAACAAAACAAAACAAAACAAAACAAAACACTCAGAATGATAAGGAAATAAATAAATGTCCTTTTGCTAATAAATTTAGCAAAAGTGCCTTGGTGGTTGGGGACCCTAACTTGGGGATGACACTGGGCAGTCAGGTCACCTCCTGGGCCTCAGTTTCCTCATCTGTAAAATGAACAGACAGCTCTAAGGTCCTGATAGCTCTGAGCTCTAAGGCTCAGTGGTTCAGCCCAGCAGGTCTGTCACGTGTACATATGCATGTGTGGGTGTGCAGTGCACACACACGCCCAAGGCTTGGCTATGCTTCCTTATCCACCTCACTGTGCCCACCTCATCCCCACAGATGCCACGTGTGCCATTGTTTTCCC
Organism: Homo sapiens; assembly: GCF_000001405.40. NCBI lineage: Eukaryota > Metazoa > Chordata > Mammalia > Primates > Hominidae > Homo > Homo sapiens. The sequence continues at coordinate 240,990,235 of NC_000002.12, read as the reverse complement.
TTTGTGACTCTGAAGGACAGGTGCAGAGGCCACCTCTGCTACAACTGTGCATGCTGGGTGCTGTCTAAGCACCTCACACATAATGACAGCTCAGTCGCCCAGTGACCCCTGACAGGAGCTGTCCTCACTACCCCACTTTAGAGACAGGGCAATGGAGGCTCAGAGAGGGTGGTGACCTGCCCCAGAATCCACACTTCACCTCCCAGTGGGATAAACCTCGTGCCGTCGAGAGCAAAGAAGTGCAGGCAGTGCCCGGAGCAGGTCTGGAGCCCACTGGGTGGCAGTGGAGAGCCCCTGTTGCTAGAGGACTTCAAGAAGTCACCCCTACTGGGTGACTGCGGGGATGCCAGTCCTCTGTCCCTGCCTCTTCCCTCACCCAGGGGGCTGGGGTCCCGACCTTACCTGCTCTTCCAGCACCTTTACCTGCTGCTGGTGGGTCCATTCTTGGGACTCCAGGGCCTGCGTGGCCTGCGGCCGGGCCCCATGGAGACGCTCTGCCTCTGTGGCCAGGTCCCGCTGGTGCTGAGCTGTCAGGTCCTGGAGCCGCTGGGTGTGGGCCTGCTCCATCTCTGTCATCTGGGCCTGGAGTGAGAACTTGGGCATCTCACTGCTGTCTCTCACTGAGGGCCGCACAGAATCCCAGGGCAGGAGTGCCACAGGGTGTTTCACCTGTCCTTGTGGGCCCCACTGCCCTCTGCCGGTGTTGACCTGGCCAGGACTGCCCAGCAGACCTGGGGTTAGGTGCACATGTTCAGCCCGTGGGCCTTGGGTTTGGCTTTGGCTGGGCTGGAGACTAAGCCACAGCCTCCAGGGTGGGCCTAAAATCTGTTTTCATGGCACCCCAGGTTCCTTTTGGCTGGGCTGGGTGTCCGGAGGGCATCGAAGTTTGATTCTTGCCCATCCTGCCCCCATCCCCTGCTGGTTTCTGAGGATGGGGGTATGTCCAATGTGGACAGGATGAATGAAGCCTCTGAGGCCCCTTCTGTGGGTGTCAGGCCCCTAGGCCTCAGGGGATTTCCTCGCCCTAACACAAGCAGGTAGCAGCCTCTGGCCATGCCCCACAGGCCTCTCTGACCTCCCTCACCTGGCCCTTGTGCTGCTCTACAGAGCCCGGGCCTGGCTCCCATGGGGACTTCAATGTCTCAAGAAGGGCAGGAGCCTTGGGTCCTGGTTCCAGCTCTGCCTGGGGCCTTGGTCTGAGTCTGTATCCATCACATGCAGAAGCTGGTCCAGCCACCCTCCCCATGTGTGCACGTGTGAGATGGAGGTACACCAGCCACCCCTCTGGAACTGACACCCTCCTGGATCCCACCCCAGGTCTGCCCCCAGGCCTGGGGTATGCAGAGCTCCACTGGCCCAGTTGACCTGCAGCTGCTGATTTTGCCTCAGGGCTCCGTCCACCTCCTGGTGCAGGCTGTTCAGAGACTGGTCCAGCTGCTCCTTCTCAGCCCCCAGCCTCGCCACATCCTCCTCCCTCTTCAGTGTCTCTTGCTCCATCTGCAGAGATCCCAGGAGGCAGAACCTGTGGCCTCCTGGCAGGGAGTGAGGTCAGGCCAGCCCTCCTCTGGGAGCACAGGGTTGCCTCTGGGAAGGACTCTGAATTCCCCTAAGAGCTGGCAGCGTCAGGAAGGGCACTGCCCTGGGCCAGGACCCCTGGCCTCACCCAGGTCTATCCAATATCTGCAGCCAGAGTGACAGCTTAAGGAGGAGCATAGGGCCAAGTCCCCATCCAGCTACAGAGCAGCAGATGGCCCCATCAACATCCTCAATGGGGGACTCCCTACATCTTTTAAGGTGACATCCCAGGAGCTACCCCGCAAACCCCTTCTCAGTGTTCCTCCAGGTCTCATGAGCCATGATCCCCTGCACTCTCTGGCACCTGCCTTCTGCTGTTGGCACTCAGGATCTGCTGAGCTCGTACAGGCACAGGCCCTGAGAGCTGGGTACACTTGCTGTCTCAATCCCAACAAGCCTGTGGCATTGGCATCACTATCCCCACCGTCTGTCCTCCTTGTAGGCTGTAGGCTGCCCCAATGTGCTCCCTCCTTAGTCACCCACTCCCTACCCCATGGGTACAGGTCAGGAGGGATAAGCTCCAGGTTAAAAATCAGGGAAGGTTACCCAGGAAACAGACATTTTCTATGGGAAAGTTGGCAGGGACCTTTTGTTCCCTTGCGAATGGGCCCTCTGGAGGAAAGGATTGAATCTAAGAGTTCTCTCTTACAGAGAGCAGCACTGGGAGAGGAACACCGTCCACCAGCCCCAGACAGCCTGCTTCCAGCACCCCCAGATGGCCTGGGGCATGCCTCATGGGGAGTTGGTGTGGAAGGGATCCCATGATGTCACAGGCTCATTGGGCCAGGCAGGCGCTGAGGCAGGCCTGGAACCCAGGCCCTGCTCTCCCAACCAGGCTGCCTCCAGGCTCTGCCGTGCCCAGCCCCGAGGGTCATGCCTGCTGGGGCTGTGTCCACAGGGGTGACAGCCTTGGGCTGGAGTGCCAGGTCAGTCCTCTGTTGGCCCCAATGCCCTCTGTCGGGTGCTGGCCCTGGCCCAGGATTGGGCAGCAGACCTGGGGCTCAGTGCACACACTTGGCACACCACAAACCTGCCCTCTTAGCTTCAGGGCTGGAGCAGGCCTGGTTTCGGGCCCTAAGACAGAGGGGATAATTTGCATGGGTAAAGTTTGTTACAGGGTCAGTGGTTGGAACTTTACAAAAAATAAGGGTTCCTTTCTTCTTCAGGACTGAGAAAAACAGAGAGTCCCCTGCACTGAAAAAGGAAGTCCTGTTTCTTTAAAAATCCAGTTACACTCCTGGAAGTGCATGTTATAAAGAGAAGAGAAAAGTGAAATCCAAAATAAATAAACGGCCACATCCGGGTTTCCCCTCCTGAGACACCAATAAAGGGTTTATGGGTTTGTGGGCCCCTCACAGCTGACCTCCTGGAACTCATTAGCTGTTCCTTCCCTCCCCCTCCTCAGGCTCCAGGGACTCACGGTGGGCACTGTGCCCACAGCTGGCTCTGCGTCCCCGGGCAGTGCTGTCGCAACCAGGGCTGATGCAAGCCCCCTGCTCCTCCACCCCCAGCAGCGTCCACGGGAGGCCCCAACACCCTGGCTCCATGGCGCTGGGCCCCCTTCAGTAATAGCAGCAGGGGCTGGTGACTGGACCCCATTGGCTGGCCCTACTCTGGAGGGCAGGTGGTCCTTTGTGGACAAGCTGGCTGGTGGCTTTCGTGACTGTCCTGACCTGCTGGCCCCTGTTCCCTGGGCAGGCTGGGCTGCGGGGCCTTCTGCAGGTGGCAGTGAGTCCTTGGGAAGGGCCACCCTGCTCTGGGGTTCACCCCTGAGGCCTCAGCACCTGCCTTCCCCACTTCACAGATGGGGGCCCCCTGCCTACTCCCAGAAGGGGGCTGTGAGGGCATCAGAACCCTGGGCCCACAGCTGGTGCAGCCCACTCTGCAGGGCCAGCCTGGGTGGCTGTGTGGGCACCTTCCCTGTTCCTGCAGGGCCTCAGCAGCACACAGCAGAGGGACAAGGGGCTGTCCCCCAGGCTCCACGGATGGAAGTCCAAAGACACCTGCCCTTCCCACCCCTCCCCCTGCGCCATCCAGCCTGGGATGGTGAACAAACTTCCCAAGGAGAACAAGCTCGAGTCCCCCAGGACGCTGGAGGTGGGAGCTTGTGGATGGGTCGTGGAGCCGGCAACACCGGCTCGGCTTTCCAGGCCTGTCCCTACAGCTGGGTGACCCACAGGTTACCTTGACCTCTGGCTCTCCTTGATCTTGGCGGCCACTCTGAGGCTGCATGAGCAAGGGTGGCAGGAGAGTAGCTGGGAGGGGGTGGGTGTGGGGCTCTGGGGTCAAGGGGCCATGAGGAGGCCTGGGTAGTGGGCAACAGGGCCCATGGATGCCGAGCTGGAGGCAGCCCCTCCAAAAGCATCCGGTCCAGAGGGAGGTGGGCACAGCTTCCGCGGGGACTCTGGCCTCAGGCCACCAGGACTACCCCACCCTGCACCTTGGACCCACAGGGTGGGTGGGAGCTGTGCCCATGTGCCCATGTGATGCACCACCCTCTCCACTCAGCCCCGTTTGTGAGCCAGTCGCGGTGCAGGACACTGATGGTGCCCTGGAGTCATTTAAACAACGCATGCTGTAGAAAGGGCAGTGTCCAGCCCTGAAGCCCTGGAGAGCCACCATGTCCCCATCAGGGAGGAGCCCAACTGTGCAGACAGCTTGAGAGGCCGGCATCAAGGAGAGGAGGATGAACAGAAAGAGGGATCGGTGTGAGGCCACCCCGTGGGCTGGGGCCATGTGCCCACTCTGCCCTCACCTGCCAGGTGGGGGCCCTGCATGCACCCAGACCCTGCTGTGGGGGGCAGTGAGACCCCCAGTGTGAGTGCCTGGGTGTGTGTGGAGTGAGTGCCTGGGTGTGTGTGGAGTGGGTGCCTGGGTGTGTGCTGAGTGCCTGGGTGTGTGTGGAGTGAGTGCCTGGGTGTGTGTGTGGAGTGAGTGCCTGGGTGTGTGTGTGTGGAGTGAGTGCCTGGGTGTGTGTGGAGTGAGTGCCTGGGTGTGTGTGCTGGGTGTGTGTGGAGTGAGTGCCTGGGTGTGTGTGGAGTGAGTGTCTGGGTGTGTGTGGAGTGAGTGCCTGGGTGTGTGTGCTGGGTGTGTGCAGTGAGTGCCTGGGTGTGTGTGTGTGGAGTGAGTGCCTGGGTGTGTGTGTAGAGTGAGTGCCTGGGTGTGTGTGTGGAGTGAGTGCCTGGGTGTGTGTGTGTGGTGGAGTGAGTGCCTGGGTGTGTGTGTGGAGTGAGTGCCTGGGTGTGTGTGTGTGGAGTGCCTGGGTGTGTGTGTGGAGTGAGTGCCTGGGTTTGTGTGTGGAGTGAGTGCCTGGGTGTGTGTGTGTGGTGGAGTGAGTGCCTGGGTGTGTGTGTGGAGTGAGTGCCTGGGTGTGTGTGTGTGGAGTGCCTGGGTGTGTGTGTGGAGTGAGTGCCTGGGTGTGTGTGTGGAGTGAGTGCCTGGGTGTGTGTGTGTGGTGGAGTGAGTGCCTGGGTGTGTGTGTGGAGTGAGAGCCTGGGTGTGTGTGTGGAGTGAGTGCCTGGGTGTGTGTGGAGTGAGTGCCTGGGTGTGTGTGTGGAGTGAGTGCCTGGGTGTGTGTGTGTGGAGTGAGTGCCTGGGTGTGTGTGTGTGGAGTGAGTGCCTGGGTGTGTGTGTGGAGTGAGTGCCTGGGTGTGTGTGTGTGGAGTGAGTGCCTGGGTGTGTGTGTGGAGTGAGTGCCTGGGTGTGTGTGTGTGGAGTGAGTGCCTGGGTGTGTGTGTGGAGTGAGTGCCTGGGTGTGTGTGTGTGGAGTGAGTGCCTGGGTGTGTGTGGAGTGAGTGCCTGGGTGTGTGTGTGTGGAGTGCCTGGGTGTGTGTGTGGATTGAGTGCCTGGGTGTGTGTGTGGAGTGAGTGCCTGGGTGTGTGTGGAGTGAGTGCCTGGGTGTGTGTGTGTGGAGTGCCTGGGTGTGTGTGTGGATTGAGTGCCTGGGTGTGTGTGTGGAGTGAGTGCCTGGGTGTGTGTGTGTGGTGGAGTGAGTGCCTGGGTGTGTGTGTGTGGAGTGAGTGCCTGGGTGTGTGTGTGGAGTGAGTGCCTGGGTGTGTGTGGAGTGAGTGCCTGGGTGTGTGTGGAGTGAGTGCCTGGGTGTGTGTGGAGTGAGTGCCTGGGTGTGTGTGGAATGCTCACAGAGGACAAGAGAGCTGCCTCTCAGGTGATGGGGAGGGGGTGTTGTACATAGCAGGCTCCTCCTCGGTGGGCCCAGAGTGACGGCTGGGGTGCAGGCTCCCAGAAGCTCTGCCTGCTTCCTGGAATGCCATTTCCTCTTTATTGGGCTGTTTCCCTATCAGTCGACCTGGCGGCTGTGCGCCCCTCATCTCCCCGCGAATGGTTCTGCTCCGTCTGGTTTCATGCGTGGAAGCCAGGTCCACCTGCGTCCAGGGTCCGAGCTCAGTGGCCAGGACCACTGGATCACCCACCCGCCAGCAGGGTGCCTCCACCTGGCCTCACCTCTGCGGCCCACCCCTGGACACAGTGGTCTACGTTTGTCTGACCTTTGGGCTTGGAAACCCTGTCTTGCACCGGGGAGGCCGGGGGATGACAGGACTGGGTGATGACCGTCACTTCACCCCTTGACCACTGAGCTCTTCCTGGTCTCTCACCCTGTCTGCCCAGGCCCTACCGGGAGCTCAGGGGCCACTATCCTTGTGAGCGTTGAGAGGGGAGGTTGTGGGGCACCTGCACAGGCTGGCCCACCTGTTGCTCCAGCCGCAGGGCACACCCCTGGGGAGGGGCTATCTCCACCATGAGCAGGGGCCTCTGGGGCTCTGGGGTGTGTGATGTGTCAGGCCACTCGGTTTCCAGCAAAGCTGGGCTCAGACACTGGAGACAAAGCCGGGGATTTGCCCCCACCCATGGTGCCTCCCCAGGGAGAGCCAAGGCAGGGCGCACACGACACCACTGGCAGGGCTGTGGCCACCTGCGGGCGTCCTGACCCTGAGCTTAGTGCCACCCCGCCGGCAGGTGAGGACACAGAAGCATGCGTGGGCCAGCGCCTCTCCCAGCCGCGCCCCTGCGGACCCCAGCCAGGAGCTCCTCCTTCCTCTCTAAGGACCACCGCTGCCGCCTACCTGTGCGAGCTGAGCGCGCAGCGCCGCGAGCTCCCCCTGCAGACGCGCCCGCTCGGTGCGCAGCGCCGCCGTCTGCTCCTGCAGGACGCGCCTCTCCGCCTGCGCCTCGGCCGCCTCCTGCCCGCCGCTGAGCCTCTGCGGCCTGCAGAGCACCTGGGCCGAAGACGCTGGGCGTGGGCCAGGGATTGGGAGGGCCCGAGTTTCTGAGAGCGGGGTCGTTCCATCTAAGGCTGGCTCTGGCCTCAACTTATTTTCTCCTAAACGGCGTGTCCACAGCTGACTCCTCTGTTGTAGGGGTGCTTACTGTACGGCAAGAAATCCAGCCCCCTGACTCCCTGTGGGCCCCTCCAGGCTCAGTTTCCCCATCTGTCAGCGGGGGACTGGATGGTGCCTGGGTCTCTGCAGGCCTGCTCACCTGCCTCCAGCATCTCTCTAGGCCTCCCTTCATGTTGAGGGACTGATTCTGCAAAGGACCACAGGGCCTCTTCCCTGTAGGCCTGTTCACCGCCTCCTGGTGACAGCGTACCCTGCCCTCCTGGTCACCCTCACCTGTCGCAGGGGCTCCAGCGATACCTCAGCCTTCTGGCACCTGTGCTCCAAGTTGGTGAGCTGTTCTTCCAGCAGCTTCCCCTGCTTGGCCAGACCTTGGCTGTGCCTCCTGCTCTCTTCAAGAGCCTGGCGCAGCGTTTCCAGTTGCTCCTGGGGGGAAGGAGACACAGGGTCCACCTGGAGACACTGGGGGTGGGAGGCCCTGCAGGGAAACCCTGGCCTCAGGGCATCTGCCTAGACCGTCTGGCAGGACCGTATCGCTGGGATGAAAACAGCAAGAACGTGGTTAAGGACAACCTGAAGTGCGTTGATCAGGTGATTGTGTTTGCAATGTAACCTCAAAGGTGTGGACCCCCAGGAAGCCTGAGACGAAAGTCCTGGGGGTCTGGTCTAGCGTGGGCAAAGACTTGGGCTTGGCAGGTTCTCTGCTGCAGCCAGTGGTCTCAGAGGGCACATCAGTGGCATCCCTGCCCTGCCTCCAGCCTTGGTGGCTCCTACTGCCCTTGGGATAAAGCCTGAGGTGACCCTCCCCAAGGCTCCTGGAGCCTGTTCGGCTCAGGCCCTGCTTGCCCCTTCTGCCATCACACTGCATGTTCTCCTGCTTCAGCTCCCACCTGGGGACATGGCTAGTCCCAAACTAAGCTCAGGAGCTCCAGAGTCCGTGAAGCTGGGATGGCCCATGATCCCCGCTGTGTCCCTCACCCCTGCGCCCTCTTCTCAGCCCCTCTGCCTTCAGCTTGTCCAAACCGCCATCATCCACTTGGGACCAGTGACAGCCCTTCAGTTTCCTCACTGTCCCCAGGTGCTACCCCATGATGGCTGAGGGTGCATTTCACTTGACTATCATCGGCCATGCCACTGCCTTGCTCTGGGCCTGTGGTGCTCCCAGCTGCCCCCAGGACACTGCCCGGGGAACTCGCCATCCCTTCGATCACGTGCACCTGCTGCCCTCTGTGCACAGCCTCCCCGCTGGCGCCCCCACCCTACGCTGCTGCCTTCTCCTCCTGCTTGCAGGAATCCTGCCTCCCTGTCATCCCAGGAGGGAGGATGGCACCCGACGTGTCCCCTGAGCCCCAGAGCTGGCAGCTGTTGGGCCTTGAGAGGACCCCAGACGTGTGAAGGAGATTGCAAGGCGTCCGTCATTGGAAGCTTGTTGACTGCAAGTTGGCCTGGTCAGGTCTTGATGAGCCCCGAGCCCTTGCACCTTCCTGAGGGTTTTGTGGGAGAAATGGCCAGCTCCTTCTGGGGTGGCCGGATTCTGAAAACACTTTTTTTTTTGGTCCGACACTTTGTTACTTTAAAAAAGGAAAAGAAGGAAGACAATGCTTGTACCTAAGACTGTGATGCTTCACCCTTCGTGCAATTTTGAAAATTATAATTTTCTATATAATTTTCCAGTAGAAAAGCAGAAGTTTTCTGCAAATATGGCTTAAATATTTCATGGCAGTTTTAAGAGGTCCCAAACCTCTTGTAATGACTCAGCTTTTATGGAATTTGAATGAACCGTAATAATTGAGTGGTACTCCCTTAATGCACAGCCCCACTGGCCCCAGTGAGTTGCTCTCATCTCTTGTGTCCCTTTGGCTCTAAATCCTGATGCTGTGTGAGAGGCAGGCTGGCAAAACAAACCTTGAAAACGTGGATTCAGTCTGAGGGCTTAAGTAGCTACAGGAAAGAACCCCAGCCCTTCTCCCCCAGAGCTGAGTGCTCAGGGATGAGCCTGGGCTCCGGAGGCTCCTACCCCAGAGCCTGAGCAGGGATGAGCCTGGGCTCCAGAGGCTCCTACCCCAGAGACTGAGCAGGGATGAGCCTGGGCTCCTGAGGCTCCTACCCCAGAGACTGAGCAGGGATGAGCCTGGGCTCCAGAGGCTCCTACCCCAGAGACTGAGCAGGGATGAGCCTGGGATCCTGAGGCTCCTACCCCAGAGACTGAGCAGGGATGAGCCTGGGATCCTGAGGCTCCTGACCCAGAGACTGAGCAGGGATGAGCCTGGGCTCCTGAGGCTCCTACCCCAGAGACTGAGCAGGGATGAGTCTGGGATCCTGAGGCTCCTACCCCAGAGCCTGAGCAGGGATGAGCCTGGGCTCCTGAGGCTCCTACCCCAGAGCTTGAGCAGGGATGAGCCTGGGCTCCTGAGGCTCCTACCCCAGAGACTGAGCAGGGATGAGCCTGGGATCCTGAGGCTCCTACCCCAGAGCTTGAGCAGGGATGAGCCTGGGCTCCTGAGGCTCCTACCCCAGAGACTGAGCAGGGATGAGCCTGGGATCCTGAGGCTCCTACCCCAGAGCTTGAGCAGGGATGAGCCTGGGATCCTGAGGCTCCTACCACAGAGACGGAGCAGGGATGAGCCTGGGATCCTGAGGCTCCTACCCCAGAGCTTGAGCAGGGATGAGCCTGGGCTCCTGAGGCTCCTACCCCAGAGACTGAGCAGGGATGAGCCTGGGATCCTGAGGCTCCTACCCCAGAGCTTGAGCAGGGATGAGCCTGGGATCCTGAGGCTCCTACCCCAGAGCCTGAGCAGGGATGAGCCTGGGATCCTGAGGCTCCTACCCCAGAGACTGAGCAGGGATGAGCCTGGGCTCCTGAGGCTCCTACCCCAGAGACTGAGCAGGGATGAGCCTGGGCTCCTGAGGCTCCTACCCCAGAGACTGAGCAGGGATGAGCCTGGGATCCTGAGGCTCCTACCCCAGAGCCTGAGCAGGGATGAGCCTGGGCTCCAGAGGCTCCTACCCCAGAGACTGAGCAGGGATGAGCCTGGGCTCCTGAGGCTCCTACCCCAGAGACTGAGCAGGGATGAGCCTGGGCTCCTGAGGCTCCTACCCCAGAGCTTGAGCAGGGATGAGTCTGGGCTCCTGAGGCTCCTACCCCAGAGACTGAGCAGGGATGAGCCTGGGCTCCTGAGGCTCCTACCCCAGAGACTGAGCAGGGATGAGCCTGGGATCCTGAGGCTCCTACCCCAGAGACTGAGCAGGGATGAGCCTGGGATCCTGAGGCTCCTACCCCAGAGCTTGAGCAGGGATGAGCCTGGGATCCTGAGGCTCCTACCCCAGAGCCTGAGCAGGGATGAGCCTGGGATCCTGAGGCTCCTACCCCAGAGACGGAGCAGGGATGAGCCTGGGATCCTGAGGCTCCTACCCCAGAGACTGAGCAGGGATGAGCCTGGGCTCCAGAGGCTCCTACCCCAGAGACTGAGCAGGGATGAGTCTGGGCTCCTGAGGCTCCTACCCCAGAGACTGAGCAGGGATGAGCCTGGGCTCCAGAGGCTCCTACCCCAGAGACTGAGCAGGGATGAGCCTGGGCTCCTGAGGCTCCTACCCCAGAGACTGAGCAGGGATGAGCCTGGGCTCCTGAGGCTCCTACCCCAGAGACTGAGCAGGGATGAGCCTGGGCTCCTGAGGCTCCTACCCCAGAGCCTGAGCAGGGATGAGCCTGGGCTCCTGAGGCTCCTACCCCAGAGCTTGAGCAGGGATGAGCCTGGGCTCCTGAGGCTCCTACCCCAGAGCCTGAGCAGGGATGAGCCTGGGCTCCTGAGGCTCCTACCCCAGAGACTGAGCAGGGATGAGCCTGGGATCCTGAGGCTCCTACCCCAGAGCTTGAGCAGGGATGAGCCTGGGCTCCTGAGGCTCCTACCCCAGAGACTGAGCAGGGATGAGCCTGGGATCCTGAGGCTCCTACCCCAGAGCTTGAGCAGGGATGAGCCTGGGATCCTGAGGCTCCTACCCCAGAGCTTGAGCAGGGATGAGCCTGGGATCCTGAGGCTCCTACCCCAGAGACTGAGCAGGGATGAGCCTGGGCTCCAGAGGCTCCTACCCCAGAGACTGAGCAGGGATGAGTCTGGGCTCCTGAGGCTCCTACCCCAGAGACTGAGCAGGGATGAGCCTGGGCTCCAGAGGCTCCTACCCCAGAGACTGAGCAGGGATGAGCCTGGGCTCCTGAGGCTCCTACCCCAGAGACTGAGCAGGGATGAGCCTGGGCTCCTGAGGCTCCTACCCCAGAGACTGAGCAGGGATGAGCCTGGGCTCCTGAGGCTCCTACCCCAGAGCCTGAGCAGGGATGAGCCTGGGCTCCTGAGGCTCCTACCCCAGAGACTGAGCAGGGATGAGCCTGGGATCCTGAGGCTCCTACCCCAGAGCTTGAGCAGGGATGAGCCTGGGCTCCTGAGGCTCCTACCCCAGAGACTGAGCAGGGATGAGCCTGGGATCCTGAGGCTCCTACCCCAGAGCTTGAGCAGGGATGAGCCTGGGATCCTGAGGCTCCTACCACAGAGACGGAGCAGGGATGAGCCTGGGATCCTGAGGCTCCTACCCCAGAGCTTGAGCAGGGATGAGCCTGGGCTCCTGAGGCTCCTACCCCAGAGACTGAGCAGGGATGAGCCTGGGATCCTGAGGCTCCTACCCCAGAGCTTGAGCAGGGATGAGCCTGGGATCCTGAGGCTCCTACCCCAGAGCCTGAGCAGGGATGAGCCTGGGATCCTGAGGCTCCTACCCCAGAGACTGAGCAGGGATGAGCCTGGGCTCCTGAGGCTCCTACCCCAGAGACTGAGCAGGGATGAGCCTGGGCTCCTGAGGCTCGTACCCCAGAGACTGAGCAGGGATGAGCCTGGGCTCCTGAGGCTCCTACCCCAGAGACTGAGCAGGGATGAGTCTGGGCTCCTGAGGCTCCTACCCCAGAGACTGAGCAGGGATGAGCCTGGGCTCCAGAGGCTCCTACCCCAGAGACTGAGGAGGGGTGAGCCTGGGATCCTGAGGCTCCTACCCCAGAGACTGAGCAGGGATGAGCCTGGGATCCTGAGGCTCCTACCCCAGAGACTGAGCAGGGATGAGCCTGGGCTCCTGAGGCTCCTACCCCAGAGACTGAGCAGGGATGAGCCTGGGATCCTGAGGCTCCTACCCCAGAGCCTGAGCAGGGATGAGCCTGGGCTCCTGAGGCTCCTACCCCAGAGCCTGAGCAGGGATGAGCCTGGGCTCCTGAGGCTCCTACCCCAGAGACTGAGCAGGGATGAGCCTGGGATCCTGAGGCTCCTACCCCAGAGCTTGAGCAGGGATGAGCCTGGGATCCTGAGGCTCCTACCCCAGAGACTGAGCAGGGATGAGCCTGGGATCCTGAGGCTCCTACCCCAGAGCTTGAGCAGGGATGAGCCTGGGCTCCTGAGGCTCCTACCCCAGAGACTGAGCAGGGATGAGCCTGGGATCCTGAGGCTCCTACCCCAGAGACTGAGCAGGGATGAGCCTGGGATCCTGAGGCTCCTACCCCAGAGCCTGAGCAGGGATGAGTCTGGGCTCCTGAGGCTCCTACCCCAGAGCCTGAGCAGGGATGAGCCTGGGCTCCTGAGGCTCCTACCCCAGAGCTTGAGCAGGGATGAGCCTGGGCTCCTGAGGCTCCTACCCCAGAGCTTGAGCAGGGATGAGCCTGGGATCCTGAGGCTCCTACCCCAGAGCTTGAGCAGGGATGAGCCTGGGCTCCTGAGGCTCCTACCCCAGAGACTGAGCAGGGATGAGCCTGGGATCCTGAGGCTCCTACCCCAGAGCTTGAGCAGGGATGAGCCTGGGATCCTGAGGCTCCTACCCCAGAGCTTGAGCAGGGATGAGCCTGGGATCCTGAGGCTCCTACCCCAGAGACTGAGCAGGGATGAGCCTGGGCTCCAGAGGCTCCTACCCCAGAGACTGAGCAGGGATGAGTCTGGGCTCCTGAGGCTCCTACCCCAGAGACTGAGCAGGGATGAGCCTGGGCTCCAGAGGCTCCTACCCCAGAGACTGAGCAGGGATGAGCCTGGGCTCCTGAGGCTCCTACCCCAGAGACTGAGCAGGGATGAGCCTGGGCTCCTGAGGCTCCTACCCCAGAGACTGAGCAGGGATGAGCCTGGGCTCCTGAGGCTCCTACCCCAGAGCCTGAGCAGGGATGAGCCTGGGCTCCTGAGGCTCCTACCCCAGAGCCTGAGCAGGGATGAGCCTGGGCTCCTGAGGCTCCTACCCCAGAGCTTGAGCAGGGATGAGCCTGGGATCCTGAGGCTCCTACCCCAGAGACTGAGCAGGGATGAGCCTGGGATCCTGAGGCTCCTACCCCAGAGACTGAGCAGGGATGAGCCTGGGCTCCAGAGGCTCCTACCCCAGAGACTGAGCAGGGATGAGTCTGGGCTCCTGAGGCTCCTACCCCAGAGACTGAGCAGGGATGAGCCTGGGCTCCAGAGGCTCCTACCCCAGAGACTGAGCAGGGATGAGCCTGGGCTCCTGAGGCTCCTACCCCAGAGCCTGAGCAGGGATGAGCCTGGGCTCCTGAGGCTCCTACCCCAGAGCCTGAGCAGGGATGAGCCTGGGCTCCTGAGGCTCCTACCCCAGAGACTGAGCAGGGATGAGCCTGGGCTCCTGAGGCTCCTACCCCAGAGCTTGAGCAGGGATGAGCCTGGGCTCCTGAGGCTCCTACCCCAGAGACTGAGCAGGGATAAGCCTGGGATCCTGAGGCTCCTACCCCAGAGCTTGAGCAGGGATGAGCCTGGGCTCCTGAGGCTCCTACCCCAGAGACTGAGCAGGGATGAGCCTGGGATCCTGAGGCTCCTACCCCAGAGACTGAGCAGGGATGAGCCTGGGATCCTGAGGCTCCTACCCCAGAGACTGAGCAGGGATGAGCCTGGGCTCCAGAGGCTCCTACCCCAGAGACTGAGCAGGGATGAGCCTGGGCTCCTGAGGCTCCTACCCCAGAGACTGAGCAGGGATGAGCCTGGGCTCCAGAGGCTCCTACCCCAGAGACTGAGCAGGGATGAGCCTGGGATCCTGAGGCTCCTACCCCAGAGACTGAGCAGGGATGAGCCTGGGCTCCAGAGGCTCCTACCCCAGAGACTGAGCAGGGATGAGCCTGGGCTTCTGAGGCTCCTACCCCAGAGACTGAGCAGGGATGAGCCCGGTCTTGGAGCCAGCATGTGGGGCTGCAGTGTCAGTCTCCCCATCTGGGGCATGGGTATGATGCAGTCTCACAGGGGTCTCGTTGAGACCAAAAGAAGGCTGGGCTGGGCGCTGTGGCTCATTCCTGTAATCCCAGCACTTTGGGAGGCTGAGATGGGCAGATTTTCTGAGGTCAGGAGTTCGAGACCAGCCTGGACAACACAATGAAGCCCCAGTCCTACTAAAAATACAAAAAATTAGCCGGGCGTGGTGGCGGGCGCCTGTAATCTCAGCTACTTGGGAGGCTGAGGCAGGAGAATCACTTGAACCTGGGAGGCAGAGGTTGCAGTGAACCAAGACCGTGCCACTGCACTCCAGCCTGGGCAACGAGAGCAAAACTCTGTCTCAAAAAAAAAAAAAAAAAAAAAAAAAAAGCAGGCTGGTTGGATGCTGGATTCTGAGATGCCCCCAGGGAAGCTGTTACAAATGAAGGGCTTGCATGGAAGGCTGGGAGCGAAGGCTGGGAAATATCTGAACAGGAGCAGAAGGGACAAAGGCCTCGTTAAGCGTCCTGCCGGCTGCACAGAGAAGGACAGGACACGTCATAAACACTCGCCAAATCCATCCTTTGGGCTCTGGAATTGGGGTCCTCAGCCTCATACCCATTTATCCACTGGGCGACGATGGGCCAATTTGATTGCCCACTGGCAGGTATCCCCTGGTCTCCCTGCACTGGCGAGCTGCCCCGTCCTGCCCTCAGGCCAGTCACAGGACAGAGTTAGCTCTGGACAGTCCTCAGATACAAGGGGATTGGAGCCCTTCACTCCACACAGTGGGACTCTGGGGCCAGACAGAGGGCAGGGTCTGGTGCCAGTTCATGGTGGCAGGGCCTCCTCTGGACTCTGGCCTGCCCTGCTGCCTCTGCATCTATTCTACCAGCCTCTCCTGCTTTGACCATACTAGCATTATAGCCTGTTGTACTATTCACTTTCAAAATTTTCTTGGAAAATCTCAAACATCTATTCTTTCCTGTAAACTTTGCAATCAGTTTGTCCAGTATTCTCTAAACACATCACAAACAAATAGACAAAACCAAACCAAAAAAGCAAACGACCAATAAACAACTGACAAAGCAGGAGCATAAACAAAGATCCACCCAGACACTGATCAAAAGAAAACCGTCATCCCTGCCCAAAGCCACAGCCTCTCCAGGAAGATGACGTAAGCAATAAAAAGTGGCACAAACACACACTCATGCTTTCAAATAACCCCCAAATTTAAGAAGAAATAAAAATGGAAACTTCTAGAAAACTGGTAAAAAGGAAAAGAACTCACATCAAAAACTGATGGGACACGTACCAAACCACAATTAGGGAAAATGGGATCACATTAAATGCTCTTACTATTAAAGAGAAAGCCCAAGCATAAACAAATTACTTATTCCTTTCAAGAAATAAGAAAAATTACAACAAAAAGAGGGTGTTGGCTGGGTGTGGTGGCTCATGCCTGTAATCCCAGCACTTTGGGAGGCTGAGGTGGGTGGATCACTTGAGCTCAGGAGTTTGAGACTAGCCTAGGCAACATGGTTTAACACCATCTCTACAAAAAAAAAAAAAAAAGAAAAAAAAGAAAGAAAATACAAAAGTTAGCCAGGTGTAGTGGCATGTGCCTGTAGTCCCAGCTACTCAAGAGGCTGAAGTGGGAGGATCGCTTGAGCCCAGGAGGTAGAGACTGCAGTGAGCCGAAATCATGCCACTGCACTCTAGCCTGGGTGACAGAGCAAGACCCTCAAAAAAAAAAAAAAAAGTAAACTAAAAATAAAAATAGAGTGTTCCTAGAAATAAAAGCTGAAATCAATAAACTAAACAAAAATAAAAGAAGAGATACATTGATTCTTTGAAAAGAGGAATAAAACATGAACCGTTGGCAAATCAGATTAAGGGAAAGAAACAAATCTCCAACACGAAGGAGAGAAACAGATATAACTCCACATGTAAATAAGGTACAACTACGCATATAAAGCAGGTGTAACTGCTGACAAGACCATGTATATAACGAAGATGATGCTAAGCAGACGTATGTGCAGGTCTTTGGCAACGTATTGAATGTGTAAGATAAGTTACACTCCCACAGGGCAAAACTGACCCGAGAAGAAATGGAAAACGAAAGCAGACCCTTGACAGAAAAGAGATTGGAAAGGGAATTAAAGTGTATTCTTTATGATGACAGCTGCGGAATATGTACAGGGGAGTTCAATGAACCTCTCAAGAAAAGTTATTTTGAGTGTTCCAGGTGATGGAAAAAGTGGAAAGCCCACCAACTCATTTTATAAAATAATACAATTTTCTTAACACAAATAAATCTGAAAACTATGTCACCATAAAGGAATTACAGATGCAAAAATTCTTGACAAAACACTGAGAGTAATCAAGTCTGACTGTGGCTCAGTGTCCACCTTGTGGGCCCCGCTGGCCCTAAGCTGCTCTGCTAGCTGTGGGCATATGTGGACCCCGGAAACTTTTAGAACCTGTGACTGACGCTGAGTTGAGCCCCCACAGGCGGGTGACCTGCAAGGCTGGCACTGGGGATGTGGGGAGCTGGGGGGGTGGGTGTGGCACGTGGGCACAGTGGGGGAAGGAGGCCTGGGCAAGAGTCCAAGAACGCCGTGAGCTTCCCTGAGCCACGGAGGCTGTGACTGGGCGCCAGTCCAAGGGTGGCATGGGGGGCCTTTCTGAGCGGGCATGAGGCTGTGGGTGATGCTGAGTGAGTGCCAGGCCTCCCGCCTGCTCAGAGACCTGGCCAGCTACTTGGGCACTGCTGCTGCGTTCCGTGCGTGTCCTGACACCACGGGCTGGTCCTGCACGGCTGTTCTATTGAATTCCCAGGGTAGCCTTGGAAACGGGGAGGGATTTGCTCTCAAACAAGAATCTTACTGTTTGCATAGCACAGCCTACCATTTAATTAGAAAAATATGTTTTTAATTAACTTTCTCTTGACAAACACATCGGCTTATGTGAAACAGGGGAAAAACCAACCCATGAAAGCAAAAGAAGTTGTGTCAAAGGCAGAGCTGGCTCTAGACTGTGCCGGGAGCTTGGCAGAGCCAGGAGAGGCACCAGGCCTGCCCTACTGGACCCTAGCACCCCCCTGCTCAGCAAGGGGCATGGGGCAGCAGGGAGCATGGCTATGTTCCCAGCCCCCTGGCTGGCTAGAAAATTTCAACCCTGAGCTCTCTGCCTGGGTTTGCTGTGTGTCAAAAGCGGGGGCCTCTGGTGACTTAGGTGTGTCTGAATCCAGAAACCTATCACAATGACTCATAGATTACAAAAAGTTGGGAAAAACTTTCCTCAGAGCTGGAGACCAGGGACTTGGAGGACTCCCGAGGGCAGATGAGACCAACTTGGCCTAAAAATGGGTGAAATAATAATTGCCAGAATTGTAAGAAAACGTTGACACCATAATGATAGATTTTAGCACATTTCACTAAAAAAGTTGAGCAAATTCTAGACCAAGCAGAAAAATGCATACAGACAAAGGTCTGGTCAATGTCAGAGACGTCCTCTGCACTCATTGTGGAGACCCAAAGTTGGACCCCCATGTCCCCATACCCTGACTCAGAAGGGCGAGGGCTGGAGGGAGCTGCAGGGGTGTTGGGGAGGCAACTCTGTACTACCAGGACCTCAGGGAAGAGGGTTGCTGTGGCTGGGGGACCCGGGGAGCCCTCCATCCCTGTGAGGCAAGCAGCTGGGGAGGTGGAGGACCGCACCGTGACCGTGCACCGGAGAGCGCCGCTCCCACCCCGCCCACTTCAGGAACAGAACAGCTCCGGGAGGGCCAGAACTCCACTGCTGGCTCCCCATATTCCCCATGGCTCCCTGTGGCTGCAGGATCTTGGAACCCTTCTCTCTGCCTTTCTTTTGAGCCTGAAATATTTGGATGGGGACACATAAAGTCCCTGATGGGTTCCTCTCCACTCCCAACTTCAAACGAGGCCAGAACTCCTTTCTTTAAAGACACGCAAAGGAAAAAAATCACAAAACTAGTATCCACTGGGGTTTGAGAAAATAAAGTCGATCTGAGGAATCAGATCTGAGAGTCTCTAATTAAACAGAGAAGTGAGCTACTGACACACACCAGAAGATGGTAACTAGTGTTCTCAAGGTGAGGACAGGGCAGGGGTCTTGAGGTGGACAATCCAAAATGAAAACTCAGGCCGAACGAGGCCACCGTGGGGACAGGAGCAGCAGACGAGATGCGGCAGATCCTGAGATTAGCTGAGTAGGAGTAAGACCTGAAATTCTCCTGGGACCTTGGGGAAAACCGAGATGACAAGGAGAAATTCAAGATTGAAGCCAGGAGGACAGGTCCAGGGGATCAGTATTGGGATGCTGAGAATTCCAGGACAAAAGAACAGAGAAGAGGGAGAAGGAGAAGAGATGTTTTTTTTACAGTGGAAGGAACCTCTGTAAACAGAAGGTAGATTTGATTCTGCAAGTAGGGAGGGTTTGCCGGGGTAGGTAAAAATAATGAAAGGGGCCGACACGCCCACATTTTGGTGACATTTTTGAATTTCAAAAACAAGGAGGCCTCTGGCTGCCACTCTGGAAAGAGCACTGACAAGAAAAACACAAAGAACCCAGGGAATCCGCACATTTCTTGAACCCATCTGAACTCAAGGTCAGAGGCAAACAAGGAGCCTGGAATCGAATGAAAGCCAGGCCCCTCCAGGAGAGATGCCATGAGCGGCCCCACCCATCAAACCAGCGGCATGGAGTTCACCAAAGCTGGTAACATGTTGCTCGGACCCACGTGGCAGGCAGAGCCCTCAGAGGGCCCTGTGAGCTCTGGCCCTGACGTTATCCTGTGATTACGTTGGATTCATGGCCAGGGGACTTTGTGGATGTGAAGAGTTGACTCTGAGTTAAGCAAAGGGTGACCACCCAGGTGGGTCTCACCCACTCACGCACACCCTCGGGTGTCGGCAGAAGGGAGCCATGAGGTGTGAGGCACGTGGAGATGGGGGGCGTGGGGTGCAGGTGCTGCTGCCACACTGTGGCACAGCCAAGGAAGCCCCTGGCTAGGAGTGGGGAGCCCTTGGCCGACCGCACAGAAATGAGGCTCAGCCCGACAACGCAAAGAGCTGGACTCGCCACGCTGGGATGAGCCCGGATGCCCCCAGAAGCACCTGGATGAACCCAGAGGAGGACTCTTCCCCGTGGCCTCGGGTGGCCCAGCCTACCCCATGACTGTGAGACCCAGAGGGGAGACGCCAGTCACACCATGCCAGGCTTCTCACCTATGGGACTGGGGGCTCAAAAGTGGGGTTAAGTCATCAGTAATTTGTTGCAAAAAGTAGTGCACCAGGTGTGGGCTGCTGTGGGTAGAGAGCCCTGGGGTCCACAGACACCAAGAGAAGTTCAACCTACAGGCAGGAGAGCCCAGAGCCCCCCTGGGGAGCAGGTTTGGAAGAGGGGATTGTCCAGAGCAGGAAATTCTAAGGAGCAAAAGTCTTAGCTCCTAGGGCGCAGGTGGAAGCAGTGCAGCTGGGAAGGGAAGGGACAAGACCCTCGGCCCCTGGAGGGGGCAGGGCGCTGTCCTGGCCCAGCCATAAGATGCCCTGGATGCAAATGCTAAGGGAAAAGAGGATGAATAAATCATCCCTGCCATGCAAGACAGGACAGGCAGGAAAGACACACGGAAAGGAGAAAGTGTCCTATGAACAACCTAAGGAAAAACAGAGCATGGGTTACCACAAAACTTCTACATGGGACAAATTCCCCCAGAAGAGGCAGAGACTCTAAGGTGAGATTGAAACCAGAGCCAGGCTGATGAAATGAAGGCTGAAACCACAAACACCAAAAAAGCAGAGGCCAAGAGGAAGACAAACAGCAGTCACAGGACATGCAGGCCACTCAGGAAAAGTTAACCGAGAAACTTCAAATTCGAAGAGTCAAGAAATCTAGAAGTCAAATACCCTTGGAAATAAAAGGAGACATTGACAAAAAGAATTGTAGTGGGAAAATTCAACACATCATCCTTAGTTTTGATAAATTCAGGAACTGGATCAAATGTGGCCTATTTGAATAATGCATTTGTAAAGGTTGATTTAAAAGGTGTATTTCAGAACTGGGCACGGTGGCTCACACCTGTAATCCCAGCACTTTGGGAAGCTGAGGCAGGCAGATCATTTAAGGTCAGGAGTTCAAGACCAGTCTGGCCAACATGGTGTGAAACCTGTCTCTACTAAAAATACAAAAAAATTAGGTGTATTGGCGGGTGCCTGTAATCCCGACTACTTGGGAAGCTGAGGCAGGAGAATCACTTGAACCTGGGAGGCGGAGGTTGCTGTGAGCCAAGATGGTGCCACTGCACTCCAGCCTGGGTGACAGAATGAGACTCCATCTCAAAAAATAAAATAAAATAGAAGGTCTCTTTCAAAATGTGTAACCTGTGAGCAGAGCACGTTATTTCTGCATGCATGTGGGAGACATACATGTGACTATACACATAAAATGAAACTTGGCCCAACTCAGCCCGCTCCAGGTCCCCTGACTTCTCAGGTGCCCCCATCTCCTGGGCATCTCACAAGTCCTGACCCCATCCCTGGCCAGGCCGCCTGGGTCTTTCCACAGACGTCTCTAGTCTTACTGCCCCAGCAGCTGTCACCAGAAGGGTCTTTCCAAAACAGAAATTTCCAAACTGCTGGCTAATGAGGACCTTGCTCTCTCTGCAGCCTGGCCTCTGCTCTCTGCCCCCTCCCCTCTCCCCTGCAGAAGCCACCTCCTCAGAGGCTCAGGGCCTACTGGGAACTCAGAGCCTGCCTGCTAGTCTGAGTGCTGACAGCCCTCTGGTGGCCTCTGAGGGCCACCAGGCTCCGGGGCTGAGCCCCGCGTGGAACAGCACAGGCCTGGCCGGCTGCCCTTGGGGCCTTTCTGCCAACCTGCAAGGCCGTCCCTCCTGATGGCTCACCCAGGCCTCCCTCATTGGAGGGACACTTGGAGAGGAGTGGCTCCCCGGTCTCTGTGCCCTGTCTCCTCTGCACTGTGCTGGCCCCCTCTTTCCAGAATGGGTTGAGGGACGCCTGGGGGCAGTTGCCCTGGGGAGCCTCAGCCAGGCACGCTGTTCTCTGGCCCCTGGGGCCTGCAAGGGAGCTCTCTGGAGCGGAACAGTTGTCCCCTGGCCCAGTCCTGACAAGAGGATCTCAGGACACCCCGGGGGCTGCTTGGACCTGTGGGGCTGGGCTGGCTGGGCCTGGGGCTCCCCACCAGCACTGAGGACCAAGGCCTGGGCCAGGCCTCCATCCACCACTGCCTGGCCGTTCCATTTCCAGGCCCAGGCTCCTCACCTGAAAACCTCAGACCCAGCGGGCACCTCCCCAGCACAAAGCCTGGCATGTAGGGACACTGACTTCAGCCCTTCCTGAGAGGCCCCTTCTGTGTCTGAGCCACATGGAATGAAAAGTGGTCTTGGAGCAGGACAGTGTGACCCTATAAAGAGCCCCAAGGCTGGGCCAGGGCCGCCCCATGCCTGCCGCTGTGGCCTCAGCAAGAAGAAAGGGCCTAGACTTGGGGCTCTGCCCCCCACTCGCTGTGCCCCCAGGGCCAAGTCCTCAGTTTCCCCAACCTGTAAAACAAGGGCTAGAACCACCGTAAGGACAGCTCTGCTAAGGACGACCCCAGTCCCGATGACCCCAAAGCCGCCTGCCACAGCCCAGCCTGCACCTCTGCCCCAGGGCCCCACCGGGCTGGCTCCAGCCCCGAACACCCACAGAAGCCCTTGCAGACCCCTCTCTCCCACCTCCCGGCCCTGTGGCCTCCCTGCAGGGTGTGAGGGTGACCGAGAGGCCTTGTTCTTGTGCCCCACCTGGGACCCACCCTGCCGCCTGCCCCACCTGCAGCCGCCGCTTCTCCTGGCCTGCCGCACGCACGCTCGCCAGGTGCTCCAACTCCAGCCTGCGGAGCGCCTCCTTCTGCAGGGCACGTGCTGCCCGGGCGCTGCTCAGCGCGCCCTCCACCCGGCGCTGGCCTGTGGGGCAAGCAGGGTGGCTTGAGGGGCCCCCATGCCCCTCCCAGGTCACAGGCAGGCAATGCAGGGCTCTGTGGACTTGAGTGACTGGCTCCCACGTGGAGGTGGGGGTCCATCCTTGCAGCTCAAGGGTCCTGGGGCTGCCCCAGGGTCCCGGCTTCCCACCCATCCTTCCCTCCTGCCTCTTTCCTTTAATTGAGGGGCAATAAGCAGAGAAACTCGTGAGTGTGAGGCAGTGGGGGGCAGAAGGAAGGGGCCTCTCTGAGGGGGTGACGAGGGGCAGGGCCTGCCCGGGGAGAGCCGTGTGGCTGTCTGGGGGAGAGGGTGCCAGGCAGAGGGCACAGCCAGGGCAAAGGCCCCCAGTGGGAACTGCAGGAGGCCAGGGTGGGGCAGGGGGGCAGAGGATGCTGGGGGCCGGATCGGGAGGGCCCTGATGGGCCTGTGGACGTCACTCCTCTGTGCTGGGGAAGTCGCTGCTGAGAACTCCGATGCCAAGCGCTGACCCAGCCTCGCCAGGCCTGGTGGTTTGGGTGTTGCCCCCAGGCTCCCTTCCCACCGAGCTGCCCCAGGGACTGAAAGCTTATAGCCGGCAGCAGTGGGGACATGGTGGTGCCACTCTCACAGCCACTCCCAGGGTGGGCGGGGCAGGGCAAGGGAGGTCACCTTCTTCCGCCTCAGCCAGGGCTTTCTGCAGCTGCCCCACGCGGCTCTGGGCCCGGGCACACCTGCACTCTGCCTCGCTCAGCCGGCTGCTCAGGGTCGCCATCTGGATGCGGGAGTCATCCTGGGCAGAAGGACTGAGGTCAGCGGGGGCAGTCCAATGGGCGGGTGGAGGGCCAAGGTGTCTGCTAGAGGGTCGGGGCCAGCTGGGGCCGCTCACGGTCTGGCCTGCAGGTGTGCAGGGCAGGGCAGTGGGTGGTGTGGGCCGTGGGCTCGGGGAAGGTGCGGGGAAGGTGATCACACTGGGAAGCTGCGCTGACCTGCAGGCCTGGGGAGGTGGAGGCGCCCAGTGAGACTCGGCCTAAAGGGTCCAGGTTTCAAGCACAGGTGTGGTGTGGGAGAGCTGGCAGGTGGCGGCCCACAGCCTGTGGTCAGGGGGACCGGTAGGGGCTGCCCCTGGCGGGACTTGGGGCTGAGTGCAGACGGGACCCTGCCCCCTGGGGCTGGCAGCGGTGGGAGGGTGGGCCCGAAGGGAAGGAGTGTGCACAGAGGACCCTGGCCAGGGCTCAGGGCCTGCCTCTGTCTTTCCCACAGTCCTGCCCACTGGAGTCATCCAGCGAGGTGGGAGGGGGCCGCTCACGGGTGGTTCTGTGGGAGCCCTGAAGCCAGGAGCAGCCACTGGGGAGCTTGGCCCCACCGGAGGGGTCTTTGGGAGCATTGAGGGGAGCTTGCTGGCTCTGTCCTGCAGTTGCCCAGCCCCGGCAGCTCTTCAGGGGTGGCATGAGTTGCAGAATGCCCTACCCTGGGCCCTGGTGGGTGTCACAGCAGGGCCTGGCTCCAGGGGCTTTTCAGCCTGGTATAAGGAAGGGGGCGGCCTCCAGCCACCCAAGGCACTTGGGCTTGGGGGCCATGGTGGTGCTGGTGTTTATCACAACAAACAGGACGGCCTGGACACTGACCCTCAGACCCAGGGACGCGCGGATGGATGGACAGCAGGTGTTCTTCCCAGAGACCCCCGGGGGGTGCCGCCGTGGGCGGGAGGACCCCAGCCCCCATTACCCGCTCCCGCTGGGCTTCCCGGAGCTTCTGCACAAAGTCCCGCAGGATGTCCTGCACGGTGGCCACATCCATGAGCTCTGAGCTGCGGCCTCCGGGTGTGGGCGAGGGCCATCGGAGGGGCGAGTGGGGCCTGGCTGGGGGGCTGGTACCCTGTTGCCCAGGGAGAGCCTGGGAGCTGTCGGAGCCTGCGGGAGGTGACAGCGGAGGGGTCGTGGACAGGAACACAGTGACAGATACACGCCCTTCCCCTTTCCTCTCTGCTGCCCCAGCCATGGGAGGTTGGGGAGACGGCCACAGGTTCCTACAATTGCC
Source organism: Homo sapiens (assembly GCF_000001405.40). Lineage (NCBI taxonomy): Eukaryota > Metazoa > Chordata > Mammalia > Primates > Hominidae > Homo > Homo sapiens. The sequence goes on along the minus strand of NC_000002.12, from coordinate 240,966,097 downwards.
TGTCCGAGTCCCTCACTGTGTGAGTTGTGAGGCCTGAAAGAGAGGTGCCAGGCCAGGGACTGAGCTGGGAGAGGGGCCCGCCTGCCTCCACTGAGGACTCTGACCTTTGGTGGGGGAACCAGGCTGCTCCGGGGAGGCCCACGGGCTCTGTCTCTGGAGCCCCAGGCCACGGCGGAGCGTGGAGCACAGCCGGCCCAGCTGGGCCTCCGCATCCTGCCTTGCACCCTCAGCCTGGGCCAGCTCCTGCTCCAGGCTGTGGATTCGGTGACAGGCCTGGTCCAGGCGAGCCTGGAGAGCATCAGCCACACCACTGGCTTCCTGCAGCTTCCTGGTGACACTGTGCAGCTCTGCTCGGAGGGTCTGCTCAGCCCCCCGGCTCTCACGGAGGTGCTCCTGGAGCCGCTGTCCATGGGCCTCCCCTGCGGCCTCCACCTCTGCCAACTTCCTCTGCAATCCCAGGACCTGTAGGAGGGATGTTGGGGTGCGCCCGTGGGAGACAGTGAGGAAGTGGGGTGGGCCTCCTCCCTCTGCTCCCCGACGCCCAGCTCCTTCCCTTCTGACCACAGGCAGCCCTCCCACCTCCTTCCGGGCACCCTCGTGCTTGGCCTCTGCCTTGGCTGCCTGCCTCCGCAGCTCCAGCACCTCCTGCGAGCACTGCGCCTGCAGCTCATGGGCCTCTCCACTCCTCCTCTGGTTCTCGGCCTTCAGTGTCCTCACCTGGGAGCGTGGGGCCGCACGGACAGGGTCACTGGTCTCTGTGCTGGAACCCAGGCAGCCTCCCTGCCTCCTGCCTCCGCTCACACGTCCCTTGAGGGCAGCTGGCCACACTTAGGGAGGCTTGGGCTAAGGTGCCCCAAAGGACCTTGCCCTGGGAGTTGTCACCCTCAGCCACTCTGTAGACACCTACCTGGGACCTCCTCGGAACCTCCTTGGAGGACCTGGGACAAGGAGGAGGCTCAGGTGGGGCGGGGTGGGCACTGATTAGGGAGTGTGGGCAGTGGCTGGGGTGCATTGGACCCAACTGCCCCGAGGCCGCCATTACAGGAGGGAGCCAGGCCTTGGGGGGACCCGGCTTGCCAGCACCCTGCCCTGCAGAGGCCAGGCCTCCCCTCTAGCCTGCCTGAGTTCCCGAGCGCCACCGGAAGGTGTTGCATGTAGGATACTTCCGTGTGCTGCTGTGCATGCCGGAAGGTGTTGCATGTAGGATACTTCCGTGTGCTGCTGGGCATGGTTCCCTTCCTCCTCGCTAAAGCATTCCTGGTTTTGCCCTCTCCAGTCTTGTCATCTGTGCCCCATGGGGACAGACCCAACCAGGGACCCTGTGAGCCTGAGCAGGGCGTGGCCCAAAGTCTGGGGACAGAGTGGTTCAAAGGCGGCAGCAAGGCCAGGGCTGGGGGCTCCCCTGGGAGGAGCCGGGACCCACCAGGCGGGAGGGTGCCTGGTTGGATGTTGACCCCTCCCTGCCGCCCTACCTGTCTGTGGAGTTCCCGGAGCTCCTGACGGGCGTCCCCCCCTGCCTGCTCCAGCTCCCACAGGTGGGCCCGCAGTGCACTGGCCTCCTGCTGCAACGCCGCCTGGGCCTCCTCCAGGATGAGCAGCTTCTGCTCCTTCTCCTCCTTGGACCGCTTAAAACTGACGAGGGTGCCACAGGCTGGGGCCCCCGCACCTCCTGGTGGGGCCAGCACAGCTGCCCAGCAGGTCTCTGCCTCCCCTAGTGAGGCACTGGCCCCAGTCTTGACTCTGCACAGTGTCCTCAAACTCAGCCTCTGCAGGGTTCCCTGTCACCTTACAGACATATGTCCACCCAGGTCCCGGTGCCGGCCGCATGGCCCCTGTCCACTATCCACCTCTTCAGCCCCTCCTCACCTCATCCCTCCCTGTCTCCCCCTCTCTGTCACACTCCCGGACGCTCAACATCCAGCCTAGCCTGGTACCTCTGCCACCTGCTGTGAGGGCTGTGCCATCCTGCCCAGCTGCCCCACAGGGGCCTTTCTAGAGCCCCAGCCAGGCCGTTGGCCTCCCTCTGCTCCCCAGCTCTGCACCACCTCCTGGAGGCCACCTGTGACCTATCTTGCCTGCTGGATGGGAACTCCCTGTGGGCAGGGACAGGTGTGTCCATGTCCTCAGCCATCCCTCGCACTGGCCAGCATTGCAGACCTCTTGGACTGGGCAGCGGGAGGCCTGCTTGGCATGTCTACCCCACCATCAGTGGGGCCCAAGTCAACAGGACGCCCCTGCCTAGCCCCCTTGCCCCATCCTCCCTACGGCCTGGGTGGGCAGCAGGCTGCAGGGCACCCCCAGCTGCTCCTGGGTGGCCGCCATACCTGGCCTTCTCCTGTTCGGCCCTGCAGATGGTGGCCCGCAGCTCGCTGTTGAAAAGCAACAGTACGTCCTTCTCGCGGGCCTCGTCACTCAGCGCCCGGCGGGCCTCCTGGGCCTCCCTGTGCAGCCCCTCCCGGCTCTCCTCGACGCCCTGCAGCTCCTGGCGCAGTGCGGCCAGTCCCTCCTGGGCCACGGTCAGCTGTGCCCGCAGCCTCTCAGCCTGGGGAGGACCATTCAGCTCTAGAGGCCCGCTGGGGACCACTGCTCCAGGGATAGCCACAGGGGCCTGTGGCCTCTGACATGGTGTGGCAGGCACAGGTGCCCTGCCCAACTTGGTCCCCATGCGCTTTGCTCACCCCATGGAGCCACCAATCCCTAGTGCTGCGGAGGCTGCAGGGCGGCTTCCACGGGCTGAGGCAGGGCCAGCCTAAGAGCCCAGAAGACCCCACCTTGAGCCCCTGGGCCCGGCCCCACGCTGCGGCCTCTCTGGACCCCCAGGACGCTGACCACTGGTAAGCAAGGCCTACCTGGGATGCGGCTCAGCACACGTGTCTGCACTGTCACTGCCTGGGGCCCTTCCCACCTCCTGCCCCCGGCGTCTAGTCCTCTCCTTAGGTGACAGTGTGGTGCCCAGGCCGCTGCCTGTCCTAGTGTGGGCAGCAGCCTCAGCAGGCAGGCTGGGCCTGACCCTGGCACAGTGACCCTGGCCCAGTGACCCCGGCACAGTGACTCTGCCACAGTGGGGGCTCACCCACTCCCTTGGCCTTCCTTCCCCCGTTGGCATGGGAGGCAGTGGGAGGAGGATCTCTGGCAATGGGGGGGCAGTGGGAGGAGGGTCTTGGTTTCCCGCTCCGGACACCAGGCATCTCACAGTGCCCGGGAGAACCCAGGGGTGGGGTCCGGAGGACAGTTGCAGCCTGGCAGGAAGGCCCTCCCCAGCACCTACGCTCTGGGGGTGGGGACTTGCTGGGGCTCGGCCCTGGCGCCCAGTCTCCTGCCTCCCAGGTCTGAGCTCTGGGCCTGACCAGAAACCCTGGAGAAGGCTCCATTCCGGCTCTCGTGTGTCCCAGAGGAGGAGGCGGAGGTAGCCAGCGGGGCATGCCCAGAGATGGAAGCCACAAAGACTCCGCGATGTCAAGTCGCTGGCTTGACAAAAGCAAACCCCTCTTTCTGGCTGTTTTCACGGGATATTGTCCAGGCCCCCGACCGGCCTGGCTCCCGAGGCTGCCGCTGTTATTGTTGTTCTGTTTTTGGGAAGGGCCAGAGCCTCCCCTCCGCTCCCCTCCACCCCCACACGTGGGAGCCATGACCGTGCTGAGCATTTTCCGCCGAGCTCAGCAGAAACCCGCCCAGAAGGTCAAGGACCAGCAAAAGGGCCCATGCATCATAAAAGAAACTGTTTTCATTTCCCAGCGCAGAGGAGATGAAAACAAGCAAAACAAATGCAGGGGAGGGCCTGCCCCCACTCCCGCCCCCACCCCACCCGCTCCCTCTGCCTCATGAGAACAGCCATCCCTTTTACAGGAATTTTACGGCCAAATCACTTAATGTGATTATAATAATTATTTCTTTGCTAGAAATTGTATAAACAGCCTCTTTTAAAAATCTCCTACAGGGAGGCAGCTCCAGAGCTCTGCAGGGAGGAGGGGCTGTGGAGGGAAAGCAGGGGAGGGTGAGAGTGTGTGTGTGTGTGTGAGTGTGAGTGCGTGTGAGTGTGAGTGTATGTGTGTGCGCGTGTGTGCGTGCGTGTGTGTGTGTGTGTGTGGGTGATGAGTGTGTGTGTGGGCCGGTGCAAGTGTCCTCTCTGTACGTGGTGTGCATACGTGTGTGTGCATGCATGTGTGTGCACGTCCGTATGCCTGTGCATGCACTACGTGTGTGTGTACATGTGTGTGATGAGCATGTGTGATGAGTGTGTGCGTGTGTGTCATGAGTGTATGTGTGCGTGCGTGTGTGTGAGTGTATGTGAGTGTATGTGTGAGTGCGTGTGTGTGATGAGTGTGTGTGTGTGAGAGCCAGTGCAGGTGTCCACTCTGTACGTGGTGTGCATACGTGTGTGTGCATGCATGTGTGTGCACGTCCGTATGCCTGTGCATGCACTACGTGTGTGTGTACGTGTGTGTGATGAGCGTGTGTGATGAGCGTGTGCATGTGTCATGAGTGTATGTGTGAGTGCGTGTGTGTGTGTGAGTGTATGTGTGATGAGTGTGTGAGTGTGATGAGTGTGTGTGTGTGAGCCAGTGCAGGTGTCCACTCTGTATGTGGTGTGCATACGTGTGTGCATGTATGTGTGTGCACGTCTGTATGCCTGTGCATGCACTACGTATGTGCATGTGTGCGCACACATGCGTGTGTGTGCTTGGTGCACGTTTCTGTGCACGCCTGTGTGCACTGTGTGGTGTCCATATGTGATTCCAGCGTGAGTGTGTGTGAGTGTGTGAGGCTTGTGTGTCTGCATTCAGCATGCACACACCACTCTGAGTGTCAAGTGTACACCGGTGTGTGTGGTCTCACTGCGTGGATGATGTGTATGCATGTGTGTGCACACGTGTGGACCTCAGGCAGGGTCTGAGAGACTGGAAGTTCCTCCAGTTTAAAGGTTGTGAAAAAGTTATGGTTTCCATGGTGACCCTGGGCCAGCCTGGCGCCTGCACGGGCTCTGCTTGCTTTTCTCTGTGATTGTTCCTCTTGTCCCCCTTAACCGTCCTCAGCTTTTAGCCCCCACTCCCTTTCTGGGCACCCTGCTCTGTTCTGCTCCTCTGAGAGCCTGACCTTCCCATGAGGCCTGCACTCCCTTCCTTGAGGCCAGCAGAACCAATGCACCCCCACCCTCTCCACACCTCCCCCTCCCCCTCCCCCTGCTGCCCCCAGTTTTGCAATCTCGTTTTGCTTCCCCGTGTGGTCGCTGACCGGGCCTGACTTTGAAATCTGTTGAAAGGAGACCTTTCTCCTTGGGGCCAATGTAAACAGCCGGTCATGTTAAATCATGTTCTCTTCCTCTCTCAGCCTGCCTCTCGGGGGTGCTTGGGGAGGGCTGAGCCCCTCTTCTCACTCTCCCCTGCCGGCCGGCCCGGCCTCTGGGGCGTGGTGTGCGCCAGCCGCTCGCTCCAGCACCAGGTCAGCTGCGCAGCCTCCAGCCTTGGCAAGCAGCCCAGGGAGTGTGCGAGGTCGCCCCGTCCCCGTGGGCCCCGCTGGGGCTCCAGCTGACCCTCCCCTCCTCTAGCCCAGATCCGCGTGCCCTCCTGCCCTTGCCACACACAGGCGTCCCCCCGTCCTGCCAACCCCCCTCAGAAATGCCTCTCCAATCTGCCTGCCCGCTGAGCCCAGGTGAGCCTAGCCCTGGCCACTCTTGCCCCCTGCCCAAGACTGTCCCCCACCCCACGTCACCATCATGTGGCTCCTGGGGGCCTCCGTGTCAACCTCGGGCCCTTGGCCAGGCCCAGGCACACCCCGAAATCTCCACTAACCCACTTATTTTCTTGCCTGCTGCCCCAAATCCAGCCTCCCCCGACCTTAGTGTCCAGCCCAGTGAAGTCCGCGCCTCCTGCTGTGTGGGCAGAGCCCAGCTTGTCTAGGGCCTCCCCGTGCCTCAGTGGATGGCTCGATGGGCCTCTTGGCCAAGGGTCCGAATTCCCCTTCGCCCCAGGTCATGCCTGTCTCTCGGGAAGGCTTTGGGAGGCGACAGCTGCCCCAGTGCCTCCAGAGTCAGGCCCTTCCTGACTCCACTTTCTTAACTGTGCGTGGAACGAGGGGGCCGGCTGGACTCCTGGAGCCTTTGGCTGCGTGGCTCTGGCCACCCTTTCACATGCTGGCCCTCCCAGCGGCAGGTGTGCCCCTCCAGTGCCCTGGGAGCTGGCAGGTGTGCTGTGCACCTTCCCAGGACAAGCAGGGCAGCAGGAGCCGCGTCGGGACCCACGGCAGCCTCCAGGGAGCTCCCTTCCCACTCAGCTGGCACCGTGACCCAGCCAAGTCCACCTGACTCAGCCAGGCCCACTTTCACCCTGAAGTCAAACTCACCCCTTCAGGAGGCTTAGAAATGATGCCTTCTTTCCCCTGAAAACTGGTGTCAGCTTCCCTTAGCCAATGGCCTGGGCCAGGCACCATTTCATCTGCCCTGAGAGCCTGGGCTTGGCTTAGTGCGTGGTGTGAGGGCCCCTTGTCCCATGCCCCTATGGCTGTTTGCCTCTTCCTAGTCCCAGGGACTACTCTTCCCTTCTCTGTGGTACAGCCTCTCTTTCCTCCTGGCACCCCCACTCTCTCCTCTCTTGGTACCTGCCCTGCTTTCTCCTGTCCTCTGGCATCCCCAGGAGCCCCCCAGCCCTGCCTCTCACCTCTCTCTCCACATCGCCCCGCTCAGCCGCTAGGTCCTGGAGGCTCTCGCGTAGGGCCGTGGTCTCCCTCTGATGGGCTGTGATGGCATCCTCAAACTGGGCCTGGAGGGCCTTCAGCTCCTCAGTCGTGGCACTGATGGTGGCCTGCGGGGAGAAGGGAGCCCACGGTGGCACCAGGGAGCTGGGCCCAGCAGTGGAGGGTGAGGTAAGGCCAGGACCCTGGAGAGAGAGGTGTTGCAGTGGCCTGGGAGGGGGAGCCGGGTCCTGCTGATCGTGCAAGCCCCGGGGTAACTGGCCCTTGGTTTCCTAAACTGTCAAACAGGCTGCTGGGATGAGGAGACATCCACGGCCCCTGACAGCTGTGATGTGTGAGTGCCCACGGACACAGCAGGAGGCAGCCCCTCAGCTCAGCCTGCGCCCTGGGGCAGGGCCCATCCCTACAGGGACCACCACACACTGGGCAGCTCTACCCTCCATTTGGGACTGAGCTCAGCTGGAGTCGGCTCCCTGTCGCACACACCACCCGAGGTGTCCTCTCGGGCCTTGGGGCAGTGTGGCCAGCAGGGATCCTCGGGCCAGGAGGCCCCAGGCTCAGCCCATGGCCCCTTGTTCATGGACAAATACCACCTTCTTCACCCCAAGCCCCAGGCCCCTCGGGACACCACCCCGCTTCCTCTCAAGGCCCTCCCCACTGCACCCCTGCCCAGGTTGCGGCAGCAGGGCAGATGGGGCTCAGGGGGTCTCAGCTTCCTGGGCCTCAGTGTCCTCAACATGAAGGGTCCGAGCCCTGCCCTGCTCAGGCTCTGCACCCCTGGGTTCAGGGGACTGGACCAAGCCTCCAGGCAGCAGCAGGCGGCTGGCGGGGGGCGGCTGGTGGGGGATGGCTCCCTCCAGAGCTGGCTTTGTGTTCCTGGGGGCACAGGTGCCCACATGGCTGCCCCTGTGCCAGATCTCTGGAGCCCCTCCTGTCCACCTGGATTCTGCTAGGGTGGGGGTTCCTGCAGCCTGTGCCCCCTGCTCTTGGGAAAGGAGCCATGCTGCTGCCTCCTGTCGTCATTCTTTACAACCCCCTCTGGTCTCTCTGGACTGAGAAGGGCCATCTTGGGTGACTAGGCCATGGCTCTGTGCCTCAGCATGCCCCAACACTGCCAGTGATGGGTGCCCCTGAGGCCTGGCTGCAGGATACCCCTGTGAGGGCCTCAGGGACAGGGCATCGGCTGGGAGCCCGATGGCAGTGGTGACTCAGCCTAGGGGCGCACGCTGTCCTGTCATCTGGCGCCTGGTGCTCCTTGGCCGGCATTCCTCTCCTCCCGCTCCTCTCAACAGTTTTAATTTCCATTTTCTGAGCCGAGGTGGCAAAGGAACCCTTAACGAGCTCCCCAGGAAGGCCGGCTGGCTGGCAGGCCTGGTACCGAGTCCGGGGGAGACTCAGGGCCAGCTCAAGAGAAGGCTCCAGAAGCCAGCACTGGCTCCAGAGAAGGCCCCTCTGTGAGCCAGAGGCATCAGCTCCCAGGGCCCCAGGAGGGCTTTCCTGGGTCCCTGCCCACGGGGTGGAGCCAAGAGAGCTGCTGGGCCAGTGGTCGGGAGGAGGGAGGGGCATGGTCACAGGCCCGATGCCAAGCTTGGTCCTCCTGGGCCCCGTGGAACCCTCCAGGCCTCAGGGGCAGGAACAGAGCAGGGTGGGGCTTCATGGAGTGAGGGGCAAGTCTCCCCTGGGCTGCCAGGAGCTCCTCTGGGCAGCCCTGCTTGAAGGGACTAGGAGTCCGGGTTGTGGCATCAGGCAGGAGGAGGTGAAGCGACACTCCAGCAGCCGCCTCCTCATTGCAGCGCCCTCTCCCGCTGCGCAGTGCCCTGGGGATGGGGCACAAGCCCTCCATCCCGGCTCCGAGTCACCGAGCGTCCCCCAAGGCCCCGCTGCCTGGACGCCCCGGCCCCCCAGCAGGCGGCCTGCGCGTGCCTCTGTGCAGTCAGTGAGAAGGGCTCCCGTTCAGAATGGGCAGAGAAGGGGGCTGCCTCCCGCGCCTGGCACCATGGCCTGTGTTCTGTTCACTGCACACTGAACCATACATTCAACGCCAGTCAGGTAGGTGTCCAACCCTGCGTCCTTGCCAGGGACAGGGAGGAAAGGCTCGCCTGAATTTAAAATAAGCCAACAAGTACGGGAATGAACGGCCTCGTCACTGAACATGCTGGGAGCTGGAAGGACAGAGGCAGGAGGCAGGTGTGGGCCCAGCTAATGGGGTGTGTGTGGCCAGGGAGGGCAGAGAGCTGGGGGTTGGCGATCAGCCTCGCCCTCAATCCTACCTGTTCCTGGCAAGGAGAGGAGTGGCGTCCGGTGCCTTGAGCCCATTCCCTCCCTGCCCAGGGCACCCTCGCACCTGTGTCTATTCAGGGCCAGCCCCTGCCACCCAGGACAGCAGCCCCGACCTCAACACAAACAGCCTCTCCTCAGGCCGCCTGGGCCCTTGGAGATCCTGCTGTAACTCCTGCATCTATGTCCTATCGCTGGGCTCTGGCCACCCCCCACTGTGAGCCAGGCCCCCATCTATGTCCTATCGCTGGGCTCTGGCCACCCTCGCTGTGAGCCCTGCCCAGTCTCTTCATCTCCCATGCGGGACCTGGTGCCCCATCACAGATGGGCTGAAGCCTTGGCGTTCTGCAAGCAATAACAGTGGGTGTCCAGCCTTGCCCATGAGCTGGAGGCACAGGCCTCAGAGTCCTCCTCCCCTGCTCCCCAGAGCCCTCCTCTCCAGAGCGCTCCTCCCTATAGCCCTCCTGCCCAGTGCCATATTTGCTGCTGCCTGTCCAGCCCCCTGGACTTGGGCTCCAGGGGAGGACCCAGGGGTCCCAGGTGACCCCCGCTGGCAGCCTGCAGCAGCCTTTGTGCATGGGAGGGCCTCTGTTCACTGGCTGAGGGTGGGCGGCTCTTTGCTGGGGGGCTGTCCTAGCCCCTCCGCGGACGCTTCTCTCCTGGCTCCGCTCAGGACTCAATGTGGGTGTCCTTTCCTGCCGAGAGTTTCCTCTGGTGCAGGGCCAGCCGCCTCGGGTTGTTTCTCCTTTGGAAGGATCTCTCTGGTGAGTGAGTTCCACAAGGCTGGTGCTCATGTCCCCAGCTGTGCTTTTCTACGAGCAGCTCCAGTGCACATATGGGCTCAGCCACTCGCTGCTGTTGGCTCATGGGAGGCCCCCAGCTGGGCCAGGCCCCCTCTCTCTGGCCCCTGCCAGCCCCAAAGCTAAGGGAGAACTGAGCCAGGAAAAGTCCTGGTACCCACTGCTTTGGTTCACTTGGATCTTTCCTGCCCATTGAGTGCCCCTCCCACCAGGAGCCCTGGAGGCACCTGGGGGAAACTGAGGCTCAGGAAGGGAGGGGATGGAGAGGGTCATGCCACTGGGACCAGGCAGGAGGGGTGGCCCCCTGGGGTCTGCCAGCACCTGCTTGGCTGTGCACGTGGCCTGGCTGCATGGGGCTCACCTGCGCTTGCTCCTGCTGGCTCTGTGCCTCCTGCTGTACCCGCTCTAGCGTCCTCCTGGCCCTGGAGAGCTCCTCACTCAGAAGGCTCCGCTCTGTTTCTTTCAGGGACAGGGCCTGAACAGGACGGGGTATGCTTGTGAGAAAGTTGGGGAGTCTCGGGGGAGGGAAGAGGCCCCCCTCTAAGGAGAGGCTGTGGCAGAATGCTGAGTGCAGAGGCTCCCCTGGACACAGCACGTTCATGTTCCTGTCTGCACATCCCTGCCACTGGGGAGGAGGGGCAGCTCCTACAGAGGCAGCCCTGGGCCCTGGGCCCTTTCACCCTCTGAGCGCCTGCCCTCTGTCCGACATCGTCCCACCTCTGTGTCTGCACTTGGGCACGTCCCTGGGGTATCCTCCCCTTCCTCTGCCTGTCTAAAATCCTGCCCTTTCCCATGCAGTTTGGGGGCCTTCATGAGCCACCCCCATCCCTCTAGGCAACACTTGATGCAGTGCAGAGAAGAAAGCTTAAAAGCCCGAAAATGCTCCATCTCCCTGATGGTGTGGGAGATGCGTGTGAGCGAGACACCCTCAGCTCCAAGGGTGGCACGCTGCTCCGTGGACCAGGCTGTGGAAGCAATGCCTGTCAAATCCACACATGTATATTCTCTCTATGCCCAGGCCCATCTGGGGGAGGGCAGCCCAGAGACACGTGTGCACCTGTGTGGGCTGACCTATGCGCAGTGTCACCAATGTCTGTGACATTGCTGTAATGGCAACAAAGCTGGAGGCAACCCAGATGCCCGTGGAAGGAAGAACAGCCACAGGAAGACCCAGTTCTGGCAGCTCAGCATGCAGCCCAGAAACAGAAGAACAAAGCTGCAGATACACAGCTGGGAAAGGCCACCGAGATGCTTTGATAAGTGAGAAGAGGAAAGCCCAGGAGCCGGCATAGACTTTTCATTCCTTTTGTATTAAAAATGCAGTGTTGGGGAGGTAACGCTGTATATTTCTGTTTGCAAGCAATCTTTGGAGGGTGTTGCATAACAGAAGATGTATCAGGTCTTTGTCCTGGATCCTCGGAGGAAGCTTCTAAACCCTGGGGGTTTCTCAGAAGTGTGGAGCGTCTGCATTAGTCCTGGCGGGCCCCTGGGACCACACCTGAGTTTATGCTAATGAGGTGACTCAGGGTGGGTTCCTACTGAATTTCAGGATGGGGACTGTCTGCTGAAAGACCCGTTATTAGAGGGTTGGGGCTTTGAGCCACGGGATGTCAGCCCAACCTCCCAGCAGTCAGAGAAGTGGGCTTCAATCACCTAACCAATCACTCCACCGATCACGTTACACAGTGAAACCCCAATAAAACTCTGGACACCAAAATGCAGTGGAGCCTCCTGGCTGCTGAGCACACTGGGGTGCAGGAGGGTGCTGGGCTGGCTCACGGGGAGGGTGCAGCAGCCCCTGTCTGTGACGTGCCCACACCTTGCCTGTGTGTCTCCTCTTCTGGCTGGTCTTGAATTCCATGTTTGATAATGAATCTCTAAGAGTAACAGGAGGCTTTCCTGAGTTCTGTGAGTCATTCTAGTGAATGGCTGAACCTGAGAGAATCATGGGAACCCCCACACTTGTAGTCAGGTGGTCAGAAGTGTGGGTGGCCTGGAGACCCCCGGACTTGTGGATGGTGTCTGAGACAGGGCATCCTGTTGGGAACCATGCCCTGTGGGGTCTGTGCTCTCTGGGTCAGAATTGCATGGGCATATTACAGAGGAATCAAAGAGAAAGGACAACTGTTCCCTGAGTGGCCTAGTGAAGGGGAGGGGCAGGAGTGGGGGATTTTTCACTGAATGGCTTTCTATATTCTAAACAATTTTAAAAATCAGTGCTCCCCTTCCTCCCTCCCTTGAGGCCCTGCTTGTTTTGCTCGGCTGGAGGCCGGTTGGCTGTTTATAAATCTGCCCTTACTGGACTATAAGGTCTGCAAGGGTTGGGGCCCTGCCTCTCCCTCCTGTACCCCTCATTACTGGACACAGCAAGGGAGTATTTATTAGAATTTTAGGCAAAACTTCATCAAATATAGAAGCGTGTCGTTCTCTCGGGTGAGAGCTTCACTTTGCAAACAGGTGTGGGCAAGCCGCCATTCAGACACAGCGGGTCGGAGAATGGAGGGTTCCAGTGGAGACAGCCCCTCCTGGGCCAGCGGCTCCAGGTCTTTGGCTCTTGCTCCACATATAATTCCTCTTCTTCATTACAGAAATAAGATCCCCAAAGACTGTTTTGTGACTGGGTCATCACAGGTTCCTCAGGGAAGTGTGGGGAAGTGTCCTGCTAGACCCCGCAGCCCCACTTCTCCACTCAATTTCTCTACACAGGCCGCCAAGAATAAAGGGCAGCTGGCCAAGCAGAGGTCCTGGGAAAACTCACTTGCTGCACCGGCAAGGGCTCCCCACAGGCCAGCCCGTCTGTGCTGTGCCCCTGGGGTGCCCCTTATTGTGGTTCTGCTGTGGGTCCAGGGGAGGGAGGGCACTAGCACATGGTGTCTGTCTGCCCTCTTAGCCTGTGCTCCTGTTTTTTTTTTTGAGACAGAGTCTCACTCTGTCACCCAGGCTGGAATGCAGTGGCGTGATCTCCGCTCACTGCAATCTCAGTGAGAATCTCCTGGGTTCAAGCGATTCTCCTGCCTCAGCCTCCTGAGTAGCGGGGATTACAGGCACCCACCACCACACCCAGCTAATTTTTGTATTTTTTTTTTAGTAGAGACGGGGTTTCACCATGTTGGCCACACTGGTCTTGAACTCCTGACCTCAGATGATCTGCTGGCTTTGGCCTCCCAAAGTGCTGGGATCATAGGCATGAGCCACCAAGCCTGCACTCCTGTTTGACCGAGGTCCCCTCTCTTGGGGGCTGTGTGTGCCACTGGGAAGCTGGGATTAAATAACCACATGAGAACAGGCCACGTTGCCCAGTGGTTGGTCTCGGATGGGAATGAGGGGCTGCGTGGGGGCCTTGACGGGCCACCCACTCCCCAGATGTGTTGCTTCCCCTGGAGCCTCTTTTCTCATATATCCAATGGGAATAATATCACCACCTCCCAAGGGGCTTTGAACTTACCTTTCTCCTCCTTTGCCTGGCTCTCAGCCCCTCTCGCATGGACCCTGCCTCAGCCTCTCCCCAGTCTCCTGGCCCCAGACTCGTTTCCGCCCAACTCCTATCATATCACGCCTGCTCAAGAACATCCACTGGCTCCCTATCACCTGATGCTGGCGCCCAAGGCCCGTCCTAGCTCCACTGCACACCTCTCTCACTGCTTCCACTCACGTGCAGCCTGGCAGCTGTGCAGAACTTCATGCCATGCCCAGACATCCTGCCAATGTCCACGTCCTCTCCACTCAACACTACCATTCCTCCTGTAAGTCCTTCCCTTCCTCTATCTAAGGATGTGAGTAGTGGGGCAGTTAAGAGCACAGACCTCAGTGCCCAGCAGGTGCACTGCACAACCCTGTGCAAGGCATTCAACATTTGTGGACCTTAGTTTTCTCACCAGTAATATAGGGATAATTAGAGCATGTGCCTCAGAGTGTTGCAAGAATCAAATATTAAATGCAGAGAGTTTGACAATAAATCTTGGCTATTTCGGCTACTGTAACTCCTCCTGCAGTTTGTCATTTTTTTTTTTTTTTTTTTGAGAAGGAGTATCTGGATCTCAGCTCACTGCAAGCTTGCCTCCTGGGTTCAAGTTATTCTCTTGCCTCAGCCTCCCGAGTAGCTGGGATTACAGGTCCCCACCACCATGCCCGGCTAATTTTTTGTGGTTTTAGTAGAGACTGGGTTTCACTATGTTGGCCAGGCTAGTTTTGAACTCCTGACCTCAAGTGATCCACCTGCCTCGGTCTCCCAAAGTGCTGTGATTACAGGTGTGAGCCACAGCACCCGGCCTGTAATTTGTACCAACATCTTATAGTCCTTATCACCCCATGGGACACAATGTGGACGTGTTCATGTGTCCATTCCTTTCACTCAACAGTGAATTCTTCGGGGTAGCATGATATACTGGAACAGCCTAGACTCGGTAGCTTTTATAGGGCTAGTGGCTGAGTCTCAACTGCTGATGGGATGGAAGGATGGCCAGATGTGTGGCTGGTAGTTGTGTGCTTGGCTTGGTGTTTGAGTTGGATACACTGATGGATGATTGGATGACTGGCTGGTTGGCGGATCCAGGTAGATGGATGGATAGACACATGGATGGATGGTTGGATATGTGACTTGACAGCTGAGTTTGTGGACAGATGAAAGGATGTTAAGTGGATGGATGGATGGATGGTCAGATGGGTTGTGGATAGCTGTGTGGATGGAAGGTTGGGTGCATGGATAGTTGGATGGATAGTCAAATGAACTGATGAATGATTGCATGGATGGTGAGGTGTGTGGATGGACAGCTACGAATGTGGATGCATGGCCATATATCTGGGTGGATAGCTAAATGTGTGGAAAGAAGAATGGATATTCAAGTGAGTGGGTGGATGATGACAAGTGTGTGGAGGGTCATTCAAGTGCATGGATGGATGGGTGGATAGAGAGATGATGGACAGATGGATGAATGGATGGATAGGTGGGTGGATGAGTGTATGGATGGATGGATGGGCAGGTGGATGGGAGGATGGAAGGATGAACAGGTGGATGGGTGGATGGATGGATGGATAAATGGATGGATGGGTGAATGGATGGACAGACGGATGGATGAATGAATGGATGGACAGATGGATGGATGGGTGAATGGATGGACAGACGGATGGATGAATGAATGGATGGACAGATGGATGGATGAATGGGTAGGTGTGTGGATGAGTGTATGGATGGATGGATGAACAGGTGGATGGGAGGATGGATGGATGAACAGGTGGATGGGTGGATGGATGGATGAGGAGGTGAATGGGTGGGTAGATGGATGAGCAGGTGGATGGGTGGATGGATGGATGAGGAGGTGAATGGGTGGATGGATGGATGAGTAGGTGGATGGGTGGATGGATGGATGAGGAGGTGAATGGGTAGATGGATGGATGAGCAGGTAAATGGGTGGATGGATGGCTGGATGGATGGATGGATAAATGGATGGATGGGTGAATGAATGGACAGATGGATGGGTGAATGGGTGGGTGGTTGGATGGGTGGATGGATGGGTAGGTGGGTGTATGAATGGACAGATGGAGGGATGGATGGAGAGATGGATGGATGGATGGGTAGCTGGGTGGAAGGATGGATGGATGGGCAAGTGGATGGGTGGATGGATGGGTGAATGAATGGACAGATGGCTGGATGAACAGATAGGTGGGTGGGTGAGTGGACGGATGGTTGGATGGATGGATGGATGGATGGGTGGGTAGGCGGTTGGACCTGCCTAAGGTGTGGCCACATGCAGCCCTTGTGCTGGGCCAGAGGTGACAGGTGCAGTGGGTGTGAGCAATCCCGCTGCCCCCCAGCCTCACCATCACCTGTTGCATCTTGTGCTCCAGTTGGAGAAGGCTCTCGTCCCGCTCCTGCTTCAGGCTCTGAATTTCCCCCTTCAGAGCCTCCCTCTCAGCTGCACTTTTTGTCACCAGCTCCTTCTCCTGCTCCAGCTGGCATCTGGCTACCTCCTTCTCCTCTGCCAGGGTCAGGCTCAGGGTCTCCTGGGCCAAGGTAAAGGGATGGGCTGTGAGGTCCGGCAGGTGAGGCCAGCAGTTGTCTATGGTCCTGAGTGAGACCTGGCCCGTGGGATGCCAGGGCTGATGGACCCCAGGGGCTGTCCAGACCAGCCAGCTGCACACCCCCCACGTCTTCCCCTCAGGGTCAGCAGAGCAGGGAGGGCCTCTCTGTGTCTCAGCACCTGTCATCCCATATTCATCTATCAGTTTGTAAACCATTCCTGAGTCTCTGCAGTGCACCTGCCACGGAGGGGTGTAAAGACATGTCAAACCAGGCCTCCAGAAGCCTGTGACCTGTGGGACGGCTCTAATGGGTGTGGGGCCCCCTCCAGCCCTCATCCTTCAGACTGCACCAGACCAGCCAGCAGCCCTTCCAGCCTCTTCCATGAGGGAGGCCCGCCCCAAATACAAACCCAAGCCCAATATGAGGGCTCCACGGGGAAGGCCCTGGATGCCCACGTGAACTATAAAGAGTGAGCTGGTCCTTGCCCAGCCCTGGCCAGGCGCCTATGTCTCTGAGCTCTGTCTCCCAGGGCCCCCTCCTCCCAAGGGCCTGCCATTCCCCGGGACCTGGTAGCCTTCTAGGAAGCTACTGGTGGGCTCCTGGGAAGCAGACCTTCTCCCTTTGGAGCTGTGCCAGGGCCTCTCGGTGGGCCAACGCCTGGCTCTCCAGGGCCCGCTGTGCCTCCCGCTCCTGCTGTGCCACCTGTCGCTGGAGCCGCACCGTGTCCTGCCGCAGCTTCATTTCCTGGACCTCCCAGTCACTTTGTAGCTGCTCCATTTCCACTGTGGGGTGATGGGTGAGATGCACCAGGGCCTGGCATGTGGACCCCTGAACCCTTTGGGACTTCCTAGGGAGTGACAGTCTTGGGGGCAAGCACTGTCCACTCCAGGCTCCGGGAGTGGGTGGCCAGCACATGGCAGGGTGGGCTGAGCAGGGTCAAGGGTACAGGGCTGCAGCTGGAGGCTACATGCTGACCCTGTGGCCAGAGCCCAGTTCTAAGCCTCAGGCTGGCACCAGGTGCAGCCTGGGCAGGGTGTTGCTGCTCCTCATGGGCGAGGGTGGCCCAAGTCGCTCAGTCGCATGAGCTCCAAGCTCATGTTCATGCCCCTGTGGGCTCCGGAGAGGGGGTGCAGCACGTGTGGGCACTGAGCTCCATTCCAGGGGCCCCTCCATGGCTGACTTTCGGGGAAGGAGCTGAGGGAGCGCCCTTGGAGCACCTTGCAAGGCCTGCCGCGCGAGTCCTGCGCTCCGGGCTTCCTCCTCCAGCTGCTCCTGCAGCTTTGTGGCCAGCTGTTGGGCCTCAAGGAGGCTGCTCTCCAGGGAGTCCCTCTCCACCCTGCAAAGATGCAGCAAACAATGGGCAAGTCATCCCCAAGATCCTGCGTGTAAAATGCTCTCTATAGCTTTACACAGGTGTTAATGAGACTCAGCTGAAATGCAAATAAATGGAAGAATGTTTTAGAAATTATGGTGCATCTCTGGAGCACCATGTGCTGTTAACAAGGATGAGGAAACTATTTTCTATTCTCATGTCATGAAAAGAGTCCCCCCAAAAAGCCACGCACGCAACTGGACCCCCACATACGGCGTGATTCCATCATGTGAAAAGCCTGCTTGGTGCATTTGTGCATGGAGATGCCACTGTTCAGAAGACACCTGGAGCACACACCAACACACAGCAGTGCCCATTCCTGGGAGGGAGGGGTGATAAAAGACCTCACATTTCTAACAGTTAATTCATCAATGATCCAACCATCAATGGCAAGTTTCATTGTTGCTGTTCGCTGCCCTGTGCTGGGTGTTTATCCGTGAACAAAGCAAGGCATTAAACAACACGTACAAACACATCACAAAGACTCAAACACAGACACCCATATGAACACACAAATGGTAGGTGCACAACCCCAAACAGATGAGGTCAGGGTGGGCCATGGGCCACAGAGACCCTGGCAGCTCCTGATCAGGCCCTGCCTCCATTTCTCTTCCATCTTTCTGGCCACCGCCACCCCCTTCATCGGGGTAGAGCACATCCAAGCCTTCTGGGGCTCGCCAGGGCTCGCAGAGGGAAGTCCTCTGGGCTCAGGTCAGAACCCCCAGAGACCTCACTCTGCTGCATGCTACTCTGCTCCCTCTCCGGTCCCTCCTCCCGTAAGTGTTCCTCATGGCCCCCATCCCAACACTCCCAGGCTTGAGTGCTCTCTTCACCTGGCAGCTCTTCCCCCTTCTGCGTGTAGGAAACCTTTCCTTCAAGTCAGCCTGGAAACCCCTCCTCCTAGAGGCCCGCCTGGTCTCCTGTAAGGGATGTGGCCTCTGCTGCTCAGACATCAGATGTCTTTGCCTGAAGCTTGGGGACCTGAGCGTGTGCCCAGCCTCTCTCTCCTTGGGGGCCCAGGAGAAACTCCAGGGGCTCTGCCATTGAGACCCTGGACTGGAGGCCTGGCCCACCACGGGGTGCTCTGAGCAAGGCAGGGCTGCTTGGGGTGTGGGCTGGCGGGGACCTTGGTCCATCTTGCTGGCTGACAAGTGGGCCAGGACTCCATGAAGGGAGGGAGCAGGTCCCCACTGCTGAAGCCTTGTCAGGGCCTGAGGATCCGAGAGTGGAGCCCTTCATAAAGCAGACCCGTGGGGAGGCCTCATCAGAAGCAAGGAGCTGCAGCACGGTTTCCCACACTTAATGGTCCTGAATGTTACCTGCGAGCTCATCAATGGCAGCTTCCACGCTCTCTGGCCCCACTGGGCCAGTCAGATAAACACACAGAGTGTGTCCGGGCAGACGTGGCTTCAGGTCAAGCCCCTCTGTCACCAGAGGCTCAATGGGCCATCAGGATGCCCTGTTCAGTGGCCTGTGATGCTGGGGCCTGCAGGGCTGCCATGTGCAGGGACCTCGGGTCAGTGGCAGGGCTGAGGTAGGGGCAGCTGTCAGGGCAGCACCCAGGCTGCTGAGGGCTCTGGCTGGGGCCTGTGTTCTGGGCAGTAGACCCTGACAGCAGGAAAGGGACCTCCACCCCGGTCCTTGGAGCCCCCAGGGCCCAGGAGGGAGCATGGGCAGGAGCCCAACCCGCAGCAGCCTCCCTCAGGTTTTCCTTGCTGTGCAAGCTTTCATTTGGAGAAGAGGTTTGTCTGTGAAGCTCGAGGATCCCAGACTCCAAGGTTTCTCATGCCTCCCAGATTCTAGAATTCCAGGAGGAAATCTTTTCAACAAAAATGCTTAGCAGTGCCTGAGCAGGGCCCTAAGCAGGGCCTATAAGGCACAGAAGCCATCAGCTGTTGGGTTTCTGCAGAGGCTGCAGGACCCATTCAGATCACCAGGCAACAGCCTACACACATCCTGTTCTTGCCTGCGAGTGCCCGTCCCAACTTCTGGGAGTTGCCCTGAGGGCCTTTGGGCTCACCCGCCCACACTCTCCACCTCATGTGTCCCTGGGCTGACCCTGCTTCTGGCTCCAGGGATGGGTGTGCAGCCCAAGCCTGGGATCAGGCCCTGTGACTCCCAGCTCCTAGGATTGGTACAGGGATGTCACACAGCTCAAGACGGCCCATGGCAGCCGCTCTCAGGCCTTGCAGGGAGAAGGGTGCTCTGCATCTGCTGGAAGGGGGACCCTGGGGTGGCTGCTGGCCATCTTGCCACCTCTCAGAGTAAGCCTGCCTGGGAAAAAGATCTCAGAGTCAAGCTGTGCTGAGGGAGAGAGAAGCAGGATTCTGAGGGCACTGTGGGAGTGCCTGAATCCAGCCATACCTGAAGTTGGATTCACCCTGAACTCCTCAGCTCCATGAGCAAGACATTCCACATCTGCCTTCCCCTGGTCTGAGCTGTGTTTCTGCACTTGCCACCACCTCTTTCAGGAGGGTGACCCCAGCGCTTTCACTGGGTTGACCTCTTCCAGATGCCCTCCCCCAACCCAAAGGCTCTGTGCTCGCCTCCACTCACAGCCCATTTCATGGGCACACGCTCCCTCCCAGTCCTATGTCATGGTGCGATTGTCCCCATACCCTGCCACACTGCAGACTCTCTGTGGGCAAGGACACGTGGGACATGCCCTGACTGGCAGGCCCTTGCATACCTGAGATCAGCTGCCTCTTCAGCTGCGAGCCGGCCCTGCCTCTCCAAGGCCTCCTGCTTGGCCAGCAGCTGGGCCCGCTCCTCAGACAGAGCATCCTTTCCTTGCAGGGCTTGCTGCAGAGTGCCCATCTGGGCCTCCTGGTCCTGCAGGCTCTGAGCCAGCTGCTCCTCCAGGGCCTGTTTCTGGCATGTGACCTAGGGGAGGTGGGGAGGGGACAGTCGGCAGAGAAAGAGAGTAAGTGGGTGGGTGAGCATGGGCCTCTTGAGGGGAAGAAAGGACTTCAGAAGAAGTGATTTTATGCAGAATGGCATGGAGGTGAAAGTGGAAGAAGTGGGTGGATCTCAGAAACACATGTATGTTTTTACAATAGAGGGGGCATCCACTCAGGTACCCTGAGTGGATGGAGATGGTATTGAACTGGGCACTCCTAGGTAGGAGCCAACTGTCAATCTAAATGGTACCATTTGTTGGTCCTCCAGTGTCCAGGGGTCAGGAAATGCTGCATAGAAATGGCAATAGAAGGTAACAGAAAACTAGATTGCTGCAGACCAACACTTCCACCAAGAACATCATAAAAATCTAGAAAGAATATATCATAAGAATATGCAAGACACCTCAGACAGCTGAACAGACAGCTGGGACCGAAGGAGTGAAGATCTTGGAGAGAAGGGAGGTACAGAGGAATGAGCCCAGCATTTAATGTCTCCTCTTCCTCAAGGCATTTGCTCATTTAAGAGTTTGGGCTGAAAAATTGAGATGCCAAGAAGAACTTCTGGCAGTACCATGGCCTGAGGGGGACAAAAGTTAGGGTTCAGAGCCACCAAAACAGAGAGGCTCTGATAAATATCACAAGACATCAAGTTGTATTCACAGCAGGGCTTGACCCTAGTACTAGCGGTGAATCAGAAATAGACCATCCTTCATAGACACCGAAGCTCACGTGCGAATCATCCCAGTCACGGATTGGATTACAGTGACCTTCTACGTTCACTGCCTGCCAGGGTCAAAAGTAAATTCTGGCCAGCTGAGGCGGCTCACGCCTATAATCCCAGCACTTTGGGAAGCCAAGGCAGGCAGATCACTTGAGGTCAGGAGTTCAAGACCAGCCTGGCAACATGGTGAAACCCCGTCTCTACTAAAAATACAAAAATTAGCCAGGCACGATGGCACACACCTGTAATCCCAGCTATTCAGGAGGCCGAGGCAGGAGAATCGCTTGAACCCAGGAGGCAGAGGTTATGGTGAGCCAAGATCATGCCACTGCACTCCAGCCTGGGTGACAGAGTGAGACCCTCTCTCAAAAACAAACAAACAAACAACAACAAGAACAAAAATAAATGCTTTCTGGAAGAAGAATCGCATCATCAAGATCCTCAAATTATTTCTATAATTTATTATATATAAGATTGACTAATCAAGATCTGGCCTATCAGGAGACAGGACCACATGACAAAAAAACCACTAATAAGAACAGAAAATAGATATAGATCCTCCTACCCTGGTTATCTAGATATTGGAGTTATCAGACACAAACTTTAAAATAGCTGATTCACGTGTTCAAGAAGATGGATAGCAAGACGTAAAGTTTAACAATAGAACTGGATACTAAATATAAAAAAGACAATTTAAAATATAATAACCAAAAGTAAAAAAAAAATTAATAGACAATGGCAGATTAGACAGAATAAAAGAAAGGACTAATAACCTGGAAGAGAGACAAAGAATGTGTTCAGACTGAATCATAAAGAGATAGAAGGATGGATAGAAAATACACAAAAGAATGTTATAGACATATAGGACAAGCTAAAAATGCCCATCATATGTGTAATTACAGCCTCAAAAGGAGATGAGAGGGCACATTTGAACAGATACAGGCCAAGAATGTTCCAAATCTAATAAAATACATCTAGCCACAGACTTAAAATGAGCTGTAACCCCCAAAAGGATAAATTAAAAGAAAATGTCACATATATACAACTTAGTAAAGTTTCTGAATACCAAAGATAAAGAAAAATGTTTTTTAAAAAACAAAGGGAAAAAGACACATAGGCGTGAAATGAACAAGACTGACATTTGCTTTCTATGCAACAATGAAGGCCAGAAGATGATGGAATGACTTCATTAAATTTCTGAAAGAAAATAATGGCTATTTTAGTATTCTATACCCAGCGAAAACATTCTTCAAAAGTAAAAACCAGGACTTTCTGCTTCTGATAATGGTGAGGTGGGTTGTTGAAAACCAACCCTCCCATCTAAAGCAACTAGAAAAGCAATACAACGTACAATCCAATAATCTGTTTAAAAGCATTAGAGAGATACTAACGCAGTCAGGTCCCAGGTGTTCAGGCTACAGAGAGAAATATATTAAAGTGAGTCTGAAATTCTATGAATACAACAGATTTCCCCTTTGAGGTATCTGCCAAGTCCTAAGTGACAGGGGGTGTAGAGCCTCAGTATCCAAGAATAAAGCTTTAGGCCGGGCTTGGTGGCTAATGCCTGTAATCCCAGCACTTAGGGAGGCCGAGGTGGGCAGATCACCTGAGCTCGGGAGTTCGAGACCAACCTGGCCAACATGGCGAAACCCCATCTCTACTAAAAATACAAAAATTAGCCGGGCATATGCCTGTAATCCCAGCTACTCAGGAGGCTGAGGCAGGAGAATTGCTTGAACCCAGGAGGCGGAGGTTGCAGTGAGCCGAGATCACCCCATTGCACTCCATCCTGGGCGACAGAGCAAGACTCTGCTTAAAAATTAAAAAAAAAAAAAAAAAGCTTTAGCTAAAAGACTGGGAACATGGCCTAAGATTTCAGCAGGCTTATGAGATTGAAGAGATATAACTTAGAGTTCAGATATACCAAAGCAGCCGGGGAACGAAAAGAAGAGCGGATATCAGAGAGCAAGGAAATGCCTTGAGGTAAGCCTGAGATTGTATATTGCGATTTTAAAAAATGGTACTGCTGGCTGAGCGCAAAATCCCAGCACTTTGGGAGGCTGAGGCAGGTGGATCACTTGAACCCAGGAGTTTGAGACCAGCCTGGGCAACATGGCAAAACCCCATTTCTACAAAAAACACAAAAATTAGCTGGGCGTGGTCATGTGTGCCTGTAGTCCCAGCTACTCGGGAGGCTGATGTGGGAGGATCACTTGAGCCCAGAAGGTCGAGGCTGCAGTGAACCATGGTCATGCCACTGCACTCCAGCCTGGGCAACAAAGACCCTGTCTCAGAAAATAAAATAAATGGTACTGCTTTGAAAAAGTATGTATTTTTTATAATTCAGAAGTAGTAAAGGACCAGGAGACTACGAATCTGAACAAAAAAATAGCAGCTGACAGTCTGAGAAGTCAGATAGTACTTTTGAAAGTCCTATCTGAAATAAAGATAATAAAAAAAAGACAATAAATAAAAAGAAAATAAAACCTGGAGTTTAGGGCTAACTAAAGAGTAGGAACCCTGGTAAACACCTGAGATTTCCCATTAGGAACATAGGAGAGTTATATTATACCCTGGGATAAGCCAGAAATAGACGACTCCTCACAAAAGACTGAAGTACAGTTACAAAGCAGCTAAATCCTGGACTGGATAAAGGCAATTTATCCCTATTCTGATTTCCCAAAGTCAAAAGCAAATTCCCTCTAGAAGAAGCTTATATCATTCAAAGCCTTAAATTATCTCTATGAATTATATCTACAAAAACACAAAGTCTGTCATTCAATCAAAAATTATTAAGCATAATAAAAAAACAAACAATATTAAGCATACTAGGAGACAAGGCCAAACTACTGAAAATAAATAAATAAAAGACAATAGAAATAGCTCATTAGGGGATCCAGATGTTAGAGTTATCAGACAAAGACCCAAAAAGTATTGTAATTAATATGTTTAAAAACATACTCAAGAAGGAAAAGAATGTTACCAAATAACTGAAATGTTTGTGAAAAGATGATTGAGTGTGTGTGTGTGAATGGTTAAAAATAATCATTTAAAAGTAAAAAGTATTAATAAAGTAATGTACGGTTTATAACAACACACACAGAAATAAAATATAGAACAACAAGAGCAAAAAGTATGGAAGAGATGTCTTAGTAAATTTGTGCTGCTATAACAAAGTACCTGAGACTGGGTAATTTATAAAGAACAGAAATTTATTAATTTATCTTCTCACAGTTCTAGAGACTGGGAAGTCCAAAATCAAGGTGCTGGCAGGTTCAGCTGTCTATCAAGGACTACTCTCTGCTTCCAAGGCTGTGCCTTGATGCTGCATTTTCCGGATGAGAAGAATGCTGCACCTTCACATGGTGGAAGGCATAAGGGAAAGTGAGACACAAATGATGCTGCAAGCCCCTTTCATAAAGGCTTTAATCTCGCTGATGAGGGTGGAACCCTTATGGCCTAAATCACCTCTTAAAGGTCCCATCTCTTAATACTATCACAATTAGTAAGTTTCAACACCTACATTTTGGAGGGGACACATTCGAAACATAGCAAGGGATGAATGGAATGTATTGCTGGAAGGGTCTTACATTGTTTGTGAAGTAATATAATATTTGGATATAGACTGTGCATATCATAATTTTAGGGTAATCACTAAAACTAACAAAAAGAAACACAGTTTCATTCTTCTACATGTGGCTTGACAATTATCCCAGCACCATTTCTTGAATAGAGTGTCCTTTCTTTACTTTATGTTTTTGATTGTTTTGTCGAACATCAGTTGACTGTAAGTATTTGGGTTTATTTCTGGGTTCTCTATTCTGTTTCATTGGTCTATGTGCCTATTTTTATACCAGTACCATGCTGTTTTGGTAACTGTTACCTTATAGTATAGTTTGAAGTTGGGTAATGTGATGCCTCCAGATTTGCTTTTTGCATGTTCTTGCTTTGGCTCTGTGGCTTCTTTTTTGGTTCCATATGAAATTTAGGATTTTTTTCTAGTTCTGTGAAGAATGGTGATGATATTTTGATGGGAATTGCATTGAATTTGTGTATTGATTTTGGCAGTATGGCCATTTCCACAATATTGATTCTACTCGTCCATGAGCATAGGATGTGTTTCCATTTGTTTGTGTCGTCTATGATTTCTTTCAGCAGTGTTTTGTAGTTTTCCTTGTAGAAGTCTTTCACATCCTTGGTTAGGCATATTCCTAAGTATTTTTTTTTGCATCTATTGTGAAAGGGGTTGAATTCTTGATTTGATTCTCAGCTTAGTCCCTGTTGGTGTACAGCAGAGCTACTGATTTGTGTACACTAATTTTGTATCCCGAAACTTTGCTGAATTCATTTACCAGATCTAGGAGGTTTTGGGAGGAGTCTTTAGGTATATGATTATATCATCGGAAAACAGTGAGAGTTTGACTTCCTCTTTACTGATTTGGATGCCTTTTATTTCTTTCTCTTGTCTGATTGCTCCGGCTAAGAATTCCAGTTCTGTGTTGAATAGAAGTGGTAAGAGTGGGCATCCTTGTCTTCTTCCAGTTCTCAGGGTGAATGCTTTCAACTTTTCCCCATTCACTGTAATGTTGGCTATGGGTTTGTCATAGATGGCTTTTATTACCTTAAGGTATGTCCCTTCAATGCCGACTTTCCTGAGGGTTTTAATCATAAAGGGATGCTGGATTTTGTCAAACGCTTTTTCTGCGTCTATTGAGATGATCATGTGATTTTTGTTTTTAATTCTGTTTATGTGGTATATCATATTTATTGACTTATGTATGTTAAACCATCCCTGCATCCCTGGTATGAAACCCACTTGATCATGGTGGCACACACTTTAAATAAGCAGACATAGACAAGTTGAAGGTAAATATATGAAAAGGATATACCACGGAAACACTAAGCATAAGAAAATGGAAGTGGCTATATCAGTATCAAAAAAGTAGATATCAAAAAAGTAGATATCAAAAAAGAGTATTGCTAGAGATAAGAGGAGATGTTTTATAATGATAAAATACCAATTCCTCATGAAGAAATAAAATACTAAATATATATACACCTAATAATAGAAATTCAAAACACATGAAGCAAAAATTGGCTGTGGAAGAAACTAAGGGGAGATCTAGTGGAAGAAACAGACAATTCCATTATCACAGCTAGAGATTGTAATGCCCTTCTGTCACTGACTGATGCAGCAAGTAGACAAAAACAACCAATCAAAGAAATAAATCAACACACAAAAAAACCCCAGTAAGGACTTAGAAGATTTAAACAGCACTACTAAGCAACTTGATTTAATTTATATTTATAGAACAATGCACTCAGCAATAGCATAATACACATTCTTTTGATGTGTTCAAGATAGACAACAGACTGGGACATAATACATTTAAATCCATTCAAATAATACAGAGTATGTCCTCCGATCGTGATGGAATTATGTTAGAAATTGATAACAATTAGACATTTAGAAAACCCTATTTGGAAGTTAGGCCATATATGTCCAAATAATCCACGGGGCAAAGAATAAATCACATGGGGAAAGAGAAAATAGTTTGAATTGACTAATAATAAAAACACAACATGCAAAATTATTAGGATGCAGATGAAGAAACATAAATAAAAACTAATAAGAAATTGTAATAGATTTTATATCTGTTAAAGAAATTGAATTCATTATCAAATGCTTTCTCACAAAGAAAACCCCAGACTCACATTATTTCATTAGTGAATTCTGCCAAACATTTAAGAAATAAGTAATACCAATTTTACACACACACTTTCAGGAAACAGAGGAAGAGAGACTACTTTCCAGTGTATTTTAGGAGCACAACTCTGATTCCAAATCTGATGATTCCAAGGAAAGAAAATTACAGAAATATTACTCACAAATATAGATGCAAAAATCTTTAACAAAATATTTATAAGTTGAATAAAAAATATATAAAATGGATACTAACTCACGACAAAGTAGGGCTTATTATGTATGCAAGTTTAACATCTAAAAAATTAATCAGTGTAATTCACTACATTAACAACATGAGGAGAACAATGATGTGATCATCTTAATAGTTCCAGAAAAAGAATTTAGCAGAACCCAGTACCCATTTATAATTTTTTAAAAATGTCAGCATACTAGGAATGAAGGGAACTTCCTTACTCTGATAAAGGGCATCTATGAAAAGCCTACAGATAACATCATATTTAATGGTGAAACATCAAATTATTTCCCCATGATTGCCTTGGGTGGAAGTATGGCCACTCTCACCACTTATATTCAACTTTGTTCTGCAGGTCTTAGTGCAATAAGATAAGAAGAAGAAATAAAAGATATTCAGATCAGAAAAAAAGTAAAACTATTGTTACAGATGAATAATTATATAAACATACAACCTTAGTACTTATAAGTGAATTTGTCAAGGTCACATGACTCAAAATAAACATATGAAATTGTATTTCTATAATAATGAACAATAAGAAAATGACATTAAAACCGTAATATAATTCATGATATAAAAATCTAGAATTAACCTAATCAAAGATGTGGAAGAAAACTCTACATTGAAAACTACAAACATGGCTGAGAGAAAGAAAGTAAAGACATGGAGAGATATACCATATTCATGGATGTAATATTCAGTATATTTAAGATGTCCATTTCCTCAAGTTGATCTATAAATTCTAAACAATTTTAATCAAACTCCTAGTAGGCTATTTTGCAGGGGAGGGAAGAAGAAATTGACAAGATGATTCTAAAATGTATATGCATATGCAAAGGATTTAGAACAGCCAAAACGATCTTGAAAAAGAACAAGGTGGATGTGTGTACACTACTCAATTTCAAGACTTACTAAAAAGCTATCATAATCAAGACAGTGTGGTTTTGGTGAAAGAATGAATAGATTGACTTGCACAGATCAACAAATCCCACATATATGATCCGTTTATTTTCAACAAGTTGCCACATTTAATCAAGGACCAAAGGAGAGACTTGAAAAAAATGGTGCTGGAAAAACTGGGTATTAGTATGAAAAATAATGGACCTTAGTTCTTACATCATACCATACACATGTGGTCCTCACACGTTAGTGTGCAGCAGGATCCCAAGGAGGGCTAATTAAAATCCAGATTTCTGGGCCCCGCCCACAGAGTTTCTGATTCAGTAAGTCTTGTGTGAGGCATGAGCATTTGCATTTTTACCAAGTCCCCAGGTGTATCAGTCTGTTCTCACCCTGCTGTAAAGAACTACCTGAGACTGGGTAATTTATGAAGAAAAGAGATTTAACAGACTCACAGTTCACAGGCTTAATAGAAAGCATGACTGGGAGACCTCAGGAAACTTACAATCATGGCGGAAGGTGAAGGGAGAAGCAAGCACCTTCTTCACATGGTGGCAGGAGAGAGGGAGTGAAGGGAGAAGTGCCACACACTTTTAAACCATCAGATCTTGTGTGAACTCACTCAACATCAAGAGAACAGCAAGGGAGAAATCTGGCCCCATGAACAAATCACCTCCCACCAGGCCCCTCCTCCAATTTGACATGAGATTTAAGTGGGGAGACAGATTCAAACCATATCACCTGGTGATGTTTATGCTGCTAGTCTGGGAAGCACACGTGGAGAACCCCTGCTGTCCATAAAAATAAACTTGAAATGGATCATAGATCCAAATGTGAAAGCCAGATGAAAATGTAGGAGGATATCTTCTTGTCCTTGGGGTAGGCAAAAATTTTTCAGACAGAACCTAGAAAATACTAATTGTAAAACTAAAAAAAGAAATAGATAAATTGGAGTTTGCCAAAGTTAAAATTTTATGTCCATCCATAAAAAATATCATTGAGAAAATGTACAGGCAGCCACAACCTTGGGGAAAATAGTCATAGGACATGTATCTGACAAGGTACTTGTATCCATGATATATAAATTCCTGTATATTCATAACCAAAATGCAAAAGCCCAGTTTAAAAAATAGGAAAAAGATTTGAACATTTGATAAAATAAAGCATACGAATATCCAATACATGCATGAAAATGTGTTCAATATCTTCAGTTATGAGGGAAATGCAAATGAAATCCTCAGTGATGTATCACTTCACATATACAGAATAGCTAAAAAAACAAAAAACAAAACCCAAAAAAACAGACAATACCAAATGTCGAGAAGGCAGAGGAGCAACTGGAACTCTTCTACACTGCTGGCTGCAGCAAAGTGATTGAACCACTTTTGGAAAGCTGCCTGCTTTTTCGGAAAGCTGCTTGGTTGTTCCCTATAAAAGTTCAACACACACCTATACAGTGAGTGCACAGTTTTGGTCCTAAGTATTTAGTTAGGAAAAATAAAAATATATGTATGCGACTTGTACAAGAAGGTTTATAGCAGCCTTGTGCATCACAGTCCCATATCAGTCGCCTCCCAGCAGGCCCCTCCTCCAATTTGACATGAGATTTGGGTGGGGACACAAATCTAAACCATATCACCAAGTGTGTGTCACACAATGCAACATAAGTACAGGGCCAAGGCAGTAGAAGGGAGTCACATCACTTACATAATGGACCTAGACATAAGCCACAATGCTCTTTGTAGGCAGGGTTCAGGCAGAGAATTCACATCACCTGGGTGCTGGTCCCAGTGATATGTAAAAGTGCCCTTTGTAGGCAGGGTCAAGGAAGGACCTTGTAGGCAGGACCAGTATTGGAAACATTGTTGCTGGACAATCCAAATGTCCAGCAACAGGTGGATGAGTAAGCAGATGTGGTTTACTCATCCCAAGGAATATAACTATGCAGTTAAAAAGAAAGGGCTTAGTGATACACTGAACAACATGTATGGATCTCCAAGACATGATGCTGAGAGAGAGAAGCTGGACACAAAAGCGTCCACACTGCATGGCTCCATTTATAAGGAATTCGGAAACAGGTGCATCCAGTCCGTGGTGCTGCACATCAGAGCAGAGGTCACCTGGGTGGGAGCCGGGGGCTTTGGGCAATGGCTGAAGGCACGTGGGGGAACCTGCTGGACTGACAAAAATGTTCTGTGTCTTGATCCTGGTGGCGGCTACCTGGCTTTGTACAATTGTCAAAATTCATTGATACTGTACACTGACTTATTAAATGTCAATAGAAAAAGAGGAAAAAGGTGACCCCAGAAAAGGACAAGGCAGAATCTGAAAACGGAAGGAGGGTTGAGCTGTCCTGAATGTGACGGGGGCTGCGGAATCTGAGTCACAGGGGCCTGAAACTCAGCATGGACAGGGTTTTCACACGGATGAACGAGGCAGGATTGGAAAAAACCAAGACTGTTTTTTTCTCCAGTGAGTTGAGCTTCCTCAACAAAAGATGGGGAAATTGGGAATAAATGAGTGAGGCACCAGTGAATGTGCAGTCGCAGAGTTCAGCTGTGTGGATGTGGACCAGGGAGAAACAAGACAGAGGAGGAAACAGCAAAGCTCACTAAGAGCCCAGTGTGCAGAAGTCACTGGCCTGAGGCCCGGGCTCCCCTGCCAAGTGGCGGGATGGATATGGTGGCCAGGCCTGATGGGAATCTTCTTCTCTGCATACCTTCCCCCTGCCCCCACCCCCACGGGGAGGCCAGCACTGGGCCTGATCCGTTACCAAGACAGAAAGAGCTGATGTGGGCATCCTGAGCCTGCCTGACTCCCAGAAGTACCTTAGGCAAGACCTGCCACCCAGCCGCATCCCAGACGGCGGCAGCATGCCCTGCAGACGTCCTCACCTGGCCCACCTGCTCCTGGAGCTGGGCCTTCTCTCGCCCCAGCAGGGCTGCCTGCCCCTCCAGCTGCTCCTGCCGCTGCTCCAGGCGTCCGCAGGCCTGCTGCAGGCCCCTGCGCTCTGCCCGCTCCAGCGCCAGCTGCTGCTCCGCCTGTGCCAGCTGCTCCCCGGCCCGGGCCCGTTCCTGCTCCAGAGTCTTCCGCTGTTCCCGCAGCTGGTCCCGCTCCTGCTCCAGCTGCCACCAGGTGTCGGGGGCTCTGCATCCACTCCCCCCATCCTCGGTCCCTGTAGGCCAGCCATCCCCAAGGCCTGCCCCGGGGCACTGTCTTCCCTCCCTCAGGCCTGGCCCAGGGGCACTCTCTTCCCTCCCTCAGGCCTGGCCAGGGCTAGTCAGGCTCCCTTGTCCCCAAAACCTCAAACCAGGAGAGGAAGTGATCTGGGAGGATGGAAAGAAGGCCTAGGGCTGGGAGACCCACAGCCACCTGGGAAACAGGTTCCAGCGAGGCCCGCCCCACTGGCCCTTGTCTCACCTGGAGAGCCAGGTGGTTCAGGGCACTTTTGTCCTGAGCCAACCCCTCCATCAAGGCGGCCATTGCGGCCAGGGAGTCCCTTTGCTCCACTCCCTCCGACTTCAGCCGCCTCACAAGAAGCTCCAGGTCCGCATTGCTGCACTCGGCCTGGGGCAGGGAGGGGGATGCCAGGGAGGGACCTTCAGCTTCCAGGGCAGGGCTGTTGCCGCTGGGAAAGGAGTGAGCCCTGAGCCACGGAGGTGTGCAAGCCAGAGCTCTTGGGCGGACATGGTGGGAAGGTCGCCACAGTGGGGAGGTCTCAGGGCCAATGGTGGCTCCAGGCACTAAGGCTCCAGCCAGAGGAGGTGGCTGGTGGTCCAGGGAGAGGCCACAAAGAAGCAGGCGTGGCCAGCAGGGTTGACAGCAGCTGGGCCAGGCTGGTGCCTACTGGTTGGGGACGGGAGAGAACTTTGGTGACTTTGGGATCTCTGGTGATGGGCTGAGGGGCCCGGCAGGCAGGAGAGAGGGAGTGGGAGGCCAGGTCAGTGAGGCCAGGGTGGGTGGGGGCAGACAGGAGAGGGGGCGGGGTTGTGGGGAGCAGAGTGTACCCGCGCCAGGGCGCTGCGCAGTCCCTCCCTCTCACTCTCCACGACATCCCGCTGCAGCTGTGCTGTGCTCAGTGCCTCCCGGACCGATGCCAGCTCCTCTCTGAGCCCGGAGACCTTCTCCTCCAGCTGCTGCAGGCGGCCTTGACTGAGGCCCCAGACCAGAGGGCGGGAGGTCGCTCAGGGTGAGCAGTGGCTGCCCCATGGGATTTCAGGCAGGCGACCACCTGCAACTCCCTCCAAGCCCAGGGAGGCCCAGGAGGAGCATGGAGTCCCTGGAGGACCAGGAAGGCAGGGAGCCCTTCGCTTCCAGGCTTCATTTCCGGGGCAGGGGAGGCACAAGTGCCTCCGGGGGGACGGGAGGGGTGGGGCCCCACATCTGATGGGCCCACGGGGTGGTGGCCCAGGTGGGGCACTGGGCCAGAGGAAGTGAGGGTTGGTCTGGAGGATGGTGCAGCCTGGGGAGAAGCCTGGAGAGCCCCCGCCCCTGCCCTGTTAGGGCCACCACACCCTGAGATGAGACAGGTGAAAAAGCAGACCCGTGGCCCAAGGCCAAGTGGCTGATGGTGGCAGAGTGGGGTCTCTTCTGTGGGAGGGGCCCTGCCCACCCAGCCACGGCCGCGCACCTGGTCTCCAGTGCCCTGCAGCTCCGCTCCCTCCGCAGAGCCAGCTCCTCCCTCCGCTCTGCCTGCAGCAGGAGGCTTCTCTGCAGCTCTGCAGCCTCGGCCTCCAGCCCCTGCTTCTCCGCATCTGCAGCATCTGCCTTCCCTTTCAGCTCCTCCACCACCATCTCCAGAGCAGCCTTCTCCCTGGGGATGGTGGGGGCAGAGTTGGGGCGGCCCTGGACACATTCAAGGTGCACCGCGTGCCTTGGTGGGCATTGGGGGCTGGGTGGATGCCAGCCCCTGAGACTGCATGGGCAGAGGGAGCCTGAGAAGCAGACAGGGTCTCACTGGCGGGTGTGTCCCACCCTGGCCCACGCTCAACTGGTGCTCACACAACTCTGCTAGAAGGCAAGGACCCCTCCCCGGCTGGCAACCCCTCCAGCTCTAGAGGTGCTTGTCCTGACAGCAGCCCTGGGCCCTCAGGATCCCATACACCCTGTGCAAGGCCGTGCAACCCCTTCACCCCATTACCTCCCCAGGAGCTTGCAGGATGCCCGGCACTGCTGCACCTCGAGCCTCTGGGCCTCCAGCTGGCCCCGAAGAGCCTCTCGTTCCCGTGCCTGCTCCCGAGCCCGCTCCTGCTGGAGCTTCTGTGCGGCCCACAGCTCCCGCCGGCTTTCGGACAGCTGCTCCTGGAGACTGGCCACCAGTGCCTGGGAGGACTTCAGCTGCAGGCACAGCTCCTGCTCGGGTGGGGTAAGTTGTGGGCCTCTCTGGCCTAGGCAGGCTTTGCCCACCGAGGCCCACCAGGGCTTGCGACTCCCCAGAAAGGACACCCCCGACACTGGGGCCCCTCCCTGGAGCCATGGGGCTCAGGGGCAGGCCCCATAACTACCCTTCAGCCTGAGGGGCTCATGTTTCTGCCCTCAGGGAGACAGGGAGTCCTGTGGGCTGCGGCTGCCCACCTGTTCCCGCCGCCACCGCCTCTCTATGGCTGCCCGCATGGCCTGCAGTGCGGGGTCCAGGGTGGCTGGGGAGCAGATGTGTGGTGGGGACGCCCCTTGATGGGGGGATGTGGCACGTTGGGGGCTCCTCAGTGGGCGCCGTGGCTCCCCCAATTCAGTGATGCTGCTACCTGCCAGCTCCAGGCACCGGGCGTCCTCCTGGGCCACCTTCAAGGTGCAGAGAGGAAGGGATAGAGGGGCCCAGAGCACAGGGCCATGATTTGGTGGGGACCGCGCAGACAGTCCTGAGGGTCCCTGCGGGCTACCTCCACCTTTGCCACTGGGAGGACAGGCGAGGGGCCACACCTTCCTGACGTGCCTCAAAGTGCACTGCAGGGACCCCACCTTGCCCTGCAGGCCGTCCACTGCCGCACCAGGCTTCCTGTGGCAGGGGAGACTCCTGAGCAAGGGTGACAGACCCCTGCCACACAGCCACCCCCGTCCTGCCCACCAACCAGGTTCTGCAGGTCGGTTCTGAGGGCAGCGATGGTCTTCGCCTTCTGCTCATTCTGCTCTGTAAGCTTCTCCACCAGCAGGGTTTGCTCCGAGAGTCTGGGAGGAGTCGGGGGGTGTGGGGGTGAAGGGCAGGGCCCAGAGGACGGGCACCCAAGCATGCCCTGGCTCTGCCCGGACTCCTTTGTGCGGTGGCCCCCCTGCCGGTGCTGGGTGATGCCTCCGTCTGAGTGGCCTCTGTCCCTGGTCTGAGCATGTGTCTCTCCTGCCACAGAGCCTTCAGTGGCTCCCAGTGTCTCAGGAGTCAAGGCCCACACCCTGACCAGCTCTCCAGCCTCAGATGCAGTGGCTGCCCGAGGCTCTGCCTTGTCCTTGTGGCACAACAGAGGGAGTGCCCACCACAGGCCTTTTCCTGGCCAGTCCTTCTGCCTGGAGCACCTGTCACCATTAGTCTAACAATAAGTAATTTTACTGTTCCTTCCTTCCCAGGATGCACCTTCTTCCTAAAGACCCCAGGTCCCCCTTCCTGTGGCTCAGGCCCTGGTGTGCTGCCCCTGCAGCTGTATGGCACCGTTGGGCCCCCATGTCCTGTCTTGCTCATTTGGGGCTGGGTTGTGGTGTGTTTGACTCAGCTGGACCCCCTGAGGGTAGGGAGGGCTTCTGCCTGTCAGCCTGGTGGGGTGTTTGTGGACAAGTGGGCCCTGGACCCTGGGTTGTAAGGCACTGGCCCCACGGCCAGCAGGTTAGACCTCCACTGGGGAGCCGCCTCCCTACTTTCTGCTGAAGCTGCCCTCAAGAGACCTCTGAGCCCCCGATGTGGGTGGTGGGTCCAAAACCTTCCACAATCACGGCGGGGCTCATAGACCCCCAGAGAGGGCGTGGGTGTCCTTCATATCGGGCAGGAGGTGGCCTGGTCCCTCTTCCTGCCTCGGTTTTTATATGATTTACCTAAGGTGAGCTCTTGCCCCTAGAAGAATGTTCCTGCTTTA
Source organism: Homo sapiens (assembly GCF_000001405.40). Classification (NCBI taxonomy): domain Eukaryota; kingdom Metazoa; phylum Chordata; class Mammalia; order Primates; family Hominidae; genus Homo; species Homo sapiens. The sequence continues at coordinate 240,931,427 of NC_000002.12, read as the reverse complement.
AGCCTGAAAACTCCAGTTCTGGGTGCTGACCCCCAGGACGCAGTCCCAGTGAGTTCCCTGCCGTGCTCCCTGAAACCCTCACTGTAGGAGACCCCAGTGTCTGCCTCCTGGGCATTAGGGGAGTGCCCTGCAGCCACTGGGATGGTGACTCTGAAGAGTGTGCACCACCAGTGACATCAGGGCCCCACCTGCCCTGGAACGGTGTGACCACATCTGGGATCCACAGCTGCTCGGCACGCTGGATGGGCCCCGACCCCCCGGGCCCTCCCTGTGCAAGCTTGCTGGCCCTGGGCGCCCACCTGGCCTGGAGCGCCACCTTCTCTGCGTCCCAGCGGCCCTGCAGCTGCAGCATCTCCCCAGCCTTGTCCCGAAGCTGCTGCCCCAGGGTGCTGGCCGTGCTGCTGGCCGACAGCCGCAGGTTGGAGTCGAGGTTCAGGCAGGCGGTGTGCAGGCGGCGGGCTGTCCTGGCCGTGTCTGCCTGCAGGTCAGCGAGGCCCCTGGGAGACAAGGGCAGCATCTGTGGCGGACTCAGGACCCATCTGCAGAGGGAGGGCCTGGTCCCATCAGCCCCACAGAGGACCCCCTCCTTGGCCATCGTCAGGAGAAGCCCCCACTGCATGGCATTGATTGTTCCCATGTGTCACCAAACACCAGGAAGGCAGCTGGGGAGGAGTGAGCAGGGGCAGGACCAGGTTGCACACTTCAGGCTTCAGCAGCCTTCACCGAGTCATCGACCCTCTGAGCCCCCGACTCCTCCTGCGCAAGGGGCTGCTACGTACCTAAGGGCTAGCAGGGTGGTACCAGGACTGACCTCCAGTGTGGCACCCAGCAAGGGCTGGACAGACTCCAGAAGCTCCATCTGGGTAGGTGTCCCCCACCCCACAGTGTCCTCTTCACCCTCCTCTCATCTCTCCTTGGTGTCCCCAACCTACCTCCCTGGCCTGTTTGTCCTTCTCCCCTACTGCCCTCCTAGGCTGCCCTCATCGCTGCTCCCACTGGCCGGCCTGAGGCCCAGCCAGGGCTGGGTGAGAAGCCGGCAGGCCAGGGCTACTGCACCCACGGGAGAGCCCGCCCTGGGCACCGATTTCCCCCTCCCCAAGGGGGTTTCAGCTCCCTGCAGCCTGGTGCCTGGCCCCAGGTGGGGCGGCTGGCACTCACCTCTCAGTGGCTACACGCAGCTCGGCCAGGTCTGTCCCCAGCACCACGGCCTGTCTCCACAGGAGGAGGAGGTCCCGGGGCTGCCCCAGGCCCCCTGACCGGGTCTGAAAGCAAGAGGCCTCCTGTCTACTTCAGGCTGGGGCCCCTTTACCCTCCCTGAAGCCCACTCTTTTCCAAGTGCATGTCCCTCTCCATGGGGGCTGGAAGTGGACCCAGCATCCCAAAGCCCCCATATCTCACAGGCAAATGAGCCCTGGGCTCCCCCAACCCCACCCTGGGGCCATACTGTGCCCCTCCCCAGGAGATGATCTGGGGACGTGACCACATCCAGCCCTCCCAGGCCAGCCTGCGTGCATGGAGGTGGGAGGGTGGGGTGCGTGGGCCCCTGAAGAGAGAAGGTGCTGACTCAGTCGCGGCTCCCCAGCTACTCTCAGGAACTGCTCAGGCTTGGAACACCCCAGAACCAGGCCTGGCCCCTGCTGGGGCAGACATTTCTGCAGCACAGGGCTCCTGCCCTGCCACTCCAATGGAAGAGGACGGGCTGCCTTTCTCCAGTACAGTCTTTCTCCTTACTCTGGAGGGCTCCTGAAGATGTCCAGGTGTTGGTCTGGCACTTCGAAGGTGCCAGGGACACAGAAGCAAGTTAGAAGCCTCTAGCACTGGGTACCCAGTTCAGCAGGGAGGAGGGTGGGAAGCCACAACCGAGACAAGGCCAGTGATTAGGCTGTAACGGAGCGGAGTGGGAGGACTCTGTGTGGGGGCAGGAATGGGGGGAATTGTGTGTGCACAGTGGTTCCAGCCTTGCAGGGAGCTAAGATGAAAGCCAGAAGTCTCAGAGTCTCCACACCACCTTCTAGGCCCTGCACTCACCTTCTCCTGCTCACTGACCTCTGGAACTCAGGGTGCTACTGTGTTTCTACCACCTCTGCCTGCCTGTGACAGCCCCACCCCTGCTCCTCCAGGGTGCCTTCAGGTAGAGCACTCACATCCTGCCCGTTCTCCAGAACCCCCAGAGAGGACCATGACCAGAAACCAGCGGAAACAATAGAACGAGACCTTGAAGAACTTCAGGTATTAGATCAACTCACCTTCATGAAGCTTGCCTGACCCCCTCACCTGATCCCACACCTGAGATTCCCCCCAGCTGAGCCCATAACACCTGGCCATACACCCTCCGGAGAACACATCCCTCTGTGTCCATTCCACCTGGCTGTACACCCTCCAGAGGGCATGCCCCTCTGTGCCCATTACACCTGGCCATGCACCCGCTGGAGGGCACGACTCTCTGAACCCATACCTGGCCATACACCCTCCGAGGGCATGCTCCTCTGAGCCCATTACACCTGGTCATACACACTCTGGAGGGCATGACTCTGTGAACCCATACCTGGCCATACACCCTCCAGAGGGCATGCCCCTCTGTGTGCATTACACCTGTCTGTACACCCTCCGAGGGCATGCTCCTCTGAGCCCGTTACCCCTGTCTGCACGCCCTCCGAGGGCGTGCTCCTCTGAGCCCGTTACACCTGTCTGCACGCCCTCCGAGGGCATGCCACCCCGTGCCTGCTGTACGGGGTAGACGCTTGCTTCAGCCGCACCGCCTCCTGCACTCCGTGTTCATCACAAGAGCAGGCTGAGACACTTCTTGGCAACATGGAGGTGTGGCTGCCAGATTAACCTGCCGCTTAAACTCATGAGAGTCCAGATTCACAGCCTCTTCCTGAATGCAGGGCTGGGCTGGCCTGAACGGCTGGAACACTTAGGCCAGGAGTTGGTGAAGTCACAGACCATCGGGGAGTGTACGCAATTTCTTGCTACACACACACACACACACACACACACACACACAAAACAGGCACACATGACCCTGCAAGAGATTATAAGGAAAACTGCCTGTCCAGAATGTCGGAGTTAAACAGAGAAAAAAGTCTTCCTTGTGGATATGGAAGCACACTACATCACCAGGATAGTCTCAAGAAAACTGAAGCTGAAAATGTACTTCAATGTGGCCCCAAAGACTGTTAGAGCCCCTTGGCATCTATCAGAAACAAATAAAAACCCTTCCTAGAAAATACTGTATTCACCTCAGGTTTCAAAGAAACTTCACAGAGTTCCAAGGAAAATAAGCAGCTCTTAGTTAAAAAATAAAAAATCACCAAAGGCACAAGGAAACAAAGGACCATGATCAGAAACCAGCAGAAACAATAGAACCAGACCTTAAAGAATTTCAGATATTGGATAGTCAGACACAGGCTACAAAAAGACTATTTTTAACATGGTTCAACAAATAAATAAAAGGCTTGAAAATGTGAGTTAAGAAGCCAGGCGAGGTGGCTCATGCCTGTAATCCCAGCATTTTGGGAGGCTGAGGCAGGCGGATCACCTGAGGTCAGGAGTTCGAGACCAGCCTGGTCAACATTGTGAAATGCCATCTCTACTAAAAATACAAAAATTATCCAGGCGTGGTGGCACACGCCTGTAATCCCAACTACTCAGGAGGTTGAGGCGGGAGAATCGTTTGAACCCGGGAGGCGGAGGTTGCAGTGAGCTGAGATTGTGCCACTGCACTCCAGCCTGGGTGACAGAGCAAGCTTCTGTCTCAAAAAGAAAAAAAGAAAATGTGAGTTAAGAGTAAGCTATTTAATATTTGGGAAAGAATCAAACAGAACTCTTAATGAGGAAAAATACAATATTGGCAATTTAAGCTAAGTAGGCAAATTTAACAGAGATTAGACATCAGAAGAGAAAACTGATGGACTGGAAAGGAAATTTGAAGAAATTATCTAGAATATAGTCTAGGGTAATAAAAAGAACAAATCCGTGAACTGTGCCTGGGAGACAGCGTAAGAATGGCTAACACATGTCTAGCCGGAGCTCAGAGGAGGGGAGATGGATGATGAGCCCCGGCAATGTTTAAAGAATATTGACTTCCCCAAAATAACAAGCGACACAGAGGTTCCGCGAACCCTAAAGCGGGATAAACAAATAAATCTACACGCAGACACAACACAGGGACACGACACAACAACAAGTCGGAGCAGGGGTCTTCAGAGCAGCCGGTGAGAAGACATGTTACTTCGATAAGGAGCCAGTCAGAATCCAGGCAGCCTGGAAGCTGACTTCTCAACAGCAGCAGCGGAAGGAGAAAGAGAAAGCATATCTTTAAGGTGCCGAGAGAAAGCAGCTGTCAACCAGTGAGAACAGTTCTCAAGGACAAAGGGAAAATAAAGACCTGGGTGATCGAATGCCAAACTGAGCTCAGGGACCCTCTCCTTCTGGCATTTGTTCTCACACAGCAGAATCGGCTCCCGGGATCCTCAGGTGACCTGTCCAGCGGTCCAAGGACAGGGACCAGGCAGTGGGAACATGAGATCTGCCTCAAACGCCTCGAGCCAGAAGGCCTGGCATAGGCGATGACTCCTTGCTGATAGCACGGCTCCCGCTGACGCTATGCAGAGGCCGGCATTCCCTCTCGGGGTGTAAACCTCGGCTGGTTTGTCTGACACCTGCCTTTCAGGAGCAGCAGCTGTGGGGGGCTCGGGGCTGGGACCTCGGGGGCGAGTGGCGGCCCCTCTGGGACAGGCTTGTCTGAGGGACGTCTGTGGAGGCAACTGGAGGCCAGAAACGCGGCTGCCCCTCCGGCTCCTGCCTCCACCTGGCGCAGCACATCTTCCGGGGGGCCCGTCTTCCTGGGGAAATCCTTGCCCGTGGTGCCCATAGCATGCAGGGGCTGGGCGTCCAGTCCCCCTTTGCTGGAGGGCTGTTGGGAACACCTTCAGGCCCTCAGGGACTGCCTGGCTGGAGAGCCACGGTACCCAAGGCCACAGCAGCTTCAGGGGGTCCCACGACCATGGAGAGATCCGAGCAGGGCATGAACACCTGGATGTCTCCCTCCCACAGGGGCTGGTGCCTGGAGCTCTGTGCCCTGACCCCCTGCATGCCTCAGGGTCTCAGAAGTTGGAGTGGGAAAGGCTGCAGGGGGACCTGGGGGGCCACGGCCAGGTGCTGTGAGCAGCAGTGCAGCCCCAGGCTCCTTCCAAGGTCCCTGCTCCTGAAGTCTGGCCAGGAGTTCGGCCTACGGAGAACAACCTGCCTCTCCAAAGAGCGTGGTCCACACCAGAGCTGGGGTGCGGCCCCAGTGCCCCATTCTGAGATCCCTGCCCTCCTTCTCCGGGTGGGGGGCAGTAGGGGTGGACCACGAAGTCCCTCACTCCACAGACTGCTGTGGCCAAGCCGGGTTGGGGACATGGTGTGGCAAGAAGCTGTGGCCTCGTCCCCAAGAGGGACAGCCACTGAGCCAGTGCACCCTCACCATGTCCCTGCCTGCTACCCAGCCATAGGCACCCAGACAGGCGGCCGCCATGAGGTGAGCAAGGGTTGGGGGAGCACCTGTCTCTGGGCCCAGCGCCTCAGCTCCAGCTCGCCCTGCAGGCGCTGCACGCTGCCCGTCATCCCGGCCAGCTCCCGGCCCAGCGCGTCATTGGCCTTCTTCATATGTTCCAGCTGCTCCCGCAGGAGCGCGTTCACCTGACAGAGGCCGGTGCTCCTGGACAGAGAACCCACAGGGCATGGTGGGGGTAGGAAGCCTCTCCTAAGAGAGGCGCTCAGAGTCCCCAAGTCAAGGGGCTTGAATGGAACCCCAAACCCTCTGGGCCTAACTGACCTGGGCTCAGGTGCACAGCCGCTGCTCTGCCCCCACCTGCCATGGGCCCCACAAAGGACCCCTAAACTGAGTGCCAGCATCAAGGTGGCTCTCCCAGGTGCCAGCCCAGTGCCCTCCTGCCTCCCTGCGATATCTGCCCCTGCCCCGAGCTCTCCTGGCTCTGGCTCTGCAACCTTGGCCCGTCCCTCAATGCCTGAGACAAGGTGCCAGGGGCTGGGAGGGAGGTGCCTTTCGCGGGGCGGGGTGACGCGGAGAGGGAGTCAGACATGCCCGTGGTGGGGGACGGCTTCTGCTGCACCCTGGGGACTTCCCCACCACAAGTAGGTCCACACTTGCTGCAGTAGGGGTGCAAGTCCGCCAGGTGGGTGGACCTCGGGAGCCGGCACCCCCGCCAGGCCTAAGCCTCCTCTTGGGTTATTTTTCTTCCCCCTCAAAACTGGTTTTCAAAAGTTTCTCAGCACTTTGATTCCTTTTCCAGATTCCTGGAGGATGAACCAAATGTGTCGATATTCTATAGACAACTTAACCTCCCCAGGTCTGGGAGACTGGTGGGCCTTGGTTGCTGTGCAGGGCTGGGTTAATGTGGGGGCTGGGTCAGTGTGGGGGGCCGGGTCAGTGTGGGGGCCGGGTCAGTGTGAGGGGCCGGGTTAGTGTGGGGGCTGGGTCAGTGTGGGGGGCCGGGTCAGTGTGGGGGCCGGGTCAGTGTGGGGGCCGGGTCAGTGTGGGGGCCGGGTCAGTGTGGGGGCTGGGTTAGTGTGGGGGCCGGGTCAGTGTGGGGGCCGGGTTAGTGTGGGGGCCGGATTAGTGTGGGGGCTGGGTTAGTGTGGGGGCCGGGTCAGTGTGGGGGCCGGGTTAGTGTGGGGGCTGGGTTAGTGTGGGGGCTGGGTCAGTGTGGGGGCCGGGTCAGTGTGGGGGGCCGGGTCAGTGTGGGGGCTGGGTTAGTGTGGGGGGCCGGGGTAGTGTGGGGGGCCGGGATAGTGTGGGGACTGGGTTAGTGTGGGGGGCCGGGTTAGTGTGGGGGGCCGGGTTAGTGTGGGGGGCTGGGTTAGTGTTGGGGGCTGGGTTAGTGTGGGGGCCGGGTTAGTGTGGGGGCCGGGATAGTGTGGGGACTGGGTTAGTGTGGGGGGCCGGGTTAGTGTTGGGGGCTGGGTTAGTGTGGGGGCCGGGTTAGTGTGGGGGCTGGGTTAGTGTGGGGGCCGGGTTAGTGTGGGGACTGGGTCAGTGTGGGGACCGGGTTAGTGTGGGGGCTGGGTTAGTGTTGGGGGCTGGGTTAGTGTGGGGGCCGGGTTAGTGTGGGGGGCTGGGTTAGTGTGGGGACTGGGTTAGTGTGGGGGCTGGGTTAGTGTGGGGGGCCGGGTTAGTGTGGGGGCCGGGTCAGTGTGGGGGCCGGGTTAGTGTGGGGGGCCGGGTTAGTGTGGGGGGCTGGGTTAGTGTGGGGGGCCGGGTTAGTGTGGGGGCTGGGTCAGTGTGGGGACTGGGTTAGTGTGGGGGGCCGGGTTAGTGTGGGGGGCTGGGTTAGTGTGGGGGGCCGGGTTAGTGTGGGGGCTGGGTCAGTGTGGGGACTGGGTTAGTGTGGGGGGCCGGGTTAGTGTGGGGGGCTGGGTTAGTGTGGGGGGCCGGGTTAGTGTGGGGGCTGGGTCAGTGTGGGGACTGGGTTAGTGTGGGGACTGGGTTAGTGTGGGGGCTGGGTTAGTGTGGGGGCCGGGTTAGTGTGGGGACTGGGTTAGTGTGGGGACTGGGTTAGTGTGGGGGGCCGGGTTAGTGTGGGGGGCCGGGTTAGTGTGGGGGGCCGGGTTAGTGTGGGGGCTGGGTTAGTGTGGGGGCCGGGTTAGTGTGGGGGCTGGGTCAGTGTGGGGACTGGGTTAGTGTGGGGGGCCGGGTTAGTGTGGGGGGCTGGGTTAGTGTGGGGGGCCGGGTTAGTGTGGGGGCTGGGTCAGTGTGGGGACTGGGTTAGTGTGGGGACTGGGTTAGTGTGGGGGCTGGGTTAGTGTGGGGGCCGGGTTAGTGTGGGGGCTGGGTTAGTGTGGGGACTGGGTTAGTGTGGGGGGCCGGGTTAGTGTGGGGGCCGGGTTAGTGTGGGGGGCTGGGTTAGTGTTGGGGGCTGGGTTAGTGTGGGGGCTGGGTTAGTGTGGGGGGCTGGGTTAGTGTGGGGGGCCGGGTTAGTACAGGCAGGGTGGGGGCCGGGCAGAGGCCCCCTTGATAAGCCCAGGCATGACATCGTCAGCTCCATCTCAGGGTGTGAGTGGGTGATCCACACACTGGACTCAGGTGTGGCTGGTGGCCAGGGTCTGTTGCCAGGGTCCTAATGTCAGTGCTCACTGACAGCGGTGGCGGGGGGGGCTCTGTCCCTCTCCGCCACTCTCTCCCTGTCATTCATGAGGCTCTGTCTCTCTTTGCCACTCCCTCCCTGTTATTCATGAGCCAGGTTGACCCGTGGCAGGGAGGATGGCAGAGCGTGGAGAGGCTGCCACGTGGAAGGCTGGCACCAGTCCCGTCCCCCATGGTGAGCAGCCCCTGCTCCTGGCCTGTGGAGCGGGGGAGGGGTCTGATAGCGATGGGTACAATCGTGATGCAGCTACTATAATAGGGATGCTGCTGAGCCGCTCTCAGAGGCTGGGACGGTGGTGCCTGGTTGCGTGAGAGGCCCACGCTGAGCCCAGGAGGCTGAGTGTTTCACTGTTTCCACTCGGCCTGGGGTCTCCCCACAGCAAGAGGGAGCGCGCTGCAGGCCCCCACACTGCCCAGCCACTCAAGTCAGTCCCCCTTCCCAGCCGTGCCTTCTCCAGCCCCCTGCCCTGCCCTGCCAGGCCATGGAGGCCTGGGTTGGCTCCCACAGGGAAACTGAACTCACAGCTGCTTTGGGAAGAGCTGTCAGTAGCCCCAAGGCACAGAGGGTCCCACTGCCTCTCGGGGGGATGGCTGTGCTTCCTGCAGCCCTGACTGCCCCGCACCTGGCCTCACCTCTCCTCGGCAGCCTCCAGACGGCCAAGGGCCTCCTCCAGATCCACGCTGTGCTCCAGCTCTGACCTCCGCAGCTGAGCCTCGGTGGTCTCCAGCCGGGCCTGCAGCTGGGGAGGAGCAATAGCCCACCTGGTCTGGCTGCTCCTGAACCCGCCAGGCAGGGGCTGGGGCATCTTGGGCACAAAGCCGACCTTAGTGGGGAAGAGAGGGCTCCCTGGGGCCCCACAGCAGGGGCTGGGGTTGGGTCTGGTGAGGCCCAGGCCCTTCCACACAATGAACCCGACAGGTGGCCTCCTGCCCTGTGCCAAGTGCCCACGGCTGGCAGAGGAGGGGAGGGGCAGGGGCATGCTGGGTTGCACTGATGTGCCAATCCCATCAGGCCTTGAGGACAGTGTGAGTATGGTGGCCCAGTGGGGGCATAGCTCTGGGGGCTGCTGGAGCATGCCCACATTTCATTTACAGATGGGTAAACTGAGGCCCCACTGCCCCAGCTACCTGGGCAGCCCAGCCGTCAGTGTAGGGGGAGGGGCTTCAGGGCTTGGTTCAGGCACACAGGGGCAGGATGGAAGGTCACAGGGCTACCTCTGGGGCTGCCCCCTGGAGATTGAGTGTGGTTCCTCTCCATCTGGGCCTCCTGCCTGAGTCCAGCACCTCACCTACAGGGAGCAGGACCACACCCACCATGATGTGGGCCCACTGCCCAGGGCCACTCTGCCACCACTGGGCCAAGACCGAACTTGGGCCCAGGAAATCAAGGGCCAAGGATGGCCTAGGTGGAGGGGTGGAGGGGAGGGCAGCAGGCCTGGGGCCTCAGCTGTGGCTATGCCTGGGCCAAATGCATGGGAGAGCCAAGGGGCCCCTCCTCAGCCACAAGCTGGAAGAGAAGGTGGCGTTGGAAGACCCTGGAGGAGCCGGGCGGGGTCTGGGGGTGCCACCCCAGGATGGAGATGCCATGGTCAGGCACTCTGGCCACCCAGACCCCGTTCCGCCTGTCTTGGGGGTAACTTGGAGTTAGACCCAGCCTCCTGGCACCCACACTTTGCCTGCTGAGCCGCCCGGGAGCTGGCGTGCACTGGGCTGCTGGCGAGTTTGGATCTGACTCACGCAGCTTACTAATCTGTCGGCAGCATTTCTGTGGCTTCTATTCCCACTGGCCTGTTCCCAACATCTCCCCACCCTGTGCTAGGAAGATGCCTCCCCCAAGGCCTCCCCACAGCTGTAGGGGCTCCCAGGAAGAGTAGGCTGGCTGGCAGCTCACGGATGTGCTGGGGCCCCCATCAGGTGGGGTGGACCCCAGCTCCTGCCCTCAGGGGCTCCCAGGGGTGCCAGCAACAATGGATGGAAACGTGTTTCCCGTGTGGGGGTCAGGGCGTGATAGAACTGGGTGGGGAGCAGAGAACGGGCCCCTCAGAGAGCTGAGGGCACCGCTGTGGGGCTGGTGCTGCCATGATCCTGGGAAGGACCCTTCTAGAAGGTGAGGCCCCCTGGGGACCCCTCAGGCATTCAGTACTGGCCACTGGTCAGGTGACTAAGAAGGGGCCAGATCTGCTTCAGGGGTTCAGATCTCAGCCCCAGTAATGGTGGTGTGGCCTGGGTGATCACTGGCTGGCTCTGAGCCTCTACTCCTTATCTGGAAAGTGGGGTCATCTGACATGCCATGCAGAACCAGGGGGGCTCTGAAGATGGCATGGGTGTGGCAGGGGCCCTGAGTACCCCACAAGGTGGGCTGGACACCCCACTCCACGCACTGGCTCCTTGCCAAGTCCTGCCTCAGAAGCCAGCATGTCTTGGAGCGGCTGACATAGGAGAGAGGCTCTGGCCTAGCAGGTTTCTTCACCTTTCTGCCTCGGTTTCCCTGTCTACACAATGGGAGGCCTTCCCCAGCTCCACATTTTGTGACTAAATATGCCTCTTGCTCACCTCACAGGTCACCCTGGAAGGCACTACAGCCACCAGGGGACCAAAGATACAGCCCTGCCTCTGTCCCCTCTCCTCTGAGGTCCAAGCGGCCCCGGCCAGCCTCAGTTGTCAGAAAAGGGCCAGGGAACTGGGGTGGAGCCATTTCTCTGCGAGCTCCATCTGGGGTTGGGGTCGGTGCCTGCTGGCCTGCTTTCCTCTGCTGTGCAGGTGCCAGCTTTGTGCCAGTGCTGGGCAGAGCACTGGGCCCCGCGAGTCAGGACTGGCCAGGCCACCCCACAGGGCTCCCGGGCAGGTGCGGGGACAAGTCAGTGCCTAAGCTAGGTTGCGAGACCTAGGGGACACGCTGGGCATCAGAAAGGCCTGGGCACGTGCTGCTTGGCCTCCCACCTCTGGCCTCAGTTATCCCATCTGTTGCCTCAGTTTCCCTGTCTGTTGCCCAGGGTTTGAATGTCACGTGGCTGACACTCTGTCTTTCCGAGTCTTAGAAATTGCCGATGGTCCCAGGCTCTGACTGCCGTCCCGACAAGTGACCCCTCACGAAGGGCCAGGCTGCCACCTCCCGCCTGCCCTGAGTCTGCTGCACACACGCACCTGCTCGCTGACCACACGGCACCTGCTGGCCAGCTCATCTCGCTCGGCGCTGGCCTGGGCCAGCAGGTCCCCCAGCCGGGTCAGCTCCTCCTGCAGGAGCTCGTTCTCCTCTTGCACTCGGGCCACAGTGGCTGTCGGCTCCTGTACCCCTGCTGCACGGTACCTGGGTCAGCCTGGGTGGCCAGACCAGGGCCCACCCACACTCAGCCTTGTGCCCTGTCTCCACGGTGGGACCCTGGGCTGGCCACCAGGCTCCAGCTGCTGGACCTGCCCCCATCTCCTGGGAGGGGTCCCAGATCTGAGCCCGGGACCCTAACATAGGGAGGCAGACTTCATACTCTGAGCCCCACTTCCTCTCATGTTAACTGCAATCCTACCACCTCGAACCCCAATGCAGACCCAGGCCCAGGCCGAGCCCCAAACCAATGGCAGCAGAGTGTGTGGGCGGCCTGGACGCTGGGCACTCGCGCTGTCTATGAAGTTGTGAGCCCTGTTGCTTCTGGGGGAAGGGACCTGGTCCCCGAGTAATAAGGTGCTTTTGTAAATACACACACAGCCAGTTCCCCGGGCCTGCAGGAGGCTGGACAGACCCTGGGAGAGAGGGATCCCTGGGACCCATGCACGAGGGAGTCCTGGGCACACACAGGACAGGCGGCCTGGAGCTGTTTCCTCAGCTGCCAGGTGGATAATTGGAGGCAGAGCAGGGGCCTGGGGCGGGTGCAGGACAGGCAGAGCCCAGGGGGGTGGGCGTCTGTGCTCCCTGAGTGCCAGTGTCCAGCATTTCCACGCTGAGGAAGAAACCACCAATGAAGCGGAGACGCAGGTGGCCACAAGTGTGCCACACAGCGGCAGCCCTGCTCAGGCCCTGCTGAGTGCCCTGTGGGTATCGATATGATGCCCCTGAGGGTGGCCCTGTGGGGGGTGAGGCCAGCCCCAGGCCCAGGACTGTCCCCCACGCCGTCACCTTGGCCAGCTGCAGGCCCAGGACTGTCCCCCACGCTGTCACCTTGGCCAGCCGCGGGCCCAGGACCGTCCCCCACGCCATCACCTTGCCCAGCCCCGGGCCCAGGACCGTCCCCCACGCCATCACCTTGCCCAGCCCCGGGCCCAGGACTGTCCCCCACGCCATCACCTTGGCCAGCCGCGAGCCCAGGACTGTCCCCCACGCCGTCACCTTGGCCAGCACCGGGCCCAGGACTGTCCCCCACGCCGTCACCTTGGCCAGCCCCGGGCCCAGGACTGTCCCCCACACCATCACCTTGGGGTGGCTCCTCACTCAGGCTGCCGGCCACGATCTCACGGATGCGGGTGGGCACGGGGGTGGGCGAGGCCTGCCGGCCTTCCCCACGCACGGTCAGCGCCCGGTCTTCCCTGCTGGCTGTGGGACTCAGGATGGTGTCCTCCAGTCTCTGAAAGACACCCCCAGAGATACCTGGAGATGGCAGCCCCCAACAGCTGCCAGGCACCCTCTACGATCCCACTGAATGGGAGCCGCCACAGGGCCACCCCAAGGCAGCAGAGTGCCCTGGAGAGGACAGGGTGAGGCTGGGCAGGTCACTCAGGCGCATGCCTTGGTTCTGCACCTGCGGAGTGGGGCTGCGCCTGTCCCCAGGTTCTGGAGAGGAGGACCACACCCAGCCGAGGTCAGCAGGAGCAGGTACTGCGCTTGGGGCTCTGCCCTGTCTTGGTGGGGGCTGGGCTGAGCGCTGGCTAAGCGGTTGCCAGTTCCCTAGGGGATGCTGACAGGCAGGTTCCTTTGCCTCTGCTCCACAAGAAACCCAACATCCTCGCCCACCTGGAGCAGGTGGTCTCACAGCTTGTTTGCACGGTGGGGCCAGAGGAGGGACCTAGATCCCACGCAGCAGTCACAGAGCCCAGTGTGTTTGTGTGTGTTTGTTGGGGGGTGGGGGCTGAGGATGGGTCAGAGGGCTGAGGCTGAACCCATCCTTCTCTGCTCAGCTGCCCACTGCCCCTCCACAGGCTCGGTCCATCGGGACCCAGGTGGGTCCTTCATGAAAGCCGACTGCCAGGGAAGAGGCTCCAATAGGCCCAGAAGTGGGCAGGAAGGCCCAGGACCTGGGCTCACACTCAGGAGGTGTTTGCTGAATGGCTGCCCTTCTGCCCCAGGAGTGCCTGGGTGTCCTGGGTACCCCAGCCTGGTTTTGAGGGTCTTGGGCTCTAATGGCATTTTGCCGGGCAGGGGCACAGCTTGGGGAGGGCCGGGACCCCAGGGCAGGGGACTCCTGCCAGGTGAAATAGATTACCGACTGTGGGCAGGACACACAGGCCGCCTGTGCCAAACCAGCAGAAGCCCAGGCAGGATCCCGCAGGAATACGCAAGGCCACAGCTGTCCCCGGCCTGCTGCCTTAAGGATATCTGAATTTCAGGCAGTGAATTAACTACTAAAGGGTGACTGGATGCTTGCCAGGGGAAGCTGGGAGGGGATGTCCACTCCTAGGGCTCTCCAGCATGGCACGCCAGAGTCCACCCAAGTCCTCCTTGCCTGGCTCCCACGCCAGCACAGAGGACCCCTCTCCCTGGGGTCCGCAGGGCAGCTCCCCCACCTTGTGCCTCCTGGATTTTCCTCCTGACCAGGGTCCACGTGGGTGACCACCTGGCTGCCTCCTGCCTCCCATCTCTTGGCCCTCCCTGAGACCCTGCTTGCGTCCCCGGACTCTGACCTCAGGCCTGGGCTGGTGGCTGTGCCCTGCTCCCCCACCCTCCTCCCAACCCCAGCCAGGCCTCCTGCACCTGGTGCATGCTGTCTGGCTATCCCGGATGCTCCCTGGACACAGGCCTCCTCCTCCATCTGCACCCCAAAGATCGCGGCCCCCCTCGCCGGGGTTGGAGAGTCACCGCAGACCCAGGCTCAGCATGGCGCCTGGAGAGGCCCTATTCCGACTCTGCTGCCCTGCAAAGGGCAGCCACTCAGCAAACGCCTCCCCACTATCAGCTGAGGTCTGGGGCCAGCCCGCCCGTCCTCCCGACAGCCCGTGCACCAGGGTCTGTCTCTCAGTCCCCTGGGAGGTCTTGGGAGGCGCCTTCACTGCAGGTTCCCCCATTGCCTCTTCTTCTGGAGGGAGTAATGGGCCCCCCTTGGGAGCAGCAGCCCAGTGGGGGAGGGGGAGGGAAGTCCCTGCTCCTCCTCCTGGGCCCAGCTGGGACCCAGGTGCCAAGACCACCAACCAGGAGGAGAGCTGCTGGAAGGGGCTCAGCCATTCTGTTCTAAACCCCTTATTTTGCACAGCGGAGAACGGAGGCCCAGCAGGGTGGCAAGAGGCACCCCAGGCTCCTTGATCAGAGACCGTCATGCTCCGCTCAATCCCCCAGACTGGGAAGGGCTCTGCCCCGCCCTCCCTCCGCCTGCTCAGCAGCTCCCGCCCTGCGCTCCCCCGGGCATCGGCGGCGCCACCCGCTAACGGGAAGGCTGCAGCGCGGAGTAAACTTGACTCATTCCTAACATTTACAGAGGGTCACTTATTAGCGGGACGTCCCGAGAGGCGCTGGGGCGTAATGGGTTCCATCTGTGGACGGGTGCCTGCAATAGGCCGCGGCCCAGCTGGAGCCGGAGGGGGGCGCGGGGAGCGCGGGGGGAGCGCAGGGGGCGTTCAGGGGGACACGGGGGGAGCGGGGAGCGCAGGGGGCGCGGGGGCGCGGGGGCACGGGGGGAGCGCATGGGGGGGGCGGGGGACGCAGGGGTCGTGCAGGTGGGCGGGGGGCACCGGGGAAGGAGGGGGCGAGCAGGGGGGCGCAGGGGGACGCAGAGGGGGGCGCAGGGGGCGTAGAGTGGGCGCGACTTTGGAGTGTGAGGGCAGCGCCGCCCCCATGGAACCACCCGGAGGAGAGAAGGGCTGAGGGAAGGAGCAAGCAGGGGAGAGGCAGGGATGGGAGAGGAGGGGAAGGAAGGGAAGGTGGAGGTCGGCGTGTCCGGAGGCCTGTGCCGCCAGCCTAAGCGCTTAGGACCCCGCCGATGCTGCTTCCTTCCCCACGGCTCCAGGGTGGTCCTGAGGGTCGGCACCGCCCACTCCCCAGGCCCCTCCCAGGGACTCTGCGCTGCCACCTGCGCCGGCGGGTACAGGCAGGGCGTCCCCTCCGCGACCTGTGGGTCCTTCTGGGCCTGCCCGTTTCCCGCCCGGGGCCTCTGCGGGGTGGGCCCAGGCTGTGGCCCAGCGTCCGCTGGAGGCTTGTATTCTAGAAGGCCTCGCAGTGGGAGGGAACACCAGGGCTGGAGGTCACTTTCCCCTAAGGCCCCAGACTCACAGCTGAGCCCGGCCCCTATCTCTTCCTCCTGCCCCCAGCACCTTCTTCAGCTCAACCTGCATTAAAGACCCCAGGGAGGTCACAGCCCCTGAGTGGAGCTACGCTAGGGGTAGCTGGCCCACTCAACCCGATCCTGGCCCTGAGGGGGGTGGCCCAGCAGGGAGAGCCAGCGGGTCCTCACTGCTGCGCCACCCCATTTGGTTGTGTGGAGAGGGACAGCCAAACCTTGGGGGAAATGTGGGCTCCCCATATCTCTGCCTCCACAGGGTTAGAGCAGGGCTCCCCTCTAAAAGAGTTGGACTGGGGTCCTTGCTATGCCACCAATAAACAGAGACCGTGGGTGTTACCCCCCACCTCATGTCCCCATCTGTGAAATGGGAGCGTTGGCCATCCAGGCCCTCCTGGATCCCAGGGCCAGGGGCTGAGGCTCTGTGAGGGTGCAGTGGATGGACCACGTGTGGCCTCAGCTGCCTGCCCCCAACTGGCCACCAGCCCCTGGGAAATGCAAGCTGCTGGAATCTTGCCTGGAGGCAAATGACCTCCCACACTCTGATGGAATCAGAACCCTCGTGTGGATCCAGGGTCCCACCTGCACTTTGGCACTTGCTGGGGACCGGGGGTTTCAGGGCTGCTACCAGGGCCTCTCCTCTTACACCCCTTCCCCATTCCAGGGCCTTGGCCAAGACCCTGGAATGGGGGGCCGGGAGGTCACCTTATCATCATGCTGCAGATGGGGAAACTGAGGCCAGGGACACGACCCCAGCTCTCCACTGGGGTGGGGTGGAGCCACAGCGCACCTGCCAGCCCATACTGCCTGCAAAAGGCTTCCGCCTGCAGGGAGGGCGCAGGGACTGTAGGTCTGCACCGAAAAACCCGAGTCTTGGCTTTATCTGGAGGCCACGCTCTTGCGCTGATTCCCATCCCTGCGCCTGGGGCATCACCTTGGAGATGCTGTCAGGGGTCAGAAGACTTGGAGGGAAATCCCCCACACCCTCGTCAAAGCCATCTGAAGCAGGGACGGTCAGGGGCCTGCTGAAGCTCAGACCCAAGGGTCACTGGCCCCACCAGCCCTCAGCAGCCCCACCACCCCGTCGTCCCGTCCTGCTTGGACAGCTGCCTGAGCTGGGGGCGGGAGGGGGAGCACGTCCATCGGGACCCCCGCCCACCCACCAGCAGGCTCCTCGGTCAGCCTGGGTCACCCTCATTGAGGGGTGGACCCCCGAGTGAAGGGTGGGGTGGAGGGCGAACCTCCTGAGTGAGGGGTGGGATGGAGGCAGCTCCCAGCCAGAGGGTGGAGGGTCCCTTCCCTGAGCTCCAACAGTGCCCCCGTGTGGCCGCGAGGAGCGCTGCAGGGGGCTGCCAGGTCCTGCTCTTGTAGAACGGAGGCTGGGGCTGGGGGTTTGGACGGCATCTCGGACCAGTGCTCAGTGGAAAATGAAAGATGTGTGTCCACGAGAGTGAAGGCGCGCGCCAGCATCGGCCCGCAGGGTTCTCCACGCTCTCCACTTGCAAACGTTTTCACATCCATTGTCCTGGCCTGCATTGGAGGCTTCTGGCCTCCGCCTTAATGGGTGAGGAGGGTGAGGCTTGGCACCTCTGAGACTTGCTCAAGAGCACCTGCTCAGCAGCAGCGTTAGGACTGGGACCCCAGCCTTGGGCCCCCACTCGCGCACAAGGGTGGTCACTGATGAGCCTTCCCAGCGGCGGTGTCTGGACTTGGCTCCACTGCAGTTCTCCTCCCCTGTGTGCCCCCTTCCCAGCCTGAGCAAAGGGCAGGGAACCAAGCAGCTTCCGGGCCGGGCGGCAGCCCCTTTCCTCCTGTGTCTGAGCCCAGCCATGCTGCGGCTGCTGCCTTTCTCTCCCGGGCCCTCCATGGCCCTCCCAGCATCCCTGGGCGGGGAAGTCTGGCCTTGCCAGGAGCAGGCACAGCTTGAAGAACACATCTGAGGACAGGGCCTCCGGCCAAGTCCAGCCACCGGACGTCTGCTTGCCGTCCTTCCGCAGCCCGGCCCGCCGCAGAGAGGGCCTTGGGCTGGGTGGCCTCCTGCCAGGCTCCATTTCCTTAGGAAAAAGAGCTTCTCTGTGCCTGGGATAACACCTGGCCTCCAAAATGCTGTATTTCAGCAATTGCTCAGTTTAAGTCTCTGTGTTTGTGGAGCACACTCTGGGCCTGGGCATCACCCAGGAGCGGGAACATGCCTCTGTGGGTGTCAGTTTGCTCCTCAGGTGTTGATAAATCTAGGCCACCCCTGCAGGCAGGACCCCGGCCGGCTAGGCACTGAGGCAGGGATTGTGGATGGGGAGAGACAACTTCTCACTCCCTTCTATGCCACCAACACAATGCTTGGCACACAGACAGGCTCGGACACAGCGCACTGCTCCTGCTCAGAAGACTGAGAGCTCAGCTGGAACTGCCTCAGGTCCGAATCACCAATGGCAAAATGACTCAGAACAAGGAACTCGAGGAGGGCAAGGACCCTGTCTTTCCTGTTTATCCCTGTGTCCCTGGCGCCCACGCAGGCTTCCTGGGGGAGGTGGGATAAGAAAGAGCCCACCAGCTAGAGAGCCCGGGCACTGTGTCCATGTGGAGGGAGCTGTGGAAGCAAAGGTGGAGGGGGTGCATCTCCAGGGGTCTGTGCAGGGTCTGGGGGAGGGGCAGTGGGGATGGGGGTGAGTGAGGCAGAGCAGGAACCTGGCTCCAGACCGTGAGGGCCTCAAATGTTCTGTGGAGGATTGTGGGACACGATCCTTGGACCCCGGGGCTAGTGGGGGTTCCTGAGCGGGAGGATGGGCCCGTGTTGTTAGCACAGTGGCCCTGGCTGTGCCTGACAGGGCCTGGATGTGGCCTGGGAGATTGGGAGATGGGCTGAGCATCTGCCTCTGGCTTGCTTGTGACAGTGCGGAGCTCAGCGACGGGCACCGTGGCCTGGCTGCTTGGAAACCATCCACCGCTCCTGTCCCGTGGTGGGGACCCTAGACTTGGTCCCTTGGGATCTCCTGAGTGATAAGCGTGTCTTCTGTTGGCCTATGAGACGACTGATGGCCAGGGCCCCTGGATAGCCGCAAAGTAGGGGCTGGTTACCAGAAAGACCACGGCACGATTAGAACGTTGGTGCTTTCAGCCCCACACCCTGACATCTGGGGAGGGGAGAGGAGCTGTCTCTGGAGCTGATCACCAACGGCCAGTGATTTAATGAATTTTGCCTACTTAATGAAGGTTCCATAAAAACCCTAAACCACAGGGCTGGGCAGGCTGGGTTGCTGAATACAAGGCAGTGCTGTGGGTGGTTGGTGTGCCCAGGGGCCTGGAGGCTCCGTACCTGCCCCCTGTACCTTGACCTGGGCACCTCTCCTTCCGGCTAGTCCTGAGTTGTGTCCTTTATAATAAACCAGTAATCAAATGGGAAAGTCACTTCCAGAGTTCTGTGAGCTGTTCCAGCAAATTATCAAGTTGAGCAGGGAGTTGGAAGAACCCCTAATTCATAGCCAGTCAGACAGAATACGGGAGGCCCAGGACTTGTGATTGGCATCTGAGGTGGGGCAGCTTTATGGGACTGAGTCCTTAAACTGTGGGTCTGTGCCCGCTCTGGATGGTTAGGGTCCGAACTGGATTGAATTGTAGGACAGCTAGCTGGTGTCCAGGGAGGTGGAGAATTGGCTGGTGTCAGGAAAAACCCACACATTTGGTGTTAAAAGTGGTATGAGTAACAACAGTACAGACAGATAAACCTTGCCTGGAGGGAAGTGCGTACGTCAGAGAGGAAAAGAAGCGGGAGGGTAAGACGGTGCGGTTACTACGGAAGACAGCATGACAGGTCTCCACAAAATTAAATGTAGACTCTCCGCGCGACCCAGCCATCCACTTCTGGGCATCTGCCCGAAAGAATTGAAAGCAGAGGCTCGAAGAAATATTTGTACTCCGAGGTTCACAGCAGCATTTTCACAGCGGCCGGCAGGCAGAAGCTACCCAGGCGTCCATTCAGAGATGAATGAATAAACAGAGTGTGGTCCCTCTATGAGTAGAACATTACTCAGCCTTAAAAAGCAAGGAAATGCTGGCGCCTGCTACAACATGGGTGGACCTCGAGGGTGTCATGCTCAGTGAAATAAGCCCGCCACGAAGGGACAAATACCATCTGATCCACTTAGACAAGGCTGCTAGAGTCACCAAGTTCATAGAGACAGAGAGTAGGATGGTGGGGGCTGGGAGAGGGGGGAATGGGGCGTGAATGTTGAATGGGGGCAGAGTCTCAGTTTGGGAAGATGAAAGTTCTGGGGCCGGGCGTGGCGGCTTACACCTGTAATTCCAGCACTTTGGGAGGTTGAGGCGCGCACATCGCTTGAGGTCAGGAGTTCGAGACCCTCCTGGCTACCGTGGCGAAACCTCGTCTCCACTGAAAATACAAAAAATAACTGGGCATGGTGGCGTGTGCCTGTAGTCCCAGTTACTGGGGAGGCTAAAGCACGAGAATTGCTTGAAGATGGGAGGGCGGAGGCTGCTGTGAGCCGAGATCGCACCACTGCACTCCAGCCTGGGCGACAGAGACCAACTCTGTCTAAAAAAAAAAAAAAAAAAAGTTGTGGACGTGGATGGTGGTGATGGTTGCTCAACGCTACGAATGTGCTTAGTGCCACAGAATTGTTCCTAAAAATGGTTAAAATGGTCAGTTTTATGTTATGTATATTTTCCCACAATTTAAAGAAAAATGAAAAATTTTTTTAAAAATTTATTTTATTTTTTTTGAGACAGGGTCTCGCTCTGTCTCCCAGGCTGGAGTACAGTGGTGCGATCTTGGCTCACTGTTACCTCCACCTCCTGGGTTCAAGCGATTCTCCTGCCTCAGCCTCCTGAGTAGCTGGGATTACAGGCGCCTGCCATCATGCCTGGCTAATTTTTGTATTTTCAGTAGAGACGGGGTTTCACCATGTTGGCCAGGCTGGTCTCAAACTCCTGACCTCAAGCGATCCGCCCGCCTTAGCCTCCCAAAGTGCTGGGATTACAGGTGTGAGTCACTGCACCCGGCCAGAAAAAAAGAAATTTTTAAAAAGGCTGAACAATCAATGAGTCAAGCACATATTTCCAGAAGTGAGATGAAGAACAAACCCAGAGAAACTGAAAGCGAAGGAAGAATGCATATGCAGGTTAAAGGAAGAATGCATATGTAGGTTAATGAAACACAAGATAAGAATACTATGAGCCGGTACGCGGCTAGTATCAGAAACGAGAAAGGGGATGCCACTTCGGGGCAACCACTTCCTCCCCACTGTGCCCAGGACTGGGGTTCCAGACCCAAGGCTGTCTGGAGTCCTGGGAAACCCCTGTCTCGAGCCCCTCAGCAAAGAGGGACAGCTGGTTACCCCACGGATCCTGCAGACATCCAAAAGACAGGAAGAAGATATTGTGAACAACTTTTGCCAATTTCAACAACTTGAAAATTTGGATGTAATGGACAATTTCCTAGAAAAATAGCACAAATCAAAATTCAAGCCAAGGAACGGGAGTCTGAGGAGCCCCCAGCTCTGAGGGGACTGGGCTTTCTGTGCTGGGTTCCTCGTCCGGGACTCTGCGCCATGCTTCTCCATCAGCTGCGGGTCTGGGTGCTGGAGATTCCGAGGAAGGGCACACCCCCACCCCTCAAGGCAGTCACAGATACCCCCCACTTCACGGGCAATTTCAGGGGGCTTTGCACTCCCCAAGTCCGACTTGCTCACCCCAGGGACAGAGGTTGAGAGTTTCCAAGCCTGCCCCTTTACATCCAATTCCAGCTCCAGGGTGGGGGCATTCTGGGGTGCTGTGCAGAGGTTGCTGGGGGGCTTCCAAAGGAGGGGAGAGCAGCTGTGGCCGGAGGAAGAGGGATGTCAGAGAGGCTTCTCCGGGCCTGGGAGCATGTTCGCCATCCGTCCAGAGCCACCACCCCTGGTCACAGGGGGCCTCCTGCATCCTCAAGCCACGGCCTTCCTCAGGCCCTATGGTCTCCCAGGCTATAGCTGGAGGGTGGAGTGTCCCTACGGTTCTGCTGCCCATCTGGACAGCTGATCTGGGCGTCTGGCACCCGCCTGCTCCCTGCTCACTCTGGGGTAATGGCATCAAGATCTCAATCACTACAGCAAAAATAA
Source organism: Homo sapiens (assembly GCF_000001405.40). Lineage (NCBI taxonomy): Eukaryota > Metazoa > Chordata > Mammalia > Primates > Hominidae > Homo > Homo sapiens. The sequence continues at coordinate 240,909,756 of NC_000002.12, read as the reverse complement.
CAGGTGTCAGCAGGGCGGGCAGAGCAGACTTCACTGGGGCCTGCGTAGCCTCCAGATGAGTTTCCTGGGGACAGTGGGAATTTGGGGGCAGACAAAGCTAAGCATCTCTCAGCCACATTTGCACAGTGCTCATGCCCCTGCCTGATGTCAGCATCGGCCTGGGATTCCCCCTCAGACCAGCCGCTAACCACAGCAGCTCCCTCCAACCCTTACGCCTCGGCTTTCCTGACATCCGAGGGGATGAGAATCCTCACAGGGCTGCAAGTGTCCTGCAAACGTAGTGTGCTGGCTCTCCAGCCTCCATTCACCAGCCCTGCTCTCAGAACTCATGGAGCCAACACCCAGGCAGAGCTGGCCGAGCTCCAGGTGGAGGAGGTAGAGGTCACCTGAGGTGGAGGAGGTAGAGCTCACCCCAGGTGGAGGAGGTAGAGCTCACCCCAGGTGGAGGAGGTAGAGGTCACCCGAGGTGGAGGAGGTAGAGCTCACCCGAGGTGGAGGAGGTAGAGCTCACGCCAGGTGGAGGAGGTAGAGCTCACCCCAGGTGGAGGAGGTAGAGCTCACCCCAGGTGGAGGAGGTAGAGGTCACCCGAGGTGGAGGAGGTAGAGCTCACCCCAGGTGGAGGAGGTAGAGCTCACGCCAGGTGGAGGAGGTAGAGCTCACCCCAGGTGGAGGAGGTAGAGGTCACCTGAGGTGGAGGAGGTAGAGCTCACCCCAGGTGGAGGAGGTAGAGCTCACCCCAGGTGGAGGAGGTAGAGGTCACCCGAGGTGGAGGAGGTAGAGGTCACCCCAGGTGGAGGAGGTAGAGCTCACCCCAGGTGGAGGAGGTAGAGCTCACCCCAGGTGGAGGAGGTAGAGGTCACCCGAGGTGGAGGAGGTAGAGCTCACCCCAGGTGGAGGAGGTAGAGCTCACGCCAGGTGGAGGAGGTAGAGCTCACCCCAGGTGGAGGAGGTAGAGGTCACCTGAGGTGGAGGAGGTAGAGCTCACCCCAGGTGGAGGAGGTAGAGCTCACCCCAGGTGGAGGAGGTAGAGGTCACCCGAGGTGGAGGAGGTAGAGGTCACCCCAGGTGGAGGAGGTAGAGCTCACCCCAGGTGGAGGAGGTAGAGCTCACCCCAGGTGGAGGAGGTAGAGGTCACCCGAGGTGGAGGAGGTAGAGCTCACCCCAGGTGGAGGAGGTAGAGCTCACGCCAGGTGGAGGAGGTAGAGCTCACCCCAGGTGGAGGAGGTAGAGGTCACCTGAGGTGGAGGAGGTAGAGCTCACCCCAGGTGGAGGAGGTAGAGCTCACCCCAGGTGGAGGAGGTAGAGGTCACCCGAGGTGGAGGAGGTAGAGGTCACCCGAGGTGGAGGAGGTAGAGCTCACCCCAGGTGGAGGAGGTAGAGCTCACCCCAGGTGGAGGAGGTAGAGCTCACCCCAGGTGGAGGAGGTAGAGCTCACCCCAGGTGGAGGAGGTAGAGGTCACCCGAGGTGGAGGAGGTAGAGCTCACCCCAGGTGGAGGAGGTAGAGGTCACCCGAGGTGGAGGAGGTAGAGGTCACCCCAGGTGGAGGAGGTAGAGCTCACCCCAGGTGGAGGAGGTAGAGCTCACCCCAGGTGGAGGAGGTAGAGGTCACCCGAGGTGGAGGAGGTAGAGCTCACCCCAGGTGGAGGAGGTAGAGCTCACGCCAGGTGGAGGAGGTAGAGCTCACCCCAGGTGGAGGAGGTAGAGGTCACCTGAGGTGGAGGAGGTAGAGCTCACCCCAGGTGGAGGAGGTAGAGCTCACCCCAGGTGGAGGAGGTAGAGGTCACCCGAGGTGGAGGAGGTAGAGGTCACCCGAGGTGGAGGAGGTAGAGCTCACCCCAGGTGGAGGAGGTAGAGCTCACCCCAGGTGGAGGAGGTAGAGCTCACCCCAGGTGGAGGAGGTAGAGCTCACCCCAGGTGGAGGAGGTAGAGGTCACCCGAGGTGGAGGAGGTAGAGCTCACCCCAGGTGGAGGAGGTAGAGCTCACGCCAGGTGGAGGAGGTAGAGGTCACCCGAGGTGGAGGAGGTAGAGCTCACCCCAGGTGGAGGAGGTAGAGCTCACCCCACGGCACCTCTTTGTCTTGTTGCATCGCCTGATTCAAATATCCTGCCCTTAGTCCTCATGCAGCCCTGTGTGTGAGCAAACCCTGCATCTACCCTGTCACTCGGTCACCTGCACCAGCTGTGGCCATTTCTCTTTTCAGGTGATCTGTATTGTTTGGATAGGGCCATGTCAGCCTGCCGTGGCATAGTTTTGAGATGCTAAGAGCTGGGTTAACAAGCAACCATGAGTAAGCCAGTTCGTCAGGGGTTCCCTGGGGTCCCGAGGGGTCCGTTGGAGGTGGGGCCGCCTGGCTGTGGTGGTCAGCAGCAGGTGACGGCAGTGCAGGGAGGAGGGATATCCGAGGTGGGACCGCAGGCTGGGTCCTAGGTGGGCTCTGGGAAGTAGGGAGGCAAGGGGAGAGGGACACGGGACAATTCCCAGCCACTGTTGTCACACACCAGGTGCTACGAAGACAGAACCAGAACATCTGGAAGCCACAGAATAGACACTAGGGCTGAGCCACAGCCTCCCACAAATGTGCAGCGATGGAAACACTGTCCCCCGAGAGGCCCTGCTGGCCCCACACTTGGCCATGGGAGGGCAGTGAACGAGGTCCCAGAATGTCAGCACCAAGGGCTGCCTGCCCATCCCCACCCCAGTGCGCAGCCTGCAAACCCGTGGCTGCCAGGGACGCCAGTCACCTGAACGTCCACAGCCAGCAGCGGCCCCGGGCTCTCTCTCCACCCTGCAAACCTGTGGCTGCCAGGGACGCCGGCCACCTGAGCATCCACAGCCAGCAGCGGCCCCGGGCTCTCTCTCCACCCCGCAAACCTGTGGCTGCAAGGGACACCGGCCACCTGAATGTCTATAGCCAGCAGCGGCCCTGGGCCCTCTCTCCCCAGGCTCTCTCTCCTGGCTGAAGGCTGCCTGTGTGTGCATGCAGGCGCGCCTGCTTGCATCCGTGACTGGCTGCACGCTCAAGGCAAACACGTGAGCAAGTGGAAAGTGCCCCGGGAGCCAGGAAGGTGCCTCCTGGCCATCCCCTCTCTTTGCCGCGTCCCTTCCAAAGTGTCCTGGCAACCTGCTCTCAGGAGGGTGCAGGGAAGTGACCACCCCACTGACCTGGATCACGGTGTCCAGCCCCAGTAGGGGCTGTTGGGAGGCGTCCCCATTGCCAGGCTCACTGGAGGCAGAGCTCATTGCAGCCCAGAGCGCAGGACCCCAGAGAAGTCTGGGCTTTGCTACCTGGCAGTTCTCCTCCAACTGGCCAGGGTCTTCCTTGGTCCACGGGCCCCACACCTGTGTGGCACCTGGCTCTGCAGTCTTGTGTCCCGAGCCTGGGCACCCAGTTGCTCTTGCCCTGTGGGTAAGACAGTATGGCCAGCTGAGCCCGTAGGCATTGCTGTGGCAACCGGGACGCTGAGAGCTGGGTTTCCCTGGAAACAGGAGTGCAGGACCCTGTTGCTGTGGGGACAAAGGAACGCTGTTGGCTGGAAGCAGTTTTGCCTGGAGACCTGGAGACGCCCTGGGTAAAACTGTCTACCTGAGCAACGGCACCTGGGAGGGGCTGGCCTTTCCCCCAGACACCCCCTCCCGCATTCGCTCCAGGGGGAGCCGTGTGCTTGCTGGACACACGGTGGGCAGAGGCAGCATGCAGAGCACTGGTCTTCCTTCATCTGGACTCATAAACTATGACTTTTGAAAAACATTTGTCAAAGAACGTAGTGGTCGTCGCAGGTGGTGGACTGAGACCTGGAGAGGGACGCTGCCTGCCTGAGGGGCAAAGGAATCTTGTCTTCCTGGCCTTGCACCTGTGAGTCCTTCTGGAGTCTGACTCCCGCTAGAGCCCTTCAGAGTCACCTGCCCATGGGTCCACCCTTGCCCTGGGAACCTGCACTGTTTCCCACCCTGTGGAATCGGAAAGGACCACCAGCCACCCTGTCCGAAGGGGAGAAGTCCCTGGTCAGCATGCGTGGTGGAGGGTCTGCAGAACTTGCCCACGGCTTCCCACCCCAGGGGCTGCCAGGGGCTGTCTGGATGCCAGGGCAGGGCAGCTTCCCATAGGTGGGGCAATGGGAGGGAAGCAGGGCCATGCCTGCCACCCCCAGGCCGGCTGTCCCTACAGACGCAGAGCTCTGTGGCTCGGAGTCTGGGCCTCCTGGGGCCTCAGATGAAGTCAGGTGCCTGGCAGGCAGCCATGCCAGCGTTTCCGCCCCATTCCACTCCCTCTGGGGCTCCTCATTCTGAGCTGGGACCTCCTTGAGCTGATGCTGGCAGGAGTCCCTCTGGGGAAGGGACAGCCGCAGAGGTGGGCCCTGCAGCAGGAGTGGCTGCCCTCCCATGAAAGGCTGCCCTGTTCAGGGGCCTCTGGGGATGGGTACATCTCCGAGTCTCTCAGAGACCCAGGTTCTTGGAGCCAGCCCAGGAGACCGGGAGGCAGCCTGCCCAGCAAGGCCACAGGGGCCCGGGCAGTGGAGGTGGATGCCAACTTGGGGGACCAGCATGTTTGTCCCTGGGGCTGCCGAGAGAGGGGCTGAGGGCCCAGGCCACCTCCTCAGAGGCGAAATTCAAGAAGCAGAGGCACCTGTACTCAAAAGGAGCCCTCCCAGAGAAACACCTGTGCTCTGTTCACCCCCACTCCTGAGGACAACCTCCAGGGTGGCCCTGCAGGGACAGGCCAGGCTCTCTGGCCAGACATGGCCCCATGGGCATCCGGGCTGGGCTTCACTGGACAGTCCCTGGGGTGCCAGGGGCCTGGTCAGTCCTTCCGAACCTCGTGCTTCTGGCCCAAGCATGACCTCTGGCTTCAGGTCCAGACTGAGGACACCCACTCCATGGGCTAGGCCCCTCCCTGAGCAGCCTCCAGATCCCCCAGGGACCCAAGACTGCCGGTCGCCCACCCTCAGAGTCCTGGGAGGCCCTGTGGCCATGGAGAGTCCTGCCCTCCATGCCTCAGCCTGAGTGGGGAGGGGCAGCGTTTCCTGCTGGGGCTCCGCTGAACTCCCCTGAGGTGGGTCAGGGCTTAGAGGGTGTGGCCCTGGCCTCTGGTGAGAGTTCCTGCTGGGGGCAGGGCGGGTGGAGTGAGGAAGGGGCATCCGTGTGGACCTGTGAACGGTGGGGAGTGGCTGGGAGGCTAGTGTGATCTCCCATGCGGGCCTCTTGGATAGGTGGAGATAAGACCTCATATGCCAGAAGCAAGTCCTGTGTCAGTCCTGACACAGATGCCCATGTTCAGGGGCGGCCCGGTGGCCTGAGTCGGGGTGTTGGAGAGACACCCTGACCTGAAGCCGTACATCCAGGCCAAAGGTGACGTGCACTGGGCCCAGCCAGGTGGAGACACCCCCTGTGGCCTCTGCAGGTGACGGCTCTCAGGAGGGCTGGTGGGCAGGGGCTCCCATCTGTGTTTAATTTTATTTTTATTTATTTATTTATTTTTGAGATGGAGTCTCGCTCTGTCTCCCAGACTGGAGTGCAGTGGCCCTATTTTGGCTCCCTGCAACCTCCCCCCACCAGGTTCAAGTGATTCTCCTGCTTCAGCCTCCAGAGTGGCTGGGATTAGAGGCACTCGCCACCATGCCCAGCTTATTTTTGTATTTTTAGTAGAGATGGGGTTTCACCATGTTGACCAGGCTGCTCTTGAACTCCTGACCTCAAGCAATCCTCCCGCCTTGGCCTCCCAAAGTGCTGGATTACAGGCGTGAGCCACTGCGCCCGGCCTGTCTGAGTTTTAGAAAGTTCCTTCTGGCTGTGGAGTTGCCCTGGACGAGACCAAACGTGAGGATGGGATTTTGTCGGTCCAGGTGGGCATCGCCTGGAGCCTCTGTGCCATCTGGGGTGGGCGTGGCCGCCTGCAGTTCAGCCTCCCCCGCCTGCGGCAGCTCCAAGTCCATGATTTTCCCAGATGTCCTCCCGTGCCCCTTTTCCTCAGTCACTGCAGGGTTTGCCCACGGAGGAGGGATTTCCTGGGAGAGTCCTGGTGAACCATGAAGGTTGGTCCCTCCTCTTGGTGGGGCCCTGACCCAAGGCAGGCCCTCCTTGCCGCCCACCTCCTCTTAGCCTTGGGGTCCTGGCTGCTCCACCGGACGCATCCTCGTTTCTTTTCCACTTCTCCCCCTTTGCTGCTTCTCCCCCTTAACCCTGCCCCCCTGTGTCTGTACAGGAAAGCCCACGCCTGCCGGCGGTGGCCCGGAGTCCCCCCAGGATGCCTTTCCAGGGCGCGAGGGCTGGCCCAGCCCCGTGCATGCCCCCCAAGGCCTCACTGCGGGGTGTCCATTATGGGGCTCCCAGACCAGGGCCATGGCTAGACTAGAAGAACCCACAGGGTAGGCCTTGGCCGGAGCCTGGCTGGGCCCCCCGGGGAACGCCCTGGGACAGTGGAGGATGGGATAGAGGGTCCTCCCTGAGTGCAGGCGTTCTGTGGGGTGGGCTCTCGGGAGGGCGGGGCTCGGGGGGCCCTGCCCAGTCCTGACCCACAGCCTGATGGGGGTTGAGCTCTTGTTCTCTGGACCTCACGCCTCCCTCCCTGGGACTGGGGAAAGTACTCGGCACCCATGGCCATTCTAGATGCGGTCCTCCTTGTCCTGCCCCACCTGCCTGGCTTTGGAGGCTGAGGAAGAACCCTCCTGGGCTCAGAGGAACACCTGTCTGTAGATACGCCATCACCGGTTTTGTCATTGTTCCCTTGAAACAGGAAACCTTGCTTATCCTTATCAAGGATAACGTTGTATCTCCTTATCAAGGAGATAAGGAGTTACAGCCTTATCTCCTTGGGGACAGTCCCTAATCCTGGCTGTGCTGGGCCCACATGGGGACACAGGAACCGATGATGAGCAGGCACAGACACTCTGGCCGCCAGGCACCCACACAGCCGGCCATGGGTGTCTTTTCCTGTCTAGCACCAGCAGGGGATGTGCCTCGGACAGAACCCAAAGAGGCTGTGACCCAGGTCAGCCCCGGGGAGCTATGGAGCCACTCCTCTTGAGCAGTCACTGGCTGTCCTCTCAGACAGTCTACTCTGCCAGGTGTGGACTTGGCTCTGAGGAGGAGACGCTGGCCCTGGGGGGTGCAGAGTCACTGAATGAGCTGAGACAGTGATGGAAGGCAGGAAAGATCCCAGTGTGATTACGGCAGGACGGGCAGCCCTGGAGGCTGTGAGGCTGGGACAGAGGGCGCCACATTCTGTCCACTGCCTACCCTCTCTGCAGAGCTGCCCTGCACATGAACTTTCTTCAGAGGGCATGGAAGTGCCACCCCATTCTGCACACAGCAGCCGAGTGGCACCGTCCCACCCCCATCTGTCGGGCGTGGACAGGAGGCCAGCTGAGGGCAGGGGTGGTGGCTGGTGAGGCAAGTGGTCTGATGCGGGAGAACAATGCATTTGGTGTGATTTTCAAGGTCTTTTCCACTCTCCTGAGAGGAGAGGCCAGCTGGATACATGTGCTGGGTTTTAGGGGGCATCCAGATGGTTGTGGGCGCAGGCAGGTCCTGAGAGGTTCTGTGGGGTGGGAGAGAAGACCTCGCTCTTCACCCACCCTGTGTTTATCCACGTGAGGGGTTGCCGGTGGATGCTGCCGTGGCAGGCCCTGGGGGACCTGGGTCCTGGGAGAGGCTGCAGGGCTGCCTGGGGACCCTGCTCTCTGGTGCTTTCTGTCAGCGTGGCAGAGGCTGAATACCACAGCACAGTGAAGAAAGGTGCCTGGGGAGGGACCTCCTGCCTGGGGACCAGAGGAGGCTTGGGGCTACTGGCCTGCCCAGGGATCCAAAGGTAAGAGCCCAAGCCATACAGAGCTTAGAAGAAAATGTAGGCAAAAGCTTCATGACACAGGATTTGGCAGTGATTTCTTGGATATGACATCAAATGCACAGACAATGAAAGAAAAAAATAGATAAATTGAACTGCATCAGAATTGAAAACTTGTGCATCAAAGGATGCTATGAAGAAAGTGAAAACCCACAGAATGGGAGAAAATATTTACCAATTTTATATCTGATAGGGGATTAGTATTGAGAATTTATAAAGAATTCTGGCCAAGCGTGGTGGCTCACACCTGTAATCCCAGCATGTTGGGAGGCCAAGGCAGGTAGGTCACCTGAGGTCAGGAGTTCGAGACCAGCCTGGCCAAACCCCGTCTCTACTAAAAAAATACAAAAAAATTAGCTGGACCTGGTGGCGTGCGCCTGTCATCCCAGCTACGCAGGAGGCTGAGGCATGAGAATTGCTTGAACCTGGGAGGCAGAGGTTACAGTGAGCCGAGATGGCGCCACTGCACTCCAGCCTGAGTGAGAGGGAGACTCTGTCTAAAAAAAAAAAAAAAAAAAAAAAAAAAGAATTCCTACAACCCAACAACAAGAAAACAAACAACACAATTAAAAATGAGCGAAAGACCTGAACAGACGTTTCTCCAAAGAAGATACACACATGGCCAACAGGCATGTGAAAGACACTCAGAGTCGCCTCATCCGAGAAATGCAAATCAAAAACCACAGCACGTCAGCACTTCACAACCCCTGGGATGGCTCTTACCCAGAACGCAGAGGATGAGTGCTGGGGAGGACGTGGAGAAGCCAGGGCTCTCGTGCACTGCAGTGGCGATGGTGTGACAAATCCTCAGAAAATTAAACAGAGTTCCCATATGATCCAGGAACCCACTTCTGGGCATATACCCCAAGGAACTGAAAGCAGAGACTCAAAGAGATATTCATACCCCTGTGTTTATAGCAGCATTTGCACTGCAGCCGATGGTGGAAGGAGCCCAGGTGTCTGTTCACAGATGATGTGGTCCGTCCCCACCGTGGAACATTACTCCGCCTTTAAAAGGAAGGAAATTCTCACACATGCCACAATCTGGAAGAACCCTGAGGATATAACGCCAGGTGAAATAAGCGCGTGCTAAGGCCGACGCTTACCTGAGGTCCCAGGAGCGCTCCAAGCCCTAGAAACGGAAGGTAGTATGGTGAGAGCCAGGGGCTGGGGGAGGGGCAGGAGTCAGTGTGGAGCAGGCACAGAGTCTCAGCCTGGAAGATGAGACGAGCTCTGGAGACTGACGGTGACAATGGCCGCGCCGCAACACGAATGTTCTTCATGGCGCTGAGCCACACACTTAAAGGTGGTCAAGATGGTAAAAGTCATGTTTATTTACCAAAATGTAAAAAACTAAAACGCCAACCACCAAGCAAAACAAAACCCACTGTGGCCAGCACCTGGGGAGACCTAGAGGGTTCCCCCACCCAGCTGCACGTTCCAGGGGAGCTGCAGCCTGTGGTCTGGCCCTGAGCTGGCGACTGGAGCCCCGGACAGACGGAGCTGGTGTCCCCGTGTGCCCAGGTGAGCGGTCTCCATGCCACCACTGAGAGAACACCCCCTTCCCCTCTCTCACACCGCCCTCCACCCACCCCTGTGCCGTCGAGCTTCCTTCTCCCCGGGACACCTGCCCAACCCCTGTCCTGGGCTGAGCCTGCCTCAGAAAAATGAGTCTGCTCCAATGTCTGCTCCCCACTGGATTTTCCAGGTGAGGGATCAGCCCGCCCTCAGCCCCATGCGGCTCAGCTCCTCAGGGTGGTCCAAAGTAGCCCCCAGCCCACGACCCCACCCACCCCGCCACACACCTGACTGTTCCCCAGCCATCTCCGTCCACCTGGGGCGTAACTGCCCATCACCTCCTTCCTCCCCCAGCCCCTGCTTCTTTGCTTTGCTCCTCCCAGCGGGGGTTCACCCCTACCGCTCAGTGCTGCTCCGAGGGGGGCTGCCAGGCTTAGCAGTGGAAATACAGGGATCCCTGTTCTATTCCAACTCCAGATCAACAACAATAAATGTTTGTGTGCCATGCAAATTAGATTTGAACTTCAGATTAATCCTAACAGCTGGGCGTCCTGCATTTTATTCGCCACCCTGATGCAGAGTTAGGCCATGAAGGGGAGGCCGCAGGGGCCGGGCATGTGCTCTGGGCGTCAGGACGCGGGTTTGTCCCTCGTGGTGAGCATTGCAGCTTTATCCTGAAGTCCAGACTGCTCATGTCAGCACGGAAGCTGCTTCCCCGCAGAGGCATCTGCGTAAAGGGCGTCTGGGCGCTGGGCGGCTGGATTCTGTCTGAGAGTCTGTCTCCTGTGGACTCCTCACTGTCCGTTGAGGACCTGGAGCCCAGGCGGGGCAGCGACTTGCTCAGGCCACACCATGGTGCCAAGCTCGTCTGCTCAAGTCTGACTTTTCTGCATCCGCACCTAAGCCTGAGCAGGCCTGGCAGGTACTCTGGGCACCTTGGCTGAATCGGACCACAGTGTCCTGGAGAGAAGGGCCCGATGCAGAAGAAGGGTCTCCTTCCCGGAGTACTGCAGGCATTGGTGGCTGGTGTAGACCTCGGCTGGAGACTCCTGTCTTGGTTGCTTTTGCATGCCTGAGGCTGCACAGAGCTGTGCCCACTGTTCCCAAACAGGTGGCTGGGCTAGGGGAGGGGCAGCAAGCACAGGGTCCCTGCAGGCAGCGCCCTGGCAGGGCTCCTGGCACGCGGTGGTATGGGGGCTGCTGACCGTAGCTGGCTGAGGAACAGCCACCTCCTAGTCCCCAGAACCTGTGAACAGGACCTTATAAAGCACAGGAGAGAGTGTGGCCTTACACGGTAACAGACTGAACCGTGGGTGAATTGAGATCTTACGTGGTAACAGACTGAACTGTGGGAGGCCTATGGGATGAGATCATCTGGGACGGCCTGGTGGCCCTAAATGGTCTCCCCAGTGTCCTTGTAAGAGAAGCAGAAAGAGATAGCACAGCTGCCCACAGGAGAGGGCCACGTGAGGACGGAGATGGAGAGACGTGGCCAAGGAACGCGGCTGCACTGGAGCTGGGAGAGGTGGGAGCTGCGCTTCCCTGGAGCCTCCGGAGGGAGCCCAGCCACACAACACCATGCTCTTGGACGTCTGCCTCCAGAGCTGTGAGAATTCACTTCTGTCATTTTACCTCCGCCGTGGTCTGTCGCACCCCTGGAAACATGCCCCTGCTGTGGGCTGCAGCTGCGTGGAGCCCCCACGGCTCAGGGTGTGCCCCTGTTGCTTCCCTAGGTTCAGCCCTGGGACTCTGTTCAGGCCGGAATGTCTGCTTCCCACCCCGCCTTTCCCAGCACATCCGGGACTTCCTGAAATACAGGATCCGTGCTCTGGCCCTGAGCTCTACTGAGAGACTGAATCAACACCCATCTGAGCATTTGCGGTTGCCACAGGTGCCAAGGAACCCCTTCTTGAGTTGCCAAGGCCCCAGGACACGTCTGGTTTCTCTGACCCTCCCCACCCTCACCACGCTACCCTCCTGGGGTCAGAGTTGGAGTCCTGGGTGCACTGTGGCTAGTGGCTGCCTGAAGGCCTCTGGAGCACTTGGCCCCTTTGTGGTCAAAGCTGCCCAGCCGTCCAGGGCGGGTGCCCGCATCCCCTCCGTCAGCAGCGGCTCTCCTCTCTCTCCCACAGGTCCAGCTTCCCGGGGACCTTTGCTTGTCCACAGTTCCCTGGTGTACTCCACATGCTCCTGTGTGCCTGGCATCGTGCCTGGCTCTAGGGTACACTGAGGAGTGTGACACCGTTCCAGCCATAGGGAGCTCACCATGTCATTCACCACCTGCCAGAAGGGCCAAGGGGCAAGGATGGGGCCTGGCCCATCAGAGGCTCTGACCTCAGCTGGGGCACAGGTGGAGAGAGTGGGGTCCCTTGGGGCAACCAGCTGGATTCAGCTCAGGAACTGGTGGGAGCCAGGAGGCCAGAGCCAGCGAAGGACAGGACAGGGTGTCAGCCAGGTGGAATCCCCTGCTGAAGAGAGGAAAGGGGGGACATGGTCTTGTGCTCTTGGTGTTGACAGCAGTGGAGAGGGGGCTTTAGGGGCAAAGGAGGATGCAAAGCCTGGGGGCCGCTCCCGAGGGAGAAGGGCCCTGCTCTGTGGCCACTGGAGGGAGCAGCTTGGGGGCTGAGAAGCCGAGCCCCTCCCATGGCTCAGAGCCCCTGGGCACTTTGGGTAGATTGGGGTGTGGTTGGGGGTCTCCTGGGCGAATTCAGAACACCGGGAGGTTCCTGGGAAGGAGGAGCTGGGACACTGAAGGTGTCATCAAATCACAGATGTTGAAGCCAAGGCCCAGAACAGGCAGATGAGCTCCCTGGGCCACTGCGGCCGAGGGTGAGGGGTAGGACCCCAGCTGCCCTGCAGCAGCGTCCACCTCCCCCAGGCCAGAGTCCTGTGGAGATGGAGGAGTGTGGCACACGGCTGTGTGTGGGGACCTAGGCAGGCCGTGGGTGAGGGCCCAGGACAAATGGGGCCTTGAACCTGAATGGCTGCCCTCGGGGAGGGGGACACGTGCTCTAAGCAACTCCAGGGAACAGGAGTGGGCCAGCTTGGAGGAGGGATATCTGTCTCTCGCTTGACCGTGGGCTACCCTGTGAGGTGGTGAGCTCCCTGTCCTGGGAGGCATGGAAGCAGAGACCCGCTCACTGGGCTGCAGCCCCTCATAGGGGCTTCCAAGCACCAGGAAGTGAGTGGCTGTTGCCCCCTGCCCCACCCCTCCTGGGATCCTGGTTCTGCCCACAGCTCTGACTCAGATGCAGCTCCCCGGGGGGTGAGAGGCCCACGTGCGGTGGCTACAGGGGCAGCATCTCCACGACGCCCCTGTGGGGCCATCTCCATGTTCACTGTTTGCAGACACCCCTGTGGCTGAGCACCCGATGCACTCGGCCAGCTGGCAGGGCCAAGGGTCGATGGGGCGGCTCCCTGCTGGTTGGGACTTGCACGGCCCTGAGCAGGGGAGGGGGGCGGGGCTGGCAGGGTACCTGGTGCAGGTGCTGGAGGGGGATGGTGGGGCGAGTTTCTCCACCTGGGTGAGGTGGAGCCACGGAGACTGCTTTTCTCCAGAACCAGACGAGCTCCAGCTCCCAGGCTAGGTGGGTGCCAGCTCCTCTCAGGTTGGAGGCTGGGCAGGGTGGGGTGGGGTGGGGTGGGGACTGGTAGCCCAGGGGTCCAGGGCCCAGATGGCTGGATGCACAGCTGGGGCAGAGGCAGGAGCCATGCCAGGACTGCAGCCTGTAAGCCGGGCACAGGTGTCTGAGGGGAACATTGCAGAGACGCAGCCTCCAGGTTCCCAGCCTTCCAGGCAGCCTTAGAGAGTCGGGGGCTCCCCCACAGCGGGGTCTGGGCAGCCACCGCCCTGCCTCCCCTTCCTCACTGAGCCACGGGGTGCCTTGTGTTCCCTCCAACCTGGCAGGGAGGCTGGGGCAGGGGGGCCTGATCCAGATACCCGGCCCCTGGGCTGTGGGGAGGAGGGTGGAAGGAGGCCCATCAGCAACACACAGAGGCTCCCATCCCAGGGACGGCACAGTCCAGCGGCAATATTTCTCCAGGGACCCCAAGCCTGGCTGGGACAGGGGCCGTGCCTTGGGCCTAAGATGAGAGAGCTCTTCTGAAGGGAGGGAGGAGGGTGGTAACCAAACCCAGCCCCCGCCTGCCCTGCATGGCCCCTGTGACATTCCCAATTGCTGGGGACTGACTCACCCCCACTTCAAAGGCCTTAAATAGTTCAGCTATTTCACCTGCCACACTGTGCTGTCACTCTGGAATTCTGCTGTGTGGGAGCTGAGGCCCCACCTGCAGACCTGCTGCTCACCTGGGCAGGTGCCTCCTCACAGCCCATCTGCACAGCTGGCCTGCGGAGTCCTCCTCAGGGGCCACTGGCCCTCACCTGCCACTGTTGAAGGGATGCCTGCCCCTGCTCTCCCCACCTCAGCCATGGCCGTGCAGGTGCCCCTGTGGCACCACTACCTGCAGGCCATCCGGTCCCGGGAGGCGCCGCGTGCCCAGGACTTCCAGCGCGCAGAGAACGTGCTGCTCACGGTGCTGGAGCGCGTGCATGCCCTGGACCCCCGCTTCATCGTGGACTACTCCCGTGGCCTGGAGGCCTTCCAGTTCGCCCTGCGCTCCTCTGAGGACCCAATGGACATGGAGGTGCCCCTGTGGGTGGATGCCGAGGCTCTACTGATTGAGGAACCAGAGGCCACCCAGCCGGAGGATGGCCTTGAATTATGCCACCTGGGTGTGCCCAGGGAAGGGGCTGGCCTGGAGCGGTGGACCACCGAGGATACCTTCACTGCCTCCTCGGAGGGTGACGCCAAGTGCCGTGGACACATTGTGCCCAGCAAGGTCCTGTGTGTCCTCAAGGACCTGCTGGTAGCAGCCATCGTACACTGCAAGCACCACAGTCTCATCGCACCAGGTACAGGCACAGCCCACTCTGCACGCGTATCTGCGTGTACCGAGGGGCTGCTGTGTGGGTGTCTGTGTGCAAGTGTGTGAGTGCACATGTGTGTGATTGCCATGTACGTGCACACAGGGTGGCGACTGTCTTCTGTGTGTGACTGCACGCACAGGCATGTGTGCACGTGTGTGACACTGTGCAAGTGTGAACAGTGTGTTGGGGCACAGAAGTCGGGAGACCTCACTTAGGTCTTCCAGCTCCAAATGCCTGTAACAAGACAGATGACGTGTTCCGTGTCGTGTGTGTTTGCACGGGGGTTCCACGGCTGCCAGTCGTCCAGTGGCTGGAGTCTGGGGCAGCTGCTTCACTGGTGGCCTTGCAGGAGGGTCCCTCACACGGCTCTGGGCAGGCGGCTCTCTTGCCAGTCACAGCCTGTGACCTCGAGGCTCCCCGAGGCCATCCCGTGCCCACTTCCAGTGTCTGATGATGTTGCACCAGGTGGGAGGGGTGTGTGTGTGCCTGCCTGCGTGCGCGTGAGTGCAGGGGTGTGAATGCGTGTGCAGGTGTGTGCCCGTGTCTTATCAGCTTATGGCTGAGTTGTCTATTGGTGTCTTGAGCCCCAAGTGGGCTCTGAGGCTGGGCTTCTGCGTGGACCAGGGGCTGGCCTCAGTCTCTCCTCTGGGGCCTTTTGTTTGTTTGTTTGTGAGACTGAGTCTCACTCTGTCACCCAGGCTGGAGTGCAATGGCACGATCTTGGCTCACTCCGCCTCCTGGGTTCAAGCGATTCTCCTGCCTCAGAATCCTGAGTAGCTGGGATTACAGGCATGGGCTACCACGCCTAGCTAATTTTTGTATTTTTAGTAGAGACAGGGTTTCACCATGTTGGCCAGGCTGGTCTCGAACTTCTGACTTCAGATGATCCGCCCACCTGGGCCTCTCAAAGTGCTGGGATTACAGGTGTGAGCCACAGCACCAGGCCCACCTTTGGGGCCTTGTTGATATGGTCCAGGGTGAGTCTGAGCCCAGGGCTCCTTCAGCAGGGGCTGCCTGGACGGCGACGGTCGCTGGGAGGACAGGGCTCAGCCTGTGCAGGGGCCAGGATGATGGGGACCCTGAGTGGTACAGCCATCCTCCAGGGGGTCAGGTTGTCCTGGAAGGGAACTGGGGACTGGAACAGAATTTGTCACATGTGAGTCACCACAGTCCTCACAGGGCTTTGTTGCCTCGAGTCACCTCCCTAGTATTCATCTGACCCTCATGTCCTCCGTGAGGTCAGCGGGTGGGGTCAGCTCACCTTCGCGAGAGGCCATGATCTGCTTGGGGATGCCCGGCGCTGGGGCCTGCCTGGAGGCAGGGGCACCTCCTGTGGGTTCTGGGGAAGGGTGTGCTGCCACCGCCGCACATAGCCAGGCCTCCAGTCTGCATGCTGGGAGGCCAGGAGGGTGGATTCTAACAGAAGCCCTCCCCAGACCTGTCTAGTGCCCTGGGGTAAGTGACTGACCTGACCTCTGGGGTGTCAGCTTCTGGTGCTCCCAGCCAGCCCTCACCCTGCCCCCAGCCCCTCGGGCTTCCTGCTCCAGCATCTTCTGAACCTCTAATCATGCAGGCCATGGGGTGGGTATTTCTATCTTCTTCCCGACCTCACTTGGCCCTGTCCCCACCTGTGAGACAGGCCCACCCATTGGGGTGAGCAGGAGGCCGTGCCAGGCCCTGAGTCATTCGGATTTGCTCTAAGCCGCCAGGCTCCTCACGCCCCCAGAGTGCCTCCTGAGAAAGCAGACTCGATACTGCAGGCCGCGCCCACAGCCCCTGAAGCTGCGCTGGGCTGGGCATGCAGGGAGATTCCAGGCATCGTTTCCTGACACTCACCTTAAAGGGGAAGTGGCAGCCTAGGTGACAGGGGTCAGGCTGCCCCCACCCTGGGAACCGGTGAGACCAGCCCGGGGCTGTGGCCTGTGGCCGGGCTGGTGCAGTTGCAGCTGCCTTCCAAGCTGCCAGGTCACGGGCAGTGAGCGTGCGTGGCCCACGGCAGATGAGGTGTGTGGCCACTAGAGGCGGCTCTGAATGGCAGGCACCTCAAGTGCTGCATGGGGGGGCCCTCCTTCTCTTTCATTGATGGGAACTGAGGCCCCTGTGGGATGGGCCGCCCAGGCAGCAGGGCCAGGGTTGCCCTGAGGTGGGCCCCAGAGGCGTCCCCAGAACTGCCCCACGGGAGATTGTGGGGGCTGAGGGGTCCACACAGCCAGGACCAGGCTCCCTCCGGAAGGACCCTGGGGCGGTGGGATGGTGGGAAGGCAGGCCCCATGCTCGCTCATGATGGGGACCTTTCCCAAGGCACATGCCAGGATTCCCTCGGGGAAACGCCAGCATGCTGCCTGGGCCCAGCTCCCTGTGACCTGGGCACCCTGGCTGGACAGTACTGGGGAGGGGAGGGGCGGCCTCTCCTCCGGTCCCTGGGCCAGTGTCAGGCGGGGGCCGTGTGGGTGTCTGCAGTCACCCTGAGTGACACCTCACCTCTTCATTCTCGGATATTAATTTGTTTTTGGGGGGGTAGGGCAACTGAGGCAGAGGCCAGAGGGCCCCTGGACTCACCAGAATGCCCCCAGCCCCAGCTCCAGCCCCATTACACCCTGGAACAGGCCCTCCAGGGACTCTGGGCTCTGTGTTAGTGAAGTGGGCACTGGGCTGGGTCCCGGGTGGGGTCCGAGGAGGGGAGGGAGTGGGAAACCTCTTGGTCAGAATGTGCCTCCTGTGGGGGACAGGGGCCATGGGGCTCTCGGGCAAGGGCTCTCTGGGAAGTGTAGGATCCAGACCTGGTCAGGAATAGTGGCTGAGCTCCGTCACTGTGAGCCTGCTGGCCTGGGCAGCCCAGAAACGGGGGTGGCTGAGCTCCGTCACTGTGAGCCTGCTGGCCTGGGCAGCCCAGAAACGGCGGTGGCCGAGCTGGCTCTCCACTACTGGCAGCTGCCGCCGCCTCTTCTCTCCATGGGAACTGAGCCTCAGCCTGGGCCTGTCCCTCTCTCCCCAGCTGCCCCCATCATGTAGACTGGTCCCCTAGCTGGATCCAACATGGGCTTCCCATGCATGCAGTTGATTTGAGTGGCAGGGGGCTCTCAGGGAAGCTTCCAGGGGCAGGGGCAGGGGGCAGGGGGCAGGGGGGAGGAGGAGGTGAGTTCTGGGGAGGAAAGGCCTAGCTTCGCTCCACCCTCTCCAGCTCTGGAGTGGGAGCCCTGTGGCCCCAGCCTGGACTGCTGCTGCCTCCTCCCCTGCAGAGAAGGCAGCAGAGATGCCAGGGCCATCGTCAGGAGGTAGGGGGCTAGCTGAGGGCTGGGACTTTGGCCCCAGGGCTGGGGCAGAGTGAGCAGGCTCAGGAAGGCCTGGGAAGGCACAGCAGGCGTGGTCCTGGGGTGTGGGGTGAGGGTGGTGCCTGGCAAAGGAAAACCTCATGTAGGACGCTGCTGTCATCACTGGTGCTGCAAGTCGCTGAGCTGACAGTTGTGCCGAGGACTGTCACCATTGGGCAGGCATGGTGGCCAGCTCCTCACTTGGCTGAGGTCCAGGGATGGACACAGGTGTCTGGGGTTGGGGAGCTGCAGCCTGCAGGTGGGGGCCAGCAGAGAGGGCTGCAGGTGAGAGGTGATGAGGGGCAGGGGCCAAGTTGGCAGCAGGAGGAGGGCTGTGGAGTGTCCTGGGCAGGTGAGGCAAGTCGAGGGGCCGGCGTGACTTGGGTCTTTGCAGGTTCGCTGAACGCGGCCAGCCTGAGGGAGGAGCAGCTCCACCTGTCCTTGCTGGTGTCCAGCGGCTGGAGAACAATCAGCTTCCACGTGGTGCCCGTGGTGAGAAGGAAGCTTGGGGCGCCTGCCCTGGAGGGGGTGCAGCAGATGCCCGGATTCCCTGAGGGCAGCTTGAGAAGGATCCTCAGCCAAGGGGTGGACCTGGTGCCGGCCAGCGCCCAGCTCTGGAGGTAGGCGCACCCTCCTGGTCACAAGGTTCTTGGGGAGGGGGCAGGAAGGGGCCACTGCCCCCATGCTCCCCTGGCCCCAGCCAGGAGGATCTGCAGGGTCCTCCGTCTGCCTCTGCCCCCATGGGCATGTGTGTTCCACTGAGATTACTGGGGTCTCTGGCTGTAGGGAGGGTGGAAATGTGTCCTCTCCCTAGTGGAAAGGGGCCTGGTGGCATCTGACACTGGGTGATGAGAGACCTGGAATTGTGGATGGCTGCCCTAGACCAGACCTTTCACTACCCAGCTTTTGCTTGGGGCAGGAAAATAGCTGAGAGGTCAGGCAACCTGTCCAGGCAGGTGGGTTCCCAGAGAAGCTGAGAGGGTTCCCACACAGTGGGGGTGCGTCCACATTGATGTCTGTGAGAGGAAGGAGAGGGGCACTGGGCACAGGCTGAGCTCCCCTGGAGACCCCTAGCCAATGGCCAGGGACCGCACCCCATCCAGATCTGACACCACTGCAACAGCCCCTCAGGGTGGCTCACCCCGCCTCACTTGCTGGAAGGATGGTTGAATCCACGCTCGTCAGTGGAGGGCTTTGCAAAGCTGGTTATGTCCCTCCTGTGGTTTTCCCCTGCAAGGAAAGGCTCAGCGGAGCGCCAGTCACCTGCCCTGCATTGCCTCTGACCCCTTCACGCGAGGCAGGGGCGGCGTCCAAGCTTGTGGAATAAACTACCTGCCCGCCTGCCAAGGAAGGGGAAGGGCTGGGCTGGGCAGAATCATTTTTGCAAGTAAATGGGAAAATGACATTTTTGGTGCCCCACATCCTGTAGGCTTGCGGGGGACACTGGGCGCGTTACTGGCCCCTGTTGTGGCTCCTTGAAGGGTGGGCCCATGAGGGTGCATTGCCAAGGCTCCACCACCTCAGCCCATCCAGCATGCACGCAGCAAGTCATCTGGTGTGAGCTGCTCTGAGCTGTGGGCATAGGCGGGGCTGGGGTGTGGAGCAGAGATTCTGAGCCCATCATGCGGCCACCCCTGGAGGCTGCCGCCCTGGGCTTCCTGAAGGGGCCATGAGTGGAGCTGTCACACCCCCGGGCTGAGTGGTTCCAACCTGGGCAGGTCTGAGAGGCACCTTCCTGTCTACACAAAGGGCCGGACTGGCCTGGAGGCTCCTACATCCCTCCGTATTCAGGGCCAGGGAGTCTCCACGAAAAGCAGGCGTGCACACTGCACAGCCGATGACAGCAGCTCCCGAGAAGCCTGGGTTCCGGCTGGGTCCCACCAGCAGACGCAGCACAGCACGACCCTGGCCAGGGCCCGAACCTCCGGGGCTCAGAAGCTCCCCATGCTGGGGGCCAACAGCGGCGGGGGCTGACCCAGTGCGTCTGTCTGGGCCCCAGGACCTCCACTGACTACCTGCTCACGAGGCTGCTGGGGGAGCTGGGCTCCCTGCAGGGTCATCGCCTGGACAGCCTCTCCATCCTCGACCGGGTCAACCACGAGAGCTGGCGTGACAGTGGCCAGACTGACGGCCTGACCTTTGGCCACCTGAAGGTACCCAGGGCGGGACTCGGCGGGTTGTCTGTCACCAGGGCCCAGGGGTAGGTGCACCCAGGCGTGTCCCTCCTGCCAGCCCTGACTGGCAGGCAGCTGCTATGAGTCCCAAGTCGGAGTTGGGGGGATTCTGAGGGCCTGCCCAGGTTCTGAGGAGGTGAGGCCGTGGCTCCTGAGGGTCAAGGGAATGTGGCCGCGGGTGCCGTGGTGCCGCAGGCTGGCCTTCGCCATCCCTAGGCCGTGACCTCGGAGGCCCTCCTGGCCCTGGGACACTGTTGGGTAGAATCTCAGGGTGGGGCCTCACAGAGCCCAGTGTTCCCGCCCAGCCAGCCTCCTCCCAGTGTCTGGGAATGTCACCTGGCTGGGACACCTCCCTCTGGGGGTTCCCAGGAGAGTCCAGGCACACCCTTCTCTCTGCTTCCTGGGCCACAGTGACATTCTGCAGAACCCTGTCCTTCTGGGGCTTTGTAACATCAGATGCTGAGAAGAACAAGGAACAGGCAGGGGCCAGGGATTCCAACCCACCCCAACCCCGAGGAAGCAGGTGGGGGCTGTGCTGTCTTGGGGTCTGCTCGGCTGGCCCCTTCCTGGAGTGTGTGGCCAGCCGGGCGCTGCTCCACAGATGGGGCTGGCCCCTCCACCTGGCTCAGTGTTGAGGGAGAGGTGCCCCTCCTGGTGTCCGGAGTCCCTAGGTGACCTCTGGCCATGCCCTCTCAGGCCCCCACCTGACCTGGAGCTTCCAGCCCCCCTTGAGGTTGGATGCATGGTGGTTCCCAAGCCCCAAACTCAACTGCAGGGTGAGAGGCCATGGGAGAAGAGGGTTTGAAAAGCCGCTGTGAGACAGGGCCTGTGAGACAGGGCCTGGGGCAGGATGGAGGGTAAGGGTGTCTGGAACGGCCGCAGGCAGCTCAGGTCTTGTGGTTCAGGCCAGGGGTCATGAGCACACAGGCTAGGACTGTGACAATGCCATGGGCCCGTTGGGTTGGGCTGCAGGGGGTGAGTAGGAGCTCAAAGGGGCGGAGGGAAGGAGAGAAAGGCCCAGAGGATGCTGGGAGCTGCAGAGGCCCCCAAGGGAGGTCCTGGGGGGTGAAAGGAGGAGCTGGGGTGGGGTGCGAGGGCCAGAGCCAGGCAGGGGAGGAGAGAGAGGGGTTCATGCCTTCGGGAGCCAGCAGGCTGGGGGCAGCGGGTGGGAGGGGCCTGGGACTCCGACTGGGACGTGGAGGGGAGGGCACAGGGTAGGAAGAGGTGTGGGTAGGAGCAGGGAGGGGCAGCCAGGGTGAGGGTGGGAGCGCAGGGTGGGAGCACAGGGTGGGCCGGGTGGGCCAGGAGGCCAGGGCTGACCCTGCTGTCCTGCAGATGGTGCTGCTGTGGGCCTCTGTGCTCTTCCTGGCGCCCGAGGACTGGGCAGAACTGCAGGGCGCCGTGTACCGCCTGCTGGTGGTGCTGCTCTGTTGCCTGGCCACGCGGAAGCTGCCCCACTTCCTCCACCCGCAGCGCAACCTGCTGCAGGGCAGCGGCCTGGACCTTGGTGCCATCTACCAGCGCGTGGAGGGCTTCGCCAGCCAGCCCGAGGCGGCCCTGCGCATCCACGCCACCCACCTGGGCCGCAGCCCCCCGCCGCGCATCGGCTCCGGGCTCAAGGCGCTCCTGCAGCTGCCAGCCAGTGACCCCACTTACTGGGCCACTGCCTACTTCGACGTCCTGCTGGACAAGGTGGGTGCTGGCTGCGGGGGCCTTGGGCAGGCCCGGGGGCATGGGAGGGTGGAATGGAGCCCTGGCCTGGCTCCCTGCCCATTCTCTCCCAGGTCAGCAGCCCCAGGAATGCTGAGGCCAGGTCAGGGCTCGGATGGAGAGCGTCTGCGGGGACATGTGATGTCTGGGGGTCACACGGGCCGTGGGGGTCCCCTCACTGGTGGCCTCACAGGGCCTGGGGCTTCTCCCTGGAACCAGGGCAGTGGGTCTGACCCTGCTTCTGTTTCCCACCAGAATTGCCCCCCAGCTCACACTTGGTAAATGCTCAGAGCCCCAGCTGCCCACCCTGGAGTTCCATTCCTCATGAAGGGATATGGCCTTACCTGGGCCCCAGAGGGACCATTTTTTTCTCCCTGGACTCAAGAATCCACAGCCGTGCTCCTTGGGACCCTGTGTCCCCTGGGCCACTTCTCGTGGGTGCCTGGAGGCTCCACCAACTGCCCCTCCCTGTGGCCCAGGCTCTGCCACCTCTGCTGAGCCTGCCTGGAGTCCACCCTGCTCCTCGCCCAGGGCCCGGCCCTCACCCTCATCCCAGGAGCAAACACAATCTCCTTCCAGGGCACAAACAGGGGTTTCTCAGCCACCCTCTCCTGTGTCCTAGTGGCAGTGAGGCCCCAGGGTAGCCACCCTCTGCTGGGCATCTCCTATCCTAATTTAGCAAACTTCCGCCTGTTGAGATGCTGATGGCCTCCTGGGGCCTCCCCTCATGCCCAACACTTAAGAATTTTTACCCCAGAGCCTGCAGATTAGGGGGCAAAGGCCATGCTCTGTGCTCTCAGCAGACCTGTGTGGGCAGGGTGCGGTGAGGGTGGGGTGGTCACCGGAGGCAGCCTTCAAGCAGCACCGTGTGGGGCCTCCTCCTCAGTGTAGGCCCATGCCAGGGACGCCGTGTGTGAGGAGGGGCTCAGGGAGCAGCAGAGGCTGGGGCCGCTCCGCCTCTAGGATGCCTGTCCAGGCAGATACCCGGGGCAGGAAGGCCCGGCATGGCCCAGGGAGGGCCAGTTGTTCCACGCTGTGCTCTCGGCCCTGAGAGCTTATCATGGGCTCCAGGGGTCCCTGTAACCCTTCTCCCCTGCAACCCTGCCTGTAGTTCCAGGTCTTCAACATCCAGGATAAGGACCGGATCTCTGCCATGCAGAGCATCTTCCAGAAGACCAGGACTCTGGGAGGCGAGGAGAGCTGAGCTGGGCCACCTGGTCTCAGCCACCTGTTCTTGGCTCCCCAACAGACTCTGCACTGCACCATGGGAGGCTCCTGGGATGTTTGGAAGAAGAAACGGGCTTCTCCTTGAGGGGGTAGTGGAGGGATTTTGTCCCCAGCAGTGGCCTCTGAGAGTCTTTCAGTGCCTGGTGGGGCAGGGCAGGCCTCTTGGAGCACCTCCTCCCTGGGTCAGGGCCTGGATGCAGGTGCCAAGCTCTCCATGTGGTGCATGTTGACCCAGCCACGTGGTGTTGTCAAGCAAACAGCATCGGCAGGAGACCTGGAGCTGAGGACTTGGCCCTGCCTGCACTGTATGCCATTCCTTGGTGACGAAATGCTGTATATTTGGTTTTGAAAAAATGAATGTGCTGGGTATACACAGCAGAAAGGGTACTGTCCACTTTTTGTATATCAGTGTGGAAAATATTTCCCCTAGAAGTAGAAAAGGCTCATGTGCTGATGGATAATTTTGAGTCTTCTCCATTCTCTGTGAATGACCCCCTTCCCCAGGCATCCCCACCTCCTACCTCGTTCTTAGAGCAAACTAAAGCCAACTGAGGGTGCACACACAGCCATGAGCCCACCTGCCCAGGACTACTCCCATCTGCTTCTTCCCGTCCCCGTGGAAGTGGCCCCTGATATGGATTGTATCTGTATCCCCACCCAAATCTCAGGTAGAATTGGATCTGTGTCCCCACCCAAGTCTCAGGTAGACTTGTAATCCCCAGTGTTGGAGGAGGGGCCCAGTGGGAGGTGATTGGATCATGGGGGTGGATTTCTCCCTTACTGTTCTCATGATAGTGAGTGAGTTCTCATGAGATCTGGTTTTTTGAGTGTGTGGCCCCTCCCCCTCTCCTTTTGCTCTCTTCCTCTTTCTCCGGCCATGTAAGATATGCCTCCTTCTCCTTCACCTTCCACCATGATTGTCAGTTTCCTGAGGCCTCCCAGCCATGCTTCCTGTATAGCCTGCGGGACTGTGAGTCAATTAAACCTCTTTATTCATTACCCAGTCTCAGGTAGTTGTCTACAGCAGTACAAGAACCTACTAAACATCCCCCCTCTCTGATGTAAGGTGTCCTCTCCTGGCATCTGATGCCACCCCCACTCTGTCCTTACCATTCTTTGTGCCCACAACTCACATTCTCTCATCAGCCCAGCACTGCCTGCCTGCAGCCCATGACCTGCATGGGTCCTGCCCATTGGACATTTCCTATTCTCCATCTTTGGCCTCTCAGGGGCATTGACCCCTCAGTGCCTGAGCCACAGCTCACACCTTTGGCTCTTGGAGGGGACCTGCAATTCATGCAGCAGCAGCTCCCTGGAGCCTCCTTGAAAGGGACCTCTGGCCATCTGCCAGAGGAAGCACAGACTCACGACAGGAGATGCCCAGGCCCCTTGAAGGCTGCAAGATCCAGGGCCTGAGCTGACACACACAAAAGGGGACACAAAATGCCATCACTCCTCCCCCATTAGAATGGGGGCTGGTAGAAGCAGAATCTTGGTTCACATCTGATTCATAATGGAACCGAAGGGCCAGGCCCACCCTGTGGCCATCCCCTTGGCATTTGATTGTGAAGCAGGGTGGCTGTACATTGCAGGAGTAAGAGCTGGAATAGCAGGAAGGGCCAAGGGGAAGTTTATTGCAAAATCATCCCTATTCCCATGGCCAAGATAACCCAGCAAAACATACCACATCCTGGGTGTACTAACGGAATTTAGTTCTACTTTCAGAGACTTTAATTCACCAATATGGCCCCAGTAGAAGCCAGATGGATTATGGTGAATGGTAGTGGGTTACATAAACTTAACCAAGCTGTAACCCGTAGTCCAGGTGCTGTGCTAGACGTGGTATCCTTAGTACAACAGGACAGCAGGGCCTCTGGAACTTGTATGTGGTCACTGGCCTGGGAGAAAGGCATTCTTTCCAATCCCCATCAGAGGGGAGGCTCAGACACGGTTTGCATTCACTTGGAAGAGATAACATTATAAGTTCACTGTCTGGCCCAGACTGATGTTAACCCTCTCTTCTCTGTCACAATGTAGGCCTAATGGGCCTTCATCACCTGGATGGTCTATAGAATATTACGCTGGTTCACTGTATTGATGACATCATGCCAATTCGAACTGGAGAGGATTGACTGGAAAGTTCTTTGGATGCCTTCTAAGACCATTCATTCCAGAGGGTGGGAGACAAACTTTACAGTCTCAGGGCCTGGCCCAGAGATTAAGACTTTAGAGGCTCAGTGGTCTGGGGCATGCTGAGACATTGCTTCCAAGGTAAAGGGGAAGTTTTTGTACCTTGCCCCACCTACTGTGAAGAACAGGCATGGTGCTGTGTGGGCCTCATTGGATTTTGGAGGCTGCATGCACCTCACTTGGAAATGTCCATTTGCTGGGGGACTCAGAAGGCTGTTGGTTCTGAGTGGGGCCAGGGCACAGGCAGGTTCTTGAGTAGATTCACGCTATGATACCACCATGGTGCCAATGGTATCTGCAGTAGAAAGGGGCACCATGTGGCATCTCTGGCAAACCCCAAAAGAGGAGGTGAAGTCCTGGAACGAGAGCAAATTGTCTGCAGCAGAGAAGTACTCACTGTTCAAAAGCAGCATTTGGTGTGACACTGGGCCCCTGGCCAGGGGACACCAAGTAACTGTGTGACCTGAGCTGCCCACCATGAGCTGAATGTTATGGGGTCCTAAGTTTGGGGGTGGCAGTGGTGGTGCAACAGCAATCCATTGTACATGGACATGGCCTCTTCAGGGCCAGGCCAAGCAGGGTGGGTGGAAACAAGTCAGTTAGATGAACAATGGCCTGGGTCACCCTATCATCACCTACGTGCACCTGTGCCTCTCCTTTAACCTCACACATAATCGCCTTGAGAGGGTTCCCTGGGACTAGATGACCGAGGAAGAAAATCTTGAGCCTGGTTCATGGATATGATGGCTTGGTCTTTTGGTGCGAACCAAAATGGACTTTCCCAACTCAGGGTTCCTAGAAGAGAGTGGTGAGGGAAAATCCTCCGCATGGGCAGAGTATCAAGAAATAGAAACTGGGCCAGGCGCGGTGGCTCACATCTGTAATCCCAGCACTTTGGGAGGCCGGGGTGGGTGGATCACCTGAGGTCAGGAGTTCGAGACCAGCCTGGCCAACATGGTAAAACCCCGTCTCTACTAAAAATACAAAAAATTAGCCGGGCATGGTGGCAGGTGCCTGTAATCCCAGCTACTCGGGAGGCTGAGGCAGGAGAATTGCTTGAACCTGGGAGGTGGAGGTTGCGGTAAGCCGAGATCCCACCATTGCACTCCAGCCTGGGCAACAAGAGCGAAACTCCGTCTCAAAAAAAGAAAAGAAAAGAAAAGAAAAGAAAAGAAATAGAAATCGTTCATCTCTTTTGTATGGAGAGACAAGTGGCCCAAGGAAAGAAAACACACAAACATTAAGACAAAGAGTATTACCAGAGGTAAGGGGCGATATTTCACAATGATAAAAATAGTCAGTTCATCAAGAAGGTGTAACAATCCTAACAACAGACCTTCAAAATCATGAAGATGAATGCATAAAGGGAGAAGGAGACAAGACCACATTCATGCTGGGAGAACTGAACACCCCACTCTCAGTACTTCATAGAAAAAGCAGGCAAAAAACCAAAACAAAACAAACAACAACAACAAAACCCCAGTGATACAAAGAAGACTTGAACAATGCTGTCATCCAGGCGGACCTGAGGATCTGTAGAAGCTCACACCTGACAATGACGAAGACACGTTCATCTCGTGTCCATGGGATAGTCACCGAGACTGCTGCTAGTTTATAAAACAGACTCTCAGTACATGTTCAAAATACTGAAGTCCATATACAGTATGAGCTCTGACCACAACAGACATAAATTTGAAATAAAAAACAAAAATACATTTAGAATATCCACCAAATATCTGAACATTACACAGTATAAGTCTAAATAGTCTGTGGTTCAAAGAATAAATCACAAGGAAATTATAAAATATTTTGATCTGAGTGATTCCAAAAACACCATTGATTAAAATTTGGGAGATGCAGTGAAGAAGGCGCTCAGAGGGAAATGTTTAGCTTTAAATGCTCATACTAGAAAACAAATAAATGTTTAAAATCAATTAAGCTTCTACCATAGGAAGCTAGAAAAAGAGGAGCAAATTAAAACCAAAGGAAGTAAAATAAAAGGAACAATAAGAGTGGAAATCAATACAAAGCAAACAATTGAGAAAATGATGGTAAATGTCGCTTTTTTGGAGAGACTAATAAAATCAGTAACCCCCTAGCAAGACTGATCAATGGGAGAAAAAAAAGGAGAAAATATAAATTACCAATACCAGGAATGAAACAGGGAAATCAATAGAGAGCCCGTAAGCATTAAAGGATAATAAAGGGATATTATGGATGATTTTATGCCAACACATTCAACAACTTGGAATCAAGCATGCTCTGGGTAACACAAATTACCAAAACGGGCACAAAGAGAGAGACAAAAATCTAAAGAACTCTATGTCTATGAAAACATTAGAAGTCATTAAAAAAATCCTTCCCATAAAGAAAGCTCCTGTCCCATAAAGCTTCACTGGACAATTCTACCAAAATATAAGGAAAAAAAAAATAGTCCCTATTCTAGACAAATTTAATTGATAAATAAAGGAAAAGAAAATACTGTCCAAACCACTTTACAAGACCAATGTAACCTTGCTATCAAAACCTGACAAATATATTACGAGAAAATAAGAGGTCAGTCAACAAAACAGCACATCCGTAGAATATAGAAACATAACTTTATGATCATCTCACCATAGGCAGAAAAGGTATTTGACAAAATACAACAGCTGTTAGTGATAAATACCCTCTGCAAACTAGGACAGGTGGGGACTTCCTGCCTGTGAGAGCAGGGCAGCTGCAGAAACCCCACTGCTGCCGTCAGCCTGACGCTGAGACATTAAACACGTCTCCAAGGCGAGAAGGTGCACACTCATCACTGAGATTCAGCACTGTATTTGTGGCCTACACCGTTGCAATGAAGCAAGAAAAAGTACATAAAAGGCAGAAGATGTACAACTCTCATTAGTCACAGAGAGTTTGATTATCTACTTAGAAAATTTAAAGGAATCTACAAAGAAGCTACTAGGCCTTGTGAATTTAGGAAGGTCAGAAGATACAAAATTAATATAGAAAAAAATGAGATTATATATTAAAAAATAAACAACTGGAAATGAAAATTTTCAAATGCCATTTATAACAGCATCAACAAGATCAAACACCTAGGAATAAATCTAACAAAAGATCTACGCCCAAGTGGGCTGTTTCCAGGAGGTTCTACTTGGAGGGAGAAGGGCCGCTGGGGGCCGGGGAGGCTGCCTGGTCCTGCCTCCTGGGCTGGATCAGTGGCTTTCCTGTTCCTGGGTTCCTGGCTTTCCTTAAATAACCCCCTCCCACTTTGCTGTATGTTGAAAACTAGAAACATTGCTGAAAGTAATTTTAAAATACTTACATTTCTGTTTGTGAAATGGAATTTATACTTTATTTCCATTTTCCTTAACTTGATATATAGATTTGGTGCAGTTCCTACCAAAATTTCAGCAAGCTATTCTGAAGAAATAGACAACATGAATCTAAAACGTACACAGAAATTCAAAGGATGTAGAATACAAAAAACCTTTAAAAGGGAGAAAAACATTGGAGGACTTGTTCTTAATTTCAAGAGTTATTGTAAAGCTACAATATTTGCAACAGCATGGGATTGACACGAGGATGCAATGAAACAGAAGAGAGGCTGTAAATAGACCTATGAATGTGTAGTCAACTGATTTTTAACAAAGTTGTCAAGTCAGTTCAATGGGGAAAGGAAAGTCTGTTTAACAAACGTTACTGGAACTGGGATATCAGTATGGATAAAAATGAACCTTGACCCCCTTTCTACACTGTGCACAAAATTAATATGAGGTGTATCATAGACCTAAATACAAAAGCTGACACTGTAAAGTTTCTAGAAGAAAACACAGGAAGATACCGTCCAGACCTCAAAGTAGGCAAAGGTTTCTTAGACAAGATACAAACAGCCCAGACCATAGAAAAAAACTCATTCATAAATACGACTTCACCAAAATTGAAAATACCTGCTCTTTGAAAGACACAATTAAGAAAATGAATAGGTAAGCTGGGTGTGGTGGCTCATGCCTGTAATCCCAGCACTTTGGGAGGCTGAGGTGGGTGGATCACTTGAGGTCAGGAATTTGAGACCAGCCTGGCCAACATGGCAAAACCCCGTCTCTACAAAAAAACACAAAAATTAGCCGGGTGTGGTGGTGCATGCCTGTAATCCCAGCTACTTGGGAGGCTGAGGCAGGAGAATCTCTTGAACCCGGGAGGTGGAGGTTGCAGTGAGCTGAGATCACACCACTGCTCTCCAGCCTGGACGGAGTGAGATTCTTTCTCAAAAAAAAAAAAAAAAAAAAAAAAAGAAAGAAAGAAAAAAGAAAAGAAAATGAACAGGTAAGCCACAGAGAGGGAGGAAATATTCATGCCACACGTATCTGATAGTATCTAGAATATATTTTAAAATGATCACACATTGACAATAAGAAGATAAAAATCCAAATATGAACAAAATATTTGAACTGACACTTTTCAGAAGATCTACAAACGGCCGATAGCTCATGAGAAGTTGCTCAACATCAATAGGCATCAGGGAAATGCAAACTAAAACCAAATCAGACAGGATTTTACACCCCCTAGCAAAAAAAGACAACATGGAGTGTGGGTGAGGACGTGGAGCACCCTGGACGCTGTAGCTGCGGGAATGAAACATGGAAGAGCCACTTCGGAGAATTTCGTGGCAGTCTCGTATAAGGTTAAGCCTATTGTATGACCCTGCAATTCCACTCCTAGTTATTTATCCAAGAAAAATGAAAATATATGGCCACACGAAGGCTTGAGTAAGAATTTCACTACCTCCGTATTCATAACAGCCCCAAAATAGAAATAACCCAGATGCTCAACTATGGTGATGAACCAACAAATCATGAGGTGTCCATATGACGGGACGGCACTCAGCAACAAGACACACCGGCGCCCACGACGCACGTCCATATGACGGGACGGCACTCAGCAACAAAGACACACCGGCGCCCACGACGGTACATGTGAGTGTCAAAAACAGTAAGTGAAAGAAGCTGGCACAGTGGAGGACCTGCTGTGTGTTCCACTGACCATGAAATTCAACTATGGCTGGGCACAGTGGCTCACGCTTGTAATCCCAGCACTTTGGGAGGCCGAGGCAGGTGGATCACTTGAGGTCAGGAGTTCGAGACCAGCCTGGCCAATATAGTGAAACCCCATCTGTACTAAAAATACAAAAATTAGCCGGGCATGGTGGTGCACACCTGTAGTCCCAGCTAATCCGGAGCCTGAGGCAGGAGAATCGCTTGAACCCGGGAGGCGGAGGTTGTAGTGAGCTGAGATCGTGCCACTGCACTCCAGCCTGGGCAACAAGAGTGAAACTCCGTTTCAAAATAAATAAATAAATTCAAATATGCCAGGCTGATCTATGGTCACAGAAGTCAGGCAGTTGAGGGGTGGGCACTGGCTGGATGGGAGCATAGGGGACCTTCCATTGGAGGCTTCCACGTGTCATGGGCTCAGGTCCTGGCTGTGCGCTCTCCAGCACGCAGGTACCCTTGTCCATGACAGGGGTCTCCAACCAGCCCTGTGCGCCGTGTGGGTTCACCTGGATGTGGTGCGTGAGGACGTTTGGGGGTGTGACATCTGGGGCTAGAGTGTGGTGACAGCACCTCCTCCAGGGGAGGATCTACCCTGTGGGCTCCAGGATGAGGAGTGTCCCCCTAAAGTCCACAATCAGGCAGCTCAGGGAGCAGAGATGCTCTCCTCTCACTCTTTCACAGACCACCCCACACAGTGAGGAGAGTTGGCCAGGCCCTTTATTAAACATTCCCGGGAGGCTCATGGCCTGGGGACTGCAGCTCATTTGGAAGGCACTGGGTTTTGCGCCCAAGTGGACTGTTTCCAGGAGGTGCCACTGGAGGGAAAAGGGCTGCCTGGGGCCAGGGAGGCTGCCTGGTTCTGCCTCCCGGGCTGGGTCAGTGGCTTTCCTGTCCCCAGGCCTGGAGGACCTTGCAGGGTCTGTTTGCTCCTGATCCCTCAGGGTGGGCATGGGACAGGTGTGTGCCAGTGCCAGCTGTGTGCCAGTGGGCAGGTCACAGCTTCTTCTTGGGGCAGTGCTGCAGGGCCGCCCTCAGGGCCTCCGTCACGCGGTCCACATTCTCGCGGGTGGCATTGCAGCCCAGCAGGCCGATCCGCAGCACCTGGGGGGCACAGGGCGGGCTGACGTCAGCCTCCCGCCTGGGACCTGCCTGACCCTGACCGACAGCTGGCCAGAGCCAGGATGGGCTCACCTGAGTGAGGACCACCCACCCAGCGTCCATGAGGGGAGTTGACAGCCCTGTGCAGGTCACAGAGGGGGCCCTTGAGCACCCAGGCCAGGGCAGGCTCTCCTCCCTCTGCACCCGCAGCCACACGGGAGGACAGGGTGGTGCAGTGAAGGTCCCTCCCCACTGCCACTCAGAGACACAGCCAGGCCCAGGCGTGGGGCTTCCGGCCTGGTTCCAGGGTCTGGTCAGAGGGAAGGAAGGATGTTCCGAGTGGAATCATAAAGGCTGCACCTGGTGACCTCAGTGGGCTGGGGTGGGAGCAGGGGCGACAGGATACGCTTTACTGGATACCCCTTGGAGAGTGGGCCCTTCTGGACGCTCCTGCAATCTGGGCTTTCGGATGACCCCGGCCTCCCCTGCACCTGGTGCACAGTCCTGCTCAAGGAGGGGTGGCGGGTTTGGTTTCTGCAAAAGGCCCTCGAGGCGCTCCCTCTCACCTTCCCCGTGGAGGGCCCAAGGCCACCCATGATCTCAATGTCGAAGTGGTCTATGACGTAGCTGACGATGTCTCTCCAGTCATAGCCAGCGGGTACAGCCACAGTGGTGACTGTGGGAAGCCGGAGCGCCTGCAGGAGGGGCCTGGCTCAGTGCGTGGGTGAGAGGCCCTGTACGGGCCTTTGTGACAGCTCTTGGCCTGCACCATCTGCCCCAGCTTCAGGTTCCAGAGGAGCCGGGGGAGAAAGGGCCGGGAGAGAGCAGGGACCCCACCCCTTAGGAGGCGGTGGATGGGCACCTTCCCACTGGGAGATCACAGGCCGTCCTGAGATCCCGCATCAGAGGCCGGGAGCTGTGACTTCGTGGCTCCTGCCGAGACTAATCCCTGGCACCGAGGCCACACCACCGGGCAGCCGCCCCCTCCTTCTCAGGAGCCAGTGTCCCTCTTGAGGGGGCTGGGCAAGAGCCCCTCATCCTTCCCCATGGGTGCAGGGCTGCCCAATGCCAGGGGCCTCCTTACCGGGTCCTTCACGAAGAGCTGCAGCCCCAGTGCCTGCAGGCGCCCATGCAGATACGCCGCGGCCTCGCGGTGCTGGCGCCAGCTGTTCTCCAGGCCCTGTGTGGGAGATGGCGCTGGTGGGCAGTGACATGGGTGGGGTGGGCAGGAAGCCCCGCCCTCTGTGGTGCGGGAGGAAGAACCTGACTCTGCAGGCCTTGGTGCAGGGGAGCCCCTGGAGCCCCCAGTTTGACTTTGCCTGGGGCAGGGCCTGGGACTACCCCAGGGCAGAAGGAAACATCTGGGTCTGGGAGAGACAGAGGAGGGTTCAGAGAGACAGAGGGGAGGTCTGCCTGTGGCCCCTGGGGGAGAAGAGTGGAGAGTGCCTTGCAGGGGGAGGGGACTGGGCAAGGAGGGGAAGGGCTGTTGGGCTACACAGGGCTGGAGTGGATCAGGGCCAGGGCTCAGGGTGCTGGCTCCCAGGCCCCCTCTCCTCTCAGGGCCAGCTCCCCCGACCTGGCATCCTCCGCAGCACTGCTCCTGCCTCAGCTCTGGACAGGTGAGGGGTGGTCTCTCCAGCCCTGGGCCCCTCAGTGCCATTACCTCTGGTCACGGGTCCTCCCGGCCTCCAGCCACCAGCTCTCATGGCCACCCCAGGTGGGTCCCCGGAGCAGCAGCTGCTCTCTACTCTGGCCCTGGCCCGTCTTCTCTGCGCATGTGCCCCTGCAATCTGCACTCTGCCAGGTCCCTGTGCCTCTGCCCTTGACTGTGCCCTGCTGTCTGGTCCTGTTCTCTTCCTTCTCTGCCCAGCTCACACCCCCCACCCACCTTTACGACCCTAGAGCCTTTCCCTGTGTGAGCGCCTGACCCCTCGCCTTCCCCCGCGGGTGCGGGTGGCATTTAGCTTACAGGGGCACCCTGGCACTAACCCAGCCCTAGGCAGTGGCTTTATGAGTGGACCCAGGAGGACAAACGTGGCAGGCACGGCCTTGCAACCTCATGGGAAGCTGGCTGCAGCCCGGGGATCCTTCCTGGACTCTGGACTGGTGGCTGGCAATGGGCCCTGTGGGACACAGGACCCAGATGAAAGTAGGTGGGACTTCCTGTCTCGTGGCCTGCAGAGCTGCTGGGCCTGAGGCCACTCTCAGCCGCCTGTGTCCTGAGAGTGTGGATGTTGCAGTGTCCTGAGAGTGTGGATGTTGCAGTGGCCAAATCAACCCCTGGTCACACCCAAGTGCTCATGCTCAGCTCTTGCCCTGCCATAGGAGCTGGACAAGCCTGCAGGAACTGCCAACCCTCACTTTACATCCACGCCCACCTATCTGTGGGCACATCTCTGGCCCCTTCGGCCTCCCCTTCTCCCAGCCCACCCACTCACTGGGCCTCACTTACTGCTTCACACAGCAATGGAAGGGTTGGGAGCATCCACACCTGCCCCATTGCTGCATCTGTCCCTGGGGCTGTATCCCCCTGGCCCTGCCCGCAGCCAGTGTACCCGGGGCCCTGTCCTCTCTCCCCCACCCCCACTGAGGGCCTCTCTCTGGCAGGCTCCCTTTTCTCTGTGCACCAGGGATGGTTCCTTCTCTGCAGGCCGCGCCCTCGACAATCCAGCCAGTGGCCCTGTCTCCTCCTGTGGAGTGCAGCCCATGCACCTGTTCCGCAATGAGGGCCAGGCTCTCTCTCAGGCTGTACAGGCTGATGACGGGGATTGTGTGATGGTACCTGGAAGACACGAGGGGGCTTGGTCCAGCACCATGGGCAGGGTTGGGGGCAGATGGGGCATTAGCTCTGTCTGCCCCAGCCCCAACAGCACAGGCTCTCTGACCACAGGCCGGTATCCTCCGCAGAGGAGTCCTGTCCGGGTTCAGAACTTTGGACCGGGAAGGCAGCTTCGTCTGCCAGGGAGAGCATGGCTTGTGTAGGGCCCAGCCAGGAGGCAGTGGGTGGCTGCAGGAGCAGAGACACGTGCCACCACCTCCCTGCGGAGCCCCTCAGTCCCAGCGTGCCTGCGAAGCCGGCACTGGCCCTCTGTGCCCACTGGGCTAGGGCACCATTCCTGGCGCCTTGTTCCTGTGTGTAACATAAGGGGCCTTGGGTTTATGGCCAAGGTCGTCTTTTCAGAAGGGGTAAGCTGAGGCCCAGGAGTGGGGAGATGTGGCAGGGCCAGGTCCAAAGTGCCCGAGGGTGTGCTGGGACCTCTGGGGGGACAGTGTTTGTGGAAGCGGCAGTGGGGGCCATGACCCTGCCCAGAGCCTCGGGCCAGTCGAGGAATGGGGGAACCCAGGGTGGGGCATTTGACTGCCTGATGCAGGCGGATTCTGGGGCTCTAGTTGGGGTTCTTGAGGCATGAAGGTGGGGGGCTTGGAGAATCCCTGAGTGCAGTGAGAGGCCAGCGCCCCACCTCTCAGCCATGCCCAGCGCCCTCCACCTTCCCATCCCTGCCAGGCCTCACATCCTGGGCTGGTCGTCACAGCCCCAGAAGTTGGCCAGCCACTTGATGTCCAGGTAGAAGGAGAAGGGCTTCGTCTTGCGGGAGTACATCTTCTTTCTGGGGAGAAAGAAGCAGGCTGAGCACCAGCCTCTCAGTTTGGGCTGAAGGCCAGGGCAGTCTCGCTGGCTGTCCTGTTTCACGGGAGTGAGACGGGGTGGGGCCCCCAGGAGGGCCCGCCCCAGCTGCATTTGTGCTCAGGGGCCAGAGTGGGACCGGGTGGGTCGTGGGTCCCTCAGCTGTCCAGTCCCGCTGGCCCTTGGGCCCAGCTGTGTGACCCTGCCATGGGGGCACCAAGGCCAGCTCCCTCCACTCTGTGTGCCCCTTTCTCTCCCCCAGCCCCTCCTACAGGGTCAGCCTTCATTTCTCACATCACCCAAAGGTGACTGCTTTCGGGCCCCAGGGGACACTGGCCAGGCTTGAAACTTTAAATGTGTCCGTCTCTACAACTCCAGATGGAGGGGCCAGCCCCGGCCTCTCCCCAGGCTCCTGACTCACACCCAGCCGCTTCCTTCACCCTCCCGTGTGGTCCAGCTGGCATCTCAGACCTCCCACGTCCAACACCGAATTCCTGACTTCTCCCCGAAGTCCTCTCTGTTCTGGGGAACGGCACCTCCAGTTGCCAGGCTGCAGCTGGATGGGAACCGCCTGTGAGGTCTGGCCCCCTTCCCCTACCCCCTGCCCGGCCTGGCTCAGAATCTGGACACCAGGAGCGGGAGGTGAGATTGGGACTGCAGGGGGCACTGTGTGTGGCCCACGTTGTCCCTTGGGGCAGCCCCTGGAAGCTGAGCCAGGGCAGAGGCCGGTCAGGGCACTGGGCCTCAGGCCCTCAGTCCTTTCCTGGTCACTCCTTGCTGTGAAGCTGGGAACTTCCAGAGCAGTGGACTCTGCACCCTGCACACGCCTGCAGCCCTCCCCTCGCCCGGCCTCCCCACTCCCTGTGAACGCAGTGCCTTTGGCCTCCCAGAGGGTGGGCGGGAGAGCGCCAGGTGCTGGAGGAGCATGGGGAGCCCTTCCTGCCTGGCTCCCGCCCCTCCCGCCTCGGGCCACCTGAGCTCCCTGCAAGCCCAGCCCTGCACAGAGGTGAGGGTCTGTGGGTCACTCACTTGGCCTTGTCACTGAAGGAGATGAGCGAGGTCCCTGGAGGGGCGTTCAGGGCCTTCTGGGAGCCCGAGTACAGGATGTCGATGCCTGTAGATGGGTGGTTTGCTCGGGACGGGTGAGTCCCACCTCAGGGCAGGCCAGTCCAGCGGGATGCCTGCCTAGCTAATGGGCTGGTAGGCTACGACCCTACCACGAATCCGTACACGATAGCAGGGGAGATGTGGAAGGGAGTCCTGGGTTCAAATCTGGGCACTGCTGCGTGGCAGCCATGACCTCA
Source organism: Homo sapiens (assembly GCF_000001405.40). Taxonomy (NCBI): domain Eukaryota; kingdom Metazoa; phylum Chordata; class Mammalia; order Primates; family Hominidae; genus Homo; species Homo sapiens. Next base: position 240,873,787 of record NC_000002.12, on the reverse strand, counting down.
GGCCTGAGCGTTTTAGCGCAGCTTCTCCCTCTGCTGTGCTGGTCCCCAGGGACAGCCCTGCCACCCCAGGCACCGTGTCCCTGGGGCCCTCCCCAGGTCCCTGCTTTCAGTAGTAGTTTGAGGATCAGCCCAGAAATCCCTCCCTTCCTGCCTGAGAACTCCCAAATCAGGAGGGGCTCTGCAGAAACAGACAGGCTCCCATGGAGTGGGTGGGCAGGCACCGCAGTGGATGCAATGTGCAGGCTCTCTCCCGTAAGCGGATGGGCACAGGAGGCTCCTTGGCCCCTCGGCCGGCCTGGTTGAGGTTCCCTGCGAGGTGACCCTGACAGTGGTGCTCACTGCTATGGGCAGCCTGGCAGGGCGCAGGGCAGATGTGAAACTGAGCCTCTGGGGGGTTGGGCAGAGGGGTGCCCAACGCCTGATTGACTGGAGCCCTGGCCCTTCCTCTTCCCACTGCTTCTGCTACAGCTCTGGGGCATCTCAAATGTCCCCCACCAGAAGCTGTCCCTCCTGCCAGTCCCCACGCCTGGATCTGAAAGCTCAGTGGAAACACTGGGGTGCTGGGTAGTTCATGGAGCCGCTCTTGCCGCAGTAAGGAGTGAGTGTTTCCCTGGGCCTGGTGGAGATGGGGCCGAATCCGCAGCATCGGCTGCTGGACGCACGCTTCCAGCAGGGCTTCCTGCACGCGGAGCCCCAAGGCTGCTTGGGCTGGGTAGGGCTCTCAGAGCCCACCCTTACCTTGCCGGTCCATGTAAAGGGGGGTCCCGCCCAGGGATGCCACCGAATCCACCAGGAGCAGGCACTTGTACCTGGAGAGGTGGGGGACAGAATGGAGGGCAGCAGGTGAGGCAGGGGGCCACTGGAGGGCCTGGCCCCAGGCTGGATGGGGTTTCTGAGCCTCAGGCTGGCAAGGAAGGCAGGGCACCTCCCACCTCCACCCCAGGAGTTGGCCAGTTGCCTTCTCCTGCCTGTCAGGATCCATCAGGACCTGTGGCTCTTCCTTTCTCAGCCCTGAACATTGGAGCAGAGGGAGCTGGGGGAGTGAGGGAGCATCACGGCCCTGGTGAGACCCAGCTGCAGGGCCCGGCAGTGGTGCTGAAGAGGGTCAGCCGGGCAGTCTGTGGTTCCCAGGGACAGCGGGTGCCTGAGGGCCTGTGTGGACCCCAGGGACCAGGGTGGCACCAGGCTGGGCCTACCTCTGCCAACAGCTGCTCGGCCCAGCCACTGGCCAGAATCTAGGCCAGAGGGGACAGAGTCCCAGAACAGCCCAAGCAGCAGCGCCACAAACTCTCACCCTCCTCCGCCTCCATGTTCACGAACTCTCGCCCTCCTCCTCCTGCATGTTCACGAACTCTCACCCTCCTCCTGCATGTTCACGAACTCTCACCCTCCTCCACCTGCATGTTCACGAACTCTCACCCTCCTCCGCCTGCATGTTCACGAACTCTCACCCTCCTCCTCCTCCATGTTCACGAACTCTCACCCTCCTCCTCCTGCATGTTCACGAACTCTCACCCTCCTCCTGCATGTTCACGAACTCTTATCCTCCTCCACCTACATGTTCACGAACTCTCACCCTCCTCCGCCTGCATGTTCACGAACTCTCACCCTCCTCCGCCTCCATGTTCACAAACTCTCACCCTCCTCCACCTCCAGGTTTTCTTATAAAGAAAAAAGAGACACAGAAAGTATCTCGTGCTGGCCGCAGGTGGGGATGGCCTGGGTGTTGCTGAAGCTGGCCAGGTTATGTTTGTGAGCTTTATTCATGGCCACGGTCCATGCAGCAAGCTGTCTGGGCTGGGGGCCCTGTCAGAAGGACCCTCCCTGGCCGTGGAGTTTCTCTCCTCTGTCCTGTGCTCAGACCTGCAGACGGGACTGCTGGGTCCCAAGGGGCTCTGTCCGCATTTCTCAGGAATCCCATCTGACTCCATTCAAGGCCTTGCCCTGTGCACCCCCATGCGGGGATGAGGGAGGCTGGAGGAGGGAAGTGGAGGGCATCAGGCAGCTTTAGTGTCCTGGCAATCTCGGGGTGAGGTGGGGACAGGCCCTGG